>NC_000014.9:66278379-66581409 GCF_000001405.40 Homo sapiens | reverse complement strand
AGTGTATCTAGCATAGTTTTTCGTTATAGTGATCAAGAGGTTTACATGAAACATCTTACAGTTAGACTATTTTAAGCTGATAACTTTGGTTTGATTGCATAAAGTAACTCTACACTGTTATTCCATCACCCAATAATATTTTATGATTTCATGTAGTAATTTACATCTTTTTTTTTTTTTTACATCTTCACCTTCCTACTGTTGAGTATGACGTTAATTTTGGGCCTATCATATATGACCTTTATTGTGTTCAGGTACATTCCCTCTATACCTAACTTGCTGCGGGTTTTTATCATAAAAAATGTTAAAGTTTCTCTAATGCTTTTTCTGCATTTATTGAGATAATCACATGGTTTTTGTAATTTATTCTATTAATGTATGACATTTATCAACTTGTAAATGTTGAACCACAGACATAAATGCATCCCAGGAATAAATCCTGCTTGATCATGGTGTATGATGTTTTTCATGTATTGGTTTGCTAGTATTTCATTGAGAATTTCTGCATCTATCTTCATCAACAATATTGGCCTGCATTTTTTTTTCTTGTAGTGTCTTTGACTTCGGTATCATGGTAATGATGGCCTCTTAAAATGAGTTTGAAGTTTTCTCTCATCAATTTTCAATTTTTTGAGAGAGCTTGAGAAACACTGGTGTTTATTCTTTAAATATTTGGTAGAATTCACCAGTAAAGGCATCAGGTCCTGGGTTGTTTTTTGGGCAGTCTATGACTGCTGATTCAACTTCCTTAATTAGTAGTTTATACAGATTTTCAACTTCTTCATGATTCAGTCTTGATAAGATGTATGTTTCCAGGAATTTAGGTTATCTAATTTGTTGGCATATGATTGCTCATAGTTGTCTCTTATGATCCTTCATATTCCAGTGATATAAGATGTAATGTCTCCTCTTTCATTTCTGATTTTCTTTAACTCTTCACTATTTTTTCAGTCTAGCTAAAGGTTTGTCAATTTTATCTTTTAAAAAAACAACTCTTAGCTTTGTTGATCTCTTCTATTGCTTTTATAATTTCTACTTCATTTATTTCTGCTCTGATTTTTAATATTTCATTCATTCAACTAACTATGGGCTTAGTGTGTTATTTTTCTAGTTCCTTGAAGTGTAACACTAGATTGAGATTTTTCTTCTTTTATGTGTAGGCATCTGTTGCTATAAACTTCTCTCTTATGATTTGCTGCATCCTATACAAATTGATATGTTGAGTGTCCACTTTCATTAGTGTCAAGGTATTGTTTTATTGTCCTTTAAATTTCTTCTTTGACCCACTGATTATTGAGAAGCATGTTGTTTAATTTCCATATATTTGCAATTTTTTGAAATTCTTCCTATTAATGATTTATAATTTCATACCACTGTGGTTAAAAAAGATACTTGATATCACTTAAATCCTCTTAAATGTGTTACGATTTGTTTTCTAGACTAACGTGGTATACCCTGGAGAATGTTTAGCATATGCTTAAGAAGGATGTGTGTTCCAATGTTGTTGGATGAACTATTCTGATATACGTTTGTTAGGTACAGTTGCTTTACTGTGTGATTGAAGTCCACATATCAAATTATAAATCAAATTCCATATTGATTTTCTAAGTCGATGATGTGTTTATTGATGAATGTGAAATATTGAAGTCCTATACTATTATTGTCTTGCAGTCTTGTCTCTCCCTTCAGATCTATTAATATTTGCTTTATGTATTTAGGTGTTCTGATATTGGGTGCATATCTGTTTACAATTGCTGTATCTTCTTGATTAACCAACACTTTTATCATTATATAATAATCTTCTGTGCCTCTTCTCACAATTTTTTATTTAATGTCTATTTCATCTAAGTATAACAACCTCTGCTCTCTTTTCGTTTCCATTTTCATAGACTATCTTTTCCCATTTCTTCACTTTCAGTCTATTTGTGTCCTTAAAGATGAAATGAGTCTCTTATTAACAGCATATAGTTTGGACTTTTTTTTTTTTAATCCATTCAGCTGCTCTGTATCTTTTGATGGGAGAATTTAATCCATTGACATTTAAACTACTTGTTTGATAGATAAAGACATACAACTGCCATTTTGTTCATTGTTTTCTGGTAGCTTTGCAGATTTTTTGTTCCTTTCTTCCACTCTACCTGTCTTCCTTTGTAATTTAATGATTCTCTGTTGTGGTATGCTTTGATTTCTTACTTATCTCCTATGTATCTACTGTAGCTCTTTCTTTTGTGGTTACCATGAGGCTTACATAAAACATATTACGGTTGTAACAGGCTATTTTTAAGCTGATAACTTCAATAACACACAAGAATTCTACAATTTTATTACCCACCAACATATTGTTACTGATGTCAAAATTTACATTTTATATATTGTATATCACTTAATTATTGTAAATATACCTATTTTAACTACTTTATATTTAACCTTCTTACTAAAGATATAATTGATTTACACACCACCATTGTAGCTTTACATACAGCATTCTGAATCTGACTACATACTTACTTTCACCAGTGAATTTTTTACATTTATATGTTTTCATATTACCAATTACCATCCTTTTCTTTCAGCTTAAAGAATTCCCTTTTGCATTTCTTATAAGGCAAGTCTAGTGAACTTCCTCAGTTCTTATTTGTCTGGGAAAGTCCTTATCTCTCCTTCATTTCTGAGGGACAACTTTATGGTTCCTGGTGTTTTTTTTTTTCTTTCTTTGAGCAAGAAATTTTTGTTTGCTTTTTTTTTTTTTTTTTTTCACTCTATCCCTGACCTGCAGGGTTTCTGTTGAAAAATCTAATGATAGCCATAATGGAGTTCTCTCGTATGAGATTTGCTTCTTTTCTCTTGCTGCTTTCAGGATCCTCTCTTTGTCTTAACGCTTCTGAGAGTTTTACTAAGTCTTATTGTAGCATTGTTTCAGCTGAACATAACTGGAGACCTTTGAGCTTCCTATGTGTGGACATTTATATCTGTCCCTAGTTTATGAATGTTTTCTGTCATTATTTCTTTAAATACATTCACTACTCCTTTCTCTCTCTGTGTTCCTTCTGGAACTCCTATAATGCAAAGATTGGTTTGCTTCACTGCCCCATAATTCTCACAGACTTTCTCACTCTTAAATTCTTTTTTCATTTTGTTCTTCTGACTGGGTAATTTCTAATAACCAGTCTGTGAGCTTACTGATCCTTTCTTCTGCTTGATCAAATCTTATGTTGAAGCTCTCTATAGATATCTTCGGTTCAGCCATATTTATAAATTTTTGTTTAAAAACTGAGTTGATTAAAAATGGCTAACATTGGAAAACTGGTATGCAATTTACAATCTTCCAAAATTAATCATAACTTCCTTCTCTTGTTCAGATTGTTAATTTTCATAAATCACAACAAAATAATAATTTGAGGAGAAATGAGTCAGAGATTCACTCTTCCTTTATTCCTTATCAAATGCAATGTCTTAAAAATATTTACATTTACTACTTTCAGTCCTCTGTCTAAAATAGGATTCCTGTCCAAGTGTCTTGGTTCCAGATATGATACTGGGAAATAGAAGAGTACAGAGGCATTATATATAACCTTGACTGGGAGAGACATTGTAGGCCATATGGTAAAATTTAGTCACAATTCTGTCCATAGTGAAATCTCATTCGTCCTCTCCTCATGCAAAATTCCTTTAGTTCTTTCCTTTGCTTTATTTAGTAATCAAATTGAAAAATCAGTCTCTAAAACACCTTTAGAAGAGACTTATCAGAACAGTAAAGATCAGGATTCCTAAAATTCTGACAGCAGATTGCATATGTATTCATTTTCCTTTAATGTAGGTGTACAGATATCACTGAGACTTTGGTTGACAAATCTTGCCATAATTTAATAATGTCTTCAGTTACTTGAAGAAGGAATAATTGTAACATAGCACATTCCAGGGATTTCAGCTTCACTGTATAGATTTATCTAGGAACTTACATAATATATGTAAATAACTGAAACTTAAGAAGCACTGGTGTGTGGTAGAAAGCACACAAAAACTATAGAATGAGTTGAATTTCTTATGGTTCTGTTAGCTATCATGACCTTATCCCAAGACCCTTGGATTCTCTAAGTTTTAGTGTCCTCACCCTGAAATCACTGTATGCCCAAGAATTACCAACTTTGTACAGTTCCTTCCACCTTTAAAATTTTGTGATAACCTACACTATTTCAAGTCCCATGCCACTTTTAAGTGTGGTCTATAGACTAGTAAGAGCAGCATCTGGGAGTTAGTTAGAAATGCAGAATCTCAGGTCCCACCTTTAGACCTACTAAATCAGAATCGTCAGTCAACAAGATTCCTAGGCAATTAAACTGAAATGAAAATTACAGATGCGCTGCTATAGACTATTTTTTTCAGTTATAACATCAATGTCCAACTGCTTATCAAAAGGAAAGTAAAAGTAAATGACACAGACATTGATTTAAGAAAAGGAAAACATGGCAATTCATGACCCTTAAATATCAGAATAGGGGAACAAATTGAATAATGTTATTTCAAATTATGAATTATTTAAATGGTTGGAATTCATTCTAGAAAGAAAAAGAGGATTTTGAAACAGTTCATCTCTTTCAGTAATTAAATACAGAAGATAGCCAGCACTCACTAAAAATATACTACTCTTAATCATAATAGTCTTGATTACATAAATACATTATTCTGCTGGCAGCACTAAGGGATTGACGTGAAGGTATTTTCTTCCTATTACTTCCACCAAAATTTCCTACCCCACCAAATCCCCCAAATAAACTTAGATTGTGCATAGAAAATATGCTTGCCATAAATTTTTAAGATAAGTATGTTAGCCTCCTACTCTTCTAAGCAGATTGCAATCCTGAAGCCCCTGTTATTAGAGATATTATTGGCATTATTATACACATTTCCAAGATTTAAAAAAAAAAGTACAGAGAGGATTAGTAAATTGATGAAGATCTTTCCACTAATAAGTGGCTCAGACATGATTAATATTGGGCTGACTCTGAGTCCCTTTCTCCTTCCATTATGCCATACTCTTTCCCTCTTGAAAAAAAAAAATCCAGGTTTATTTTTAAAGAGCTAAAAGAGCCAAACATTTGTGTTATAAAAGAATTACACTTCCTTTAAAAAGTACCACAAGACCAGTACCAGGCCAGCTCCTGTGGCCCCAGCCTCCAAGCTAGCCAGCACAGATGCAGGATCCAGGCCCATGCCCACAGAATGAGACTCCAACCTGGCCCATACAACCCAAGGCACCAGGCCAGCATCCACAGCTGCAGGCTCCAAACTGGCCCCTGAAGCCCCAGGCTCCAGGATAACCCTAGCACCAGGCAGGGTCCAGCAGACCCAACATCTAGGCCTGCCTAGTAGATCCCAGTGCTGGGCCCACTCCAACAGGCCCAGGCTCCCAAGACCACGCCTGTGGACCCATGCTTCAGTCTGTCTCCCACAGATCAAAAACCCAGGCCCACTCCTGCAGATTAAAGTTCCAGGCCTGCCCCAGTGTCCAGCCAGTTCCCATGGATTCAGACTCTAGACCCATCCCACGGATGCAGCCTCTAGGACCACTCCAGTAGATCCCAGACACCCAGACACCAGGCCTACCCCAGTAGATCCCAGTGACAGGCCAGCCCCCCATAGACACAGGTTCCATGCCCCTACAAATCCAGTTAGCAGGCCCACTTGATTAGACTCTGATGCCAAGACAGCCCCCAGGCACCCAGGATCCAGGCCTGCTCCAGCAGACATAACCTGGTTGTGTCTGGGCACCCGGCAGGCTCCTATGAGCTCAGGCACCAGGCCTGACAAACTGCTGACATGGGCACTAAGCCAGCCTTCCCAAGAATTCTAGTAGCAAGCCCACTCAGAAACACTGGACAGGCTGACTGGTAAAGAGCTTCTTCTGTCAAAGCCAGTCTGTAAAAACTGGCAAAATAATGTACTACTAAATGACTCTAAAGAAATTTATATTTACAAACCATCTGACAATTCAAAATAATTGGGATACATTAAAATTAAATTCTCAAATGGCAAAGACAAAAATAAATGTTTTTATGCTGCAAGAGAAAAAATGCCTACCACATACAAGGGGAAACATTATAAGATGATCAGTGGATTTCTCAGCAGAAACCTCGCAGGCTAGGAGAGCATGTGAGAATACTGAAAAATGCTGAAAGTGAGAGGGAAAAAAAATCTGTCAACCAAGAACACTATACTCAGCAAGCTGTCCTTCAGGAATAAAGGAGAGATAAAGATCTTCTCAGACAAACAGAAGCTTTGAGAGTTCGTAATTACCAGACTCACTGTATTAGTCAAGGTTCTCTACAGAGACAGAATCAATAGGATGTATATATAGATAGATATAAATATAGACATATGAGAGGAGATTTATTAAGGCAATTGGCTCATGTAATTATGGAGGCTGAAAAATCCTACAACAGGTCATCTGCAAGCTACAGACTCTATGCTGGTAACATGGCTGACTCCTAAGTCCAACAGCCTGAAAACATAGGACAGGGGAGGGGTGTAACTCTTGAAGTACAAAGGCCAGAGAGCCTGGAGTACTAATGTTCAAGAACAGGAGAGTATATCCCAGATCTGGGACAGAGACAGAGACCAATTTGTCTTTCCCTTATTTTTGTTCTCTACCAGCCCATGGTCGATAGGATGATGCCTACCCACACTGACAGCAGACCTTGCCCACTTAGTCCACTCAGACACACAAACAAATCTTCTCTAGAACATCCTCATGGATATGCCCCAAAACAATGCTTTACCAATTCCCTATATGTTCCTTATGCAGTCAATAAGACACCTAAAATTATCCACCACACCTACCTTACAAGAAATGCTAAAGAGAAATCTAGTTGAAAGTAAAGGATGCTAACTAGCAACATGTAAACATATGAAAATATAAAACTCACTGTAAGCTAAGAATATACTCAAATAGAGAACACTCTAATACTATAATGGCGGTACATAAATCACTTTTAACTACAGTATGAAAGTTATAAGAAAAGCAGTAAAATAACCATAGATACAATAATCTGTTAATGGATACACAATATATAAAAGATGTAAATTGTGACATGAATAACAGAAAATGTGGGGGAAAGGAGAAGTTAGCATATAGTTTTAGTAAATGGTTAAAGTTAAATCAATTATCAGCTAAAAATAATCTGTTAGAGTGACAAGATGTTTTATACAGGCTTCACAGTAACCACAAAGAAAAACCCTGTAGTAGATACAAGAGAATAAAGAGAAAGGAGCCAAAGCATACTACTACAGAAAAATAAATCAAAAAGAAAGCCAGCCAGAATATAAGAAACAAAGAATCTACAAACTACCAGAAAATGCAAAGTTAGTAGTAGCATATCTTTACCTATCAATACATACCTTGATTGTAAATGGACTGATTCCTGAATCAAAAGACAGAGCGGCTGAATGGATATTTAAAAAAAAAATTAAAAACAAGACTCAACTACATGCTGCCTACAAGAGATTCATTTCGTCTATAAGGACACAAATTGGTTGAATGTGAAAGGATAGCAAAAGGTACCCCAGGGAAATGGAAACCAAAAGAGGGCAGGAGTAGCTGTATTCATAATAAAGTAGACTTTAAGTCACAAGAGATTAAAAAAAAAAGTCATTATATAGGCTGGGCATGGTGGCTCACGCCTGTAATCCCAGCACTTTGGGAGGGTAATGCAGGTGGATCACAAGGTCAAGATATCGAGACCATCCTGGCCAACATGGTGAAACCCCGTCTCTACCAAAAATACAAAAATTAGCCGTGCGTGGTGGCAGGCGCCTGCCTGTAGTCCCAGCTACTCAGAAGGCTGAGGCAGGAGAATCACTTGAACCCAAGAGGCAGAGGTTGCAATGAGCCAAGATCGCACCACTGTGCTCCAGCCTGGGCAACAGAGCGAGACTCCGTCTCAGAAAAAAAAAAAAAAAAAAGGTTATTATATAATTAGAAAGTGGTCAGTTCATCAAGAAAATATAACAATTGTAAGTTTATATGCACCCAACATCAGACCACCTAAATATGTAAACAAATACTACCAGGACTGATGGAGAAATAGACAGCAAAACAATAACAGTAGAAAATATCTATATCCCAGCTTCAGCAATAAAGAGAACATCCAGTGAGAAAATCAATAATGAAACAACAGAATCAAACAGCACTATGGACCAAATTGGACCTCACAGATATACACAGAATATTCCTTCCAAAAGCAGCAGAATCCACATTCTTTTCAAGTGCACACCAAACATTCCATAATAGGTAATATGTTAGCCCACAAAATAAGTTTCAATACATTTAAGAAGATCCAAATGGTATCATTTATTATTTCCAACCACAATGATATGAAATGTGGTAGGAAACCACAACTATGTGGAAATTAAGCAACAGGTTATTCAATAACCAGTGTGTCAAAGAAGAAGGCAAAGGGAAAATAAAACAATGCGTTATAAAAGGATGCACCACAACACAATAAAGACCATATATGAAAAGTGTGCAGCTAACATCATACACAACAGTAGAAAGTTGAAAGCTTTTCTTCTCTGATCAGGAACTAGACAAGCATACCCACTCTCACGACTTCTATTCAACGTAGTTAATGGAAGTCTTTGTTAGAGAAATTAGGCAAAAAAGGAAATGAAAACATCAAAATTGGAAAGGAAGAAGTTATATTGTCTTTGGTTGCTGACAGCATCTTATGTATAGAAAACCCTAAACTCTACAAAAAAAAAAGTTAAAACTAACCAAAGATTCAGTAAAGTTTTAAGATCCAAAACCACGTACAAATATCAGTAGCATTTCTATACACTAACAACAAAATATCTGAAAAAAATCAAAAAACAATACCATTTACCATAGCTACAAAAACAGACGTATACACACACACACACACACACACACAGAGGAATAAATTTAACCAAGGAATTGAAAAATCTGCACACTGAAAAGTACGAAACACGCACACAAAAAAATTTAAGACACAGAAAAATTGAGAGATACCCAGTAATCATGAATTGTAAAAATTCTGGTAAAATGTCCATACTATCCAAAGTGATCTACAGATTCAACGTAACCACTGTCAAAATTCCAATGGCATTTTTCACAGATTTAGAAAAATCCTAAAATTCACATGGAACGACCAAAGACCTTAAATAGGAAAACAATCTTGAGCAAAAAGCACAAAGCTAGATGCATCATATTGCCTGATTTGAAAATCTCCAACAAGCCTACAGTAATCAAAACAGCATGGTACTGGCACAAAAACAGGCACATAGACAAATAGAATAGAAGAGAGACCAGAAATAAGTCAACCGATTTTTGACAAAGATGTCAAGAATGCACAATGGAGAAAGAACAGTCCCTTCAACAAATGATATTGGGAAAACTGAAAATCCACATGCAGTAGAATAAATCTGGACTTTTATCTCACGTCATATACAAATCAACTCAAAATGGCTTAAGGACTCAAATATACAACCTGAAACTGTGAAACCACTGGCAGAAATCCTAGGGGAAAAGCTTCCTGGCATTGGTCCAGGGAATGGTATTTTGTTTGTTTTTTGTTTTCATTTTTGAGACGGAGTCTTGCTCTGTTGCCCAGACTAGAATGCAGTGGCACGATCTCGGCTCACTGTAAGCTCCGACTCCCAGGTTCAAGCGATTCTCCTGCCTCAGCCTCCCAAGTAGCTGAAATTAGAGGTGCCTGCCACCACGCCTGGCTAATTTTTATATTTTTAGTAGAGACGCGGTTTCACCATGTTGGCCAGGCTGGTCTCAAACTCCTGACCTCAAGTGATTCGCCTGACTCAGCCTCCCAAAGTAGGGAATGGTATTTTGAATATGACCCCAAAAGCACAGGAAACAAAAGCAAAAATAGACAAATGGGATTCTAGCAAACTAAAAGTCTTTTGCCCAGCAAGGTACATGATCAACAGAGTGAAGAGACAGCCTACAGAATGAGAGAAAATTATTGCAAACCATATGATAATGGTTTGGCTCTGTGTCCCCACCCAAATCTCATTTCGAATTGTAATTCCCCATGTGTCAATGGAGGGATCTGATAGGAGGTGACTGGATCACGAGGGCAGTTTTCCCCATGCTGTTCTCATGATAGTGAGTGAGTTCTCATAAGGCCTGATGGTTTTCTAAGGGGCTCTTCCCACTTCACCCTCTCTTCGCTCTCCTGCCACGTGAAGAAGGTCTTTGCTTCCCCTTTACCTTCTGCCATGATTGTTAAGTTTCCTGAGGCCTCCCTAGCCATGTGGAACTGTGAGACAATTAAACCTCTTTCCTTTATAAATTACCTAGTCTTGGGTATTTCTTTATAGCAGTGTGAAAACGGACTAATACACCCCATACGTTTGATATGAGCTTAATATCCAGAATATATAAGGAACTCAAACTACTAAAGAGCAAGAAAATAACCAGGTTAAAAAACAGGCTAAAGACCTGAAAAAGACATTTCTCAAAAAAGGACATAAAAATGGCCAACAGGTATATGAAAAAATGCTCCACATCACTAATCATCAGGGAAATACAAATTATAACCACAATAAGATATCACCTCACACCTGTTAGAATGGCTATTATCAAAAAGATGGAAAATAAGTGTAAATGAGGATGAGAAGAAAATGAAATCCTTTCACACTGTTGGTGGGAATGTGAATTAGTACAGCCACAATGGAAAACAGTAAGGGGGTTCCTCAAAAAATTAAAAATAGAACAATTCTTTGAGTCAATAATCCCACTTCTGGGTATATATCAAAAGTATATGAAATTGGGCCAGGCATGGTGATCATGCCTGTAATCTCGGCACTTTGGGAGGCCGAGGCAGGTGGATCGCCTGAGATCAGGAGTTCAAGACCAGCCTGGCCAACATAGTGAAACCCTGTCCCTCCCAAAAATACAAAAAATTAGCTGGGCGTGGTGGTAGGCACCGGTAATCCCAGCTACCTGGGAGGCTGAAGCAGCAGAACTGCTTGAACCCGGGAGGCAGAGATTGCAGTGAGCAGAGATTGCACCACTGCACTCAAGCCTGGGCAAAAAGAGCGAAGCGAAACTCCATCTCAAAAAAAAAAAAAAAAAAAAAGTACATGAAATCAGTATGTCAAATAGATATCTGCACTCCCATGTTTTATTTCAGCATTATTCACAATAGCCAAGATATGGAATCAACCTAATTGTCCATCAATGGGTGAATGGATAAAGAAAATGTGGTATATACATATACATTGGAAGACTATTCAACCTTAAAAAAAATATATATATCTTGTCCTTCACAACATAATATCCTCAAGATTCATCCATGTTGTTAAATGAAATAAAACAAGCACAAAAAAACAAATAGAATATTATTTCACTCATGGGAAATCTAAAAAAGTGAAACTCAGAGAAGCAGAGAATAGAATAGTGGTTCTCAGGGGCTAGGGATGGAGGATGAGATTGAGGAGGTGTTGGTCATCAGATACAAAATTTCTGCTAAAAGGAAGAATAAGCCCAAGAGATCTATTATATATCATGGTGACTATAGTTAATAACAATATATTGTACACTTCAAATTGCTAACAGATTTAACTGTTTTCACAACAAATAAATATGTGAGGTAATGCATACATTAATTAGCTCCATTTAGACATTCCACTATATATATATATGTAACAAAACATGTTGTATACCATAAATATACACAATTTTGTCAAACAAAAATTTAATTTTTTTTTTTTTGAGATAGTCTTGCTCTGTCACCTAGGCTGGTGTGCAATGGCATGATCTTGGCTCACTGCAACCTCCGCCTCCCAGGTTCAAGCGATTCTCTTGCCTCAGCCTCCTGAGTAGCTGGGATTACAGGGGCCCCCCACCATGCTCAGCTGATTTTTATATTTTTAGTAGAGATGGGGTTTCACCATGTTGGCCAGGCTGGTCTCGAACTCCTGACCTCAAGTGATCTGCCTGCCTCCGCCTCCCAAAGTTCTGGGATTACAGGCATGAGCCACCGCCTCGGCCTAATTTTTTTAGAAAGCACAATGGTGTGTGTGTTAAAGAGGAAGGGTATCTGTTAACAAATGGAAAAAGTTGCTGAGCTACAAAAAATAATATTAACTATATTTTAATTCAGCTTCACAATGATAGTGACAGTTTTCCCTTTCAGTTGTATATAATCCAGTCCCTAGAACACTAAAAGATTTAAGGTTGCATGAAAAACAGATTTGGTAACTTCTTAAGGGAGAATAGTTCTTTCATCAGTGAAGGTCTGTAACTATAAACAGAAGTATTTAAACAGGTAATCTCTCAGTAGTAATGAATTAAGAACCACAAATATAAAAATATATACTATTTCATGTGCTGAATATGATTTATATTTAGTTACAGTATACAACACAATACATTTTACTCAAGATTCCTCATTGTTGGAAATATATCTTTTCTATAAAACATCTTTTCAGGGGAAAATCTAATCATACATTTATAAACATGCTTATGAACTTAAGAAATGATGGACTGTCAAAATAATTTTCATAATTAATTATCCCACTGAGTTGAAAATATAAAAATTCAATATATTATTTATTATTTAATCTATTTGAAATGCTTTGCCCTAGGAAGCAGAAAAGATATGTTTGAGGAATAGAGAATATAAAAAGTAGGAAAACATGGGATTATGATGCATAAAGTGAGATATACTATAAGTAGTTCAAGTAGGCTTTTGATAGAATTCAATCTGTTTAATGTACTAGAAAGAGAATGTATTTAAAGTTCAATTGCTATTTCCAACCAAGGAAATTTTTAGAATCAAGGCACCTGCTTACTCATACTTTTTCATTAAAATTTCTTCTGAGACTGAATAAAGCAGCAATCAAATTTAAAAATAAAATAAAAAACAAAAATAAGTGAATAACCATATATTTTCTCCTCTTTTTTCCTCTGGAAATATAGACGGTATATCATGTTGATGACTCAGTAGATGGCACTGTTACCATTAAATCAAAATAGATCTAATAATCTGGCCTAAAATGCCATAACAGGAAACAAGGCACGCAGGCCTAACCAAGAACACTAATGTGCTTTTACCAAAAACACAAAACAATATTCTGAACATTTGTATTAATGTTCTAAACCAATCAAATATCAAATATGGTGAATGATTATTTACAGAACATTTATTTATTTCCTACTGTAGCTTCATTAACATTCTACAAATTTTCTTTTGGAAAATTAATGCTCTAATAACACCACTAATGAAAAATAAATTAGTTATTCTCATCTAATTAAAATGTGAAATAAAAGTACTTCCTATTTTTTAACAGTGCATTAAAAATTGAATATTTGAGAATGTTTTCAAAATACTAGGCTGACATCATCCAGTTTTGAATGTGCACTTATAAACATTTTCTTCTTAACTATCACTCATCGTACTCTTCATTTACTGACTGGCATAGTTACCTACCTTTCTTTGAGTTAGCTACACTAACTTGAGCTCGTTAATGGCAGGGAATACATCTTATATTTTTTTATAGATCTTGCAGCACTTGGTACATAAGTATACCCACAATATACTCAAAAAAACACCTAGTTAACAAAGGTACAAAATAAAGTTAAACACTAAACATAATATTCTACAACAAAATGTATTAAACAATTAGTTACTGAGTGGAGCATATATCAGTAAACAAAAGCAACAAAAGTAATACCAATAAAACCTATAACCCAGACTGGTAATTTAACCTGTAGACTTTATATCTGAGTGCTGAAGTTATGAGATTATCATTCCCTAAGGAAATAATTCACAAATAAACCAGGTTGCATTACTGGCCATAAGAGATCCAAGTGGCTGCTTTCATTTATTCATTCACTCAAAGGATTTACTGAGAACCCACAATGTACTCTATGGCTTTACAATCCCAGATCCAAACAAATCCCTAGGGAATTTTAAAGAGAATCATAACAATCCTAGATCTATCATTTTCTTGTTCCACATCTGGACAGAATGATCAGGCCCCTGGAAGACTTCAGATGAAAGTAATTCAGTATTAAATAGCCTTATCTACTTGTAGGGCCTAGCATTAGAGCCACTGCTGCCAAAACTACGCCACCATCCAAAGTCCCCTACGCTGCTAAAAAGACCTAAGACTGATAATGCCTCTAGGCTCTACTGTTGCTCTGGAGTCTCCACTTTCTCCAACTCTATATGCTCAAAATTCTAGGGATGGATTTGGCTCCGGTACCTGCTTCTGTTTTCTTATTCATCCTTTATCTGGGGACTGGATGCCATCCATGCCCCAAAAATATGTTAAATGACAGAATTCTGCTGCAAGATGGTAATTCCTTCTCTTGATGAATTTCCTGATACGCCCTGCCTACCTGAGCAGTGCTAGCTCCATTTTAAAACATAGTGCCAACCACACTGTTTTAAAGACAACCTAACCTGCCACGTCTTTTGGTTACTGTATTACATTTTCACCTTAATTTCCAGTCAGCATCTACAGCCAAATCTATACTCCAAAGTTCCAAAGAACTCTAAAGAAGCTAACTCTCTGATAAGTCCCAAGCTCCTTAATAAATGTCAACAGCCTTGTGTTGCCAAGAGAAACCTAGTGATTTGCCCCAAACTGTGATGTTCTCTGCTCTATTCTGCAAAATATTTAGGTGTAAATAAACACTCTTAAGCCACTAAAATGCAAAACAATTCCTCCAGTTCAGAAAACAAACCAACAAACAAAAATTAAGTAATTACCTCCCAGTGCTAGGTATAATTAAAGAACAGATGAAGAAGATAAAATTCTGTCCCTCAAGGAGCCTCAAGTCTAGTGGGGTTAAAACACTTACAGTAAGTCAACATGGTGTAGGGAAAGCATACAACTCAGACTACAAAAAATGTAGACAATAAGAAAGTATTTACCAACTGCCTTTGTGTTACAGACCCTGTCAATACAATTCCTCGGTATTTTATTCCTTCATAAAACAGCACAGCTGTCCTCTCATGTCAGCTGCAAAATTAAAAAAAACAAAAAATCTCAGAGCCTAGAATTTATGTTTCTAGTAAGCCTATTTGATTAAAGGAAACATCTATTCAATTAGGGCTGTTAAACACCTGAATAGAGTACAGCAAAATGGTGGCATTTCTTCCTTTAGGTTTTTTTTAAGTAGGCTATAGATACTCAAACATCAAAGATGCTTTAAGTTTAAGGTTCTCCAAGGCAATAAGATGAATTAACTAAATTCCTAGTAATATAAAAGGTAATAGTAGGGAGATGGAAGTAGACTTTTTGAAAAATGACATGAAATGATGAGTTCAGTAAGTGCTAAAATTATCATCACTCTTGATGAAGGTAAGAAGAATATTTAGGATTGATAAACTGATAGTATAAGAAAGAAACAGAAGATCTTAAAATGAATAGATAGAAAGCAAAAAAAAAAAAGAATTTTCTTTTTACTTTTGGTTTTGCTCTTATATTGTTTCTTTTTCCTGAAAGTCTTAAAATAATTTTTCAAATCTGAAACTCTGTCTCCAGTACATACTTACCTATTTTAAATATCAGATTATTCATGTTAAGTGTGGTGAAATGACAAAGATAAAATTGCAAAAAGTAAGTTAATATCTGTTAGTTCACACATATATTACATAATATCCTTTGCTACTGCTTTCTTGATTTTTAAATATTGGAACCATAATAACTGTGATTAGGACAGTAATAATCATTATCACTTTATATAATCCTTTTACATTGATTATTTTAGTCCTAACAACCACATGTGGTCAGTAAATTTGTAATCAAATTATATATAAAGGCCAGGCACGGTGGCTCACACCTATAATTCCAGTACTTTAAGGGGCCAAGGCAGGAGGATCACTTGAGCCCAAGAGTTCAAGACCAGCTTGGGCAACAAAGCGAGACCCTGTCTCTTCCAAAAAATTATAAAATTAGCTGGGTGTGGTGGTGCATGTCTGTAGTCCTGGCTACTCGGGAGGCTGAGATGAGAGAATCACTTGAGCCTGGGAGGTCAAAGCTGCCATAAACTGTGATCCAGCCATACACTGCTGCGGCCTGGGCAACAGAGTGAGACCCCACCTCAAAACACACACACACACACACAGATAGGGGACAATTCTGAGTAAGCTACTCACTGCTGGCTAAAAGAGAATAGTAGTCAGTGTTGAAAGCCACTCAGAACCATCTATCCTATCTCTCCTACAAAACAAAATCCTTAACCTGCAAACCTGTATCTGAGGGCACTGGTGAAATCTCATTGAAACTAGGTGAGAAATGCTGCCAAGACCCATCTGGCCCATGTCCTCTAAGCAACAAAATCCTTTATTTTTAGGAGGAAGTGCATCAGTATCATAGCTTGGTGGAAACTCACTGAAGCTAAGAGAGAAAAACATGGGCAAAGAGGTAACTCCACTTCTTGGGGAGGAACATAAATACATGCTAGTCCCAGCATCACAACAGGAAGAAGGACAAGAACACTAGTAAAGGCCATATTCCCAAGATCCAGGTTCATAGTGGCTACCTAAAATTGAGGCTTAATGATAATATTATTTGATAGTAGGGTGTGTATGACACACTGAAATATGCATGCACACACAACCACTTTTATGCATACCACCAAACACGTGAACATATGCATGCACACGCACACACACAAAATCTTACTATACCTACCTCACAGTGACCTGGAACCACTGATATTTTTGTAAGAAATGGAAAAGAAAGGATGCAGAAATGATAAATTGTTATTTGCTACATATATCAAAATGTTGGATTTGTGTTCAAAGGAAACCATCCTAAGCAAAAGACTATACTTTAAATACCTCCTACTCCTTGCTTTCAATCATTGGCTAGTTTTAGGATTTAGGAAAGTCTCAGGCCCTACTTAAATAAAAGGGATGACTATATTAGCATTACCCAAGACCCATTTTTTAAAGCAAGTTTTAGTCATTCTAAGTAAACATGGAAAAGTAAAAGATAATATATTGAGTTTTTGTATAAAGCTAAATTTATTGAATTTATAAAATTTTTTTATTCAGTGACTTTGTCTTTCCAAGTTTTTTGATATTCAAATGTTCCTTTATGATATCATGGTGAGAGCTGATTATAGTTTAATTTTATTATGCTCTTATTTAGAAATATAAAAAGTTACACTTCTTTGTACATCCTCCAAATTTTTAAATACATTTTACTAGTCCATAAAATCCAAAAATCTAAGAACCACCAGGGTAGATAAGGACAGTTATTTTTTTAAACCCAATCTCCCTATAATTTAATAAGGAATCACATTTACATAGA
The DNA here is from genome assembly GCF_000001405.40 of Homo sapiens. Lineage (NCBI taxonomy): Eukaryota > Metazoa > Chordata > Mammalia > Primates > Hominidae > Homo > Homo sapiens. The sequence continues at coordinate 66,564,099 of NC_000014.9, read as the reverse complement.
GATAGCTATCAATTCCCCAGATGTATGAAGATGAATGGGAACTTCAGAAATCATTAGAGAGTCATATACGTTCATGCCCTCTGAATGTTTCAAATGAAACATGCAAGTATTCATCAAACGCTTACTGTGTACTTACCATAATAGTAATGCAAAACACTAAGACAAAAACTTGCTATGGTCTATGAATTAAACTCTGAATATCAGAACCAAGGTTTTGTCAGTAAGCAAGAAAAGCCAGACTAGAAATTACCATCACTTAAGAGAATGATAAGCATCCAGTGAATGGAAATGCAAGCAATCAGAATTAGCAAGATTAAGTTGGCCAAGAAAAAAAATAAAAATAAAAAACCAGCCATGAGGCCTAAGTTTTAGCAGCAGTTTTTTCTACACAAAGATATGGTAGTAAATCAGACGGGATACTGAAAATGAACTACTAGAAAAAGGTTTGGTCATAAGAAATAAAGAAAGACATTAGAATTGGAATGTAAAATGAGACTATAACAACCAGCTTAGTTACTAGCTTAGGATTGCTTACATTTCCTTTAGAGAAAGGATTGGTCCTAAATTAAGCTCTGGCTGAATGAACATGTGAATGCTCAAATGAGCATAAAACCAGCCCCACAAGAAAAATTTAGAGAGCTAAAAGGAAAAGGAGTGAAGTCATTAAGATGAAATCTAGTATTCAAAAATAATACAGAAAGAACTCTTCATTCTTGCCTTTGGACCAGTAGACCTATCAAAAAAGAATCAGGTACATATATAGTAAACCCACCATGTAGCAACCCCTACACATGTGATACGAAGCTTAAATTACATCTTAATACATTGTGAAAAGTTAGTCACATTAGATGTTACACCCCATATTATTTTTGAAAATCATATTTCTAGCATTCAAGAAACTACGTTTATTAGTCTAATAATTAAAAGTTATTATTTGAGAGGTCTAGAGCATTAAAACTTATTTCATAAGTTCTTCATAGATTATATATTTATACCAATAAAATCCCTTAAAGGAGAAAATGAATTTTAAATGCATAGTTTGTAGGCAGAATATCTCCCCACGAAAGCTGTCGATGTCCTAATCTCTAGAACCTGTGAATATATCTTACACATCAAGGAATTCAGAGTATGCCACCCCAAAATACGCCACTTTCGCATAAGGATTATTTTGAGCTAACGTCAATTAAGAAAAGGCAAGTTTGCGCACACACACACACAAACACACACACACACAGACACAAAATCCTCTGCCCTCCTCCTCTCTACTAGAAAGGGCAGGACTATTCGATTCTTAGTTGATACTTTATCACCAAAGACAATTCCAGAACCTTATCAGCCAAAAGACAGCACTAGAAGAATCTACTGAGCAAACCATACTATCCCTTATCTTCCATTGATTTCCCGCGTATATTTATTATCCTACAATTTGCTGTTCTTAGTAGCTCAAAGTCCCTTTCCTTCGTCCTGTCTTCCCTCTACAAAATTATTCTTTGGTTAAAAGGATACGTAAGCCCAAATTCCAACAAACGCTTTGAGTTACTAATCATTGAGTACTCTCCTGTGTATAAGCAATCCACATGTTAATAAATTTGTTTCATTTTCTCTTATCTGTTTCCCCCACCCCAAATTTTGTTAAGGTACAATTGACAAATAAAAATTGGATATACTTATAATGCACAATGTGATGTTTTGATATATGTATATATTGTAAAAATGATTAAATCAAGCTAATTAATGTATCCATCACCTCACAAACTTATTTTCTGTGGTAAGTACATTTAAGACCTACTGTCTGAATAATTTTCAAGTATACAATACTAGAGTCATCACACTGAAATAGATCCGCAGAATTTATTCATCTAACTGAAACTTAATCTGTCTCTTATCAGTCTAATTTACAGGACCCCAGAGACAGAACTTAGGAGAGTAGAGGGAGGAAAAAAGGACATTTTTTCTTCCCTTCATGTAGCAAATACAATTAATACTAAGGATTTTGAGATGTGGAGATTATCTTGGATTATCTGTGTTGGCCCAATCTCATCACGAGTCCTTAAAAGAGAGACCCTTTCCCAATTGTTTTCAAAGAAAGAGAATAGGGCAAATGGCAGTGTGAGAAGGACTCAACCCATCATTGTTGGCTTTGAAGAAGGAAGAAAAGAGGCCATGAGCTAAGGTATGCAGGCAGCCTCTAGAAGGTGGAAATGGCAAGGAACTGGATTCTCCCTGCGAGCCCCCAGAAAGAAATGCAGCCCTATTGACACCTTGATTTTAGCCCTGAGACCTGTATTGGACCTCTGATCTTCAGAACTACATAATAACAAATTTTTATTGCTTAAGGCACAACATTTATGGTAATTTTGTATAACAATAGAAAACTAAAAGTATAGTAACTTTTGTTTTTTAAATTAATGTCAATTTACTCAGCCTAATTCTAGAAATAATACACATATATAGATTAAAACTAGATATAAGATAAACTATATTCTAGTTACAGTCCAATAGCTAAATATTTGTGTAAACCTGGGTACCCTATTTCTTCAACATCTGGGCACCAATTTCCTTATATGTAAAATGAAATCTGTGAGGCAACTGTTAGGAAATAAAATGGCAATTTTAGTCCATGCTACCTCAGATTCAAGAAACCTCAGGATTCGACAGAATACAGAATAGACCAATAACAGGCTCTGAAATTGTGGCAATAATCAATAGCTTATCAACCAAAAAGAGTCCAGGACCAGATGGATTCAGCCGAATTCTACCAGAGGTACAAGGAGGAACTGGTACCATTCCTTCTGAAACTATTCCAATCAATAGAAAAAGAGGGAATCCTCCCTACCTCATTTTATGAGGCCAGCATCATCCTGATACCAAAGCCGGGCAGAGACACAACCAAAAAAGAGATTTTAGACCAATATCCTTGATGAACATTGATGCAAAAATCCTCAATAAAATACTGGCAAACCGAATCCAGCAGCACATCAAAAAGCTTATCCATCATGATCAAGTGGGCTTCATCCCTGGGATGCAAGGCTGGTTCAACATATGCAAATCAATAAATGTAATCCAGCATATAAACAGAACCAGAGACAAAAACCACATGATTATCTCAATAGATGCAGAAAAGGCCTTTGACAAAATTCAACAACCTTTCATACTAAAAACTCTCAATAAATTAGGTAATGATGGGATGTATTTCAAAATAATAAGAGCTATCTATGACAAACCCACAGCTGATATCATACCGAATGGGCAAAAACTGGAAGCATTCCCTTTGAAAACTGGCACAAGATAGGGATGCCCTCTCTCACCACTCCTATTCAACATAGTGTTGGAAGTTCTGGCCAGAACAATCAGGCAGGAGAAGGAAATAAAGGGTATTCAATTAGGAAAAGAGGAAGTCAAATTGTCCCTGTTTGCAGATGACATGATCGCATATCTAGAAAACCCCTTTGTCTCAGCCCAAAATCTCCTTAAGCTGATAAGCAACTTCAGCAAAGTCTCAGGACACAAAATCAATGTGCAAAAAATCACAAGCATTCTTATACACCAATAACAGACAAACAGAGAGCCAAATCATGAGTGAACTCCCAATCACAATGGCTTCAAAGAGAATAAAATACCTAGGAATCCAACTTACAAGGGACGTGAAGGACCTCTTCAAGGAGAACTACAAACCACTGCTCAATGAAATAAAAGAGGATACAAACAAATGGAAGAACATTCCATGCTCATGGGTAGGAAGAATCAATATCGTGAAAATGGCCAAACTGCCCAAGGTAATTTACAGATTCAATGCCATCCCCATTAAGCTACCAATGACTTTCTTCACAGAATTGGAAAAAACTACTTTAAAGTTCATATGGAACCAAAAAAGAGCCCGCATTGCCAAGTCAATCCTAAGCCAAAAGAACAAAGCTGGAGGCATCACGCTACCTGACTTCAAACTATACTACAAGGCTACAGTAACCAAAACAGCATGGTACTGGTACCAAAACAGAGATATAGACCAATGGAACAGAACGGAGCCCTCAGAAATAACGCCGCATATCTACAACTATCTGATCTTTGACAAACCTGACAAAAACAAGCAATGGGGAAAGGATTCCCTATTTAATAAATGCTGCTGGGAAAACTAGCTAGCCATATGGAGAAAGCTGAAACTGGATCCCTTCCTTACACCTTATACAAAAATTAATTCAAGATGGATTAAAGACTTACATGTTAGACCTAAAACTGTAAAAACCCTAGAAAAAAACCTAGGCATTACCATTCAGGACACAGACATGGGCAAGGACTTCATGTCTAAAACACCAAAAGCAATGGCAACAAAAGCCAAAATTGACAAATGGGATCTAATTAAACTAAAGAGCTTCTGCACAGCAAAAGAAACTACCATCAGAGTGAACAGGCAACCTACAAAATGGGAGAAAATTTTCACAACCTACTCATCTGACAAGGGGCTAATATCCAGAATCTTCAATGAACTCAAACAAATTTACAAGAAAAAAACAAACAACCACATCAAAAACTGGGTGTAGGACATGAACAGACACTTCTCAAAAGAAGACATTTATGCAGCCAAAAAACACATGAAAAAATGCTCATCATCACTGACCATCAGAGAAATGCAAATCAAAACCACAATGAGATACCATCTCACACCAGTTAGAATGGCAATCATTAAAAAGTCAGGAAACAACAGGTGCTGGAGAGGATGTGGAGAAATACGAACACTTTTACACTGTTGGTGGGACTGTAAACTAGTTCCACCATTGTGGAAGTCAGTGTGGTGATTCCTCAGGGATCTAGAAATAGAAATACCATTTGACCCAGCCATCCCATTACTGGGTATATACCCAAAGGACTATAAATCATGCTGCTATAAAGACACATGCACACATATGTTTATTGCGGTACTATTCACAATAGCAAAGACTTGGAACCAAGCCAAATGTCCAACAATGATAGACTGAATTAAGAAAATGTGGCAATATATACACCATGGAATACTATGCAGCCATAAAAAATGATGAGTTCATGTCCTTTGTAGGGACATGGATGAAATTGGAAATCATCATTCTCAGTAAACTATCGCAAGGACAAAAAACCAAACACCACATATTCTCACTCATAGGTGGGAATTGAACAATGAGAACACATGGACACAGGAAGGGGAACAACACACTCTGGGGACTGTTGTGGGGTTGGGGGAGGGGGGAGGGATAGCATTAGGAGATACACCTAATGCTAAATGACAGGTTAATGGGTGCAGCACACCAGCATGGCACATGTATACATATGTAACTAACCTGCACATTGTGCACAGGTACCCTAAAACTTAAAGTATAATAATAATAAAATAAAATAATAAAAAAGAAAAGCTGTTAATTCAAGATTAACTTAGTAAGAATAGCATTACCTAATTACATTTACAGAATGAACTCTATATTAAATGACATAAGCAATTAAAAAGTAAAGTAAGAATGACTTAAAACATGTAATAAAGCCTTTAACAGTAGGATTACATATCAAGACTAAGAGCACATTAAAGACTTATTGAATGGAGGCCTATGACATAAAAAAATATACAGGGGTTTGATGAATATCATTATATAAGATACAGATAGTAAAATCAGATTATTTTTCACTTTCTGACACCTTGCCTCTTCATTTGTTCAGATTACAGAATTTCATATAAAAAAATTTTTGATCTTCAGTAATCAGTGTTGTCTTCTCTATGTATTTTCCTCACTGTATTTCAGTATTCTTTGTACAAAATATCAGTTATAACAAGGTATTTATGTCATTCCTGAAAATAAATTCTGACTGGGAGTATATACTATCATGATGCTATAGTTCCTCAGGAAGCTATAAGCTTATACAGTATCTTATACACTGACGCTTACTAGCCTACTGTGGTAAAGACTACCAACTCTTCAACTGGAGACCCATCCCACTTTGATTTAGGAGTTTTGTTTTAGGAAAAAAATCATTTTCTCAGGTTTTTAAAGAGAAAATATTTTCATTGAGAAGGTTTTTGTAACTTTTCAAAGGAGCTACTAAACTACTCCTAAAATAATAATTATATACTTAAAAACATCAAATGTTGTCTCAAGTGAATAGTAATTAGCACCATATTATAAATTGCAGCCAGGGCAAAGAAACATTCTCAAACAAAAATGAGAATCAAGGGCAAGAAGGTTATCATAATTTAGAATTCTACAACTACTAGATTGTATTAATAACTCATATAATAAGTAATAAATAACTTTTAAGAAATTCATTCCATGCATAATTCTGAAATCAGACACACTTTTAAAAGTCAAGGTGATTTCTGATGGCAGCCTTGTTTAACCACATTTAAGCAGAATCCAGAGGGGAACATACAGATAATGTGACAGCCCTCAACTACCTTTCTTGTAACTTAACACTTTGGTCTTATTCATGAGAAAACATGAAGGCTCTGAGAAAAAAAGTTATATATACCTTTAATAATTATGTAGTATGTTCTAACTTATGATTTAATGCAAAAAAGTAACTTATTTTCCCTTAAAAGGGAATATTTCTTAAAATCATCAGAATTCTGCCAATATAACTGAAGACAAATTCTTAAAGATATGATTTCTAAAGATAATTCAAATAAGCATTCTACTTGTAAGTACAAAGTATCTCACTGAATGTTCACTTAAATTCATAATGACTGGTCTTTCACTTAAATTATAAGTTCCCCTCCATTAAACCATCATTTTATTATTATATTCTCAACAAAATTTGGGAAAATACTCTTTTATATCTTAGCGCTCATTAAATTCATTCTATCTATCTATCTATCTATCTATCTATCTATCTATCTATCTATCTACCTACCTATGTATCTATCTATCTATCTATTTCAGACAGGGTCATGCTTTGTTGCCCAGGCTGGAGTACAGTGGCCATATCTTAGCTTACTACCACCTCAAACTCCTGGGCTCCAGAAATCCTCCAGCCTCAGCCTCCTGAGTAACTGGGACTACATGCACACGTCACCACGCCCAGCTAATTTTATTTTTTAGTTTTATTTTTGTATAGAAACGGTCTTGTCATCTTGGCCAAGCAGGTCTCAAACTCCTGGGCTCAGCAATCCTCCTGTCTTGGCTCCCAAAGTTCAGGAATTAGAGGCATGAGCAACTGCACTCAGCCTATCAGGTTGTTTTTGTTTTTGTTTTTTAATTAGTATGTGTAGCAAATGCTTGAAGTAGAAGCCTTTGTGTATTCTAGGACCCAAAGATACTATAACAGTTGCCATGAAGAAACACCAATTTAAAATTATAATGAAATAAGTCAATATAAAGTACTTCTGTAAATCCTCAATTAATTCAATGATATATATTTAATATAAAATTATATAAACATATTTTTAAAACTAGTTCTTAAATGCAGGCATAAATAATTATGGGACCAAAAGTTTTGGCTCTATCACTTACACTCATTTCTCAAAATTCACTGATGTGAATATAAATAGTTTCATTTCATTTTATAGATCAGAATGTGTACCTAAAACTAAATATCTAGCAGGATTATTTGGATATTCCTAGTTGTTTCTATTTCCATACCCTTAGTTTTTTGGGCATACCTCTTTGGCAGGAACCAAGAGTACAGAAGTTGTTTCCCTTAGAAAGAGAACTGGATGGAAAAACCATTAACGACATCTCTTTAGAGTCAAAGCTTAAAGATCAACAGAGTTTCAAGGATAATAGTTGTGTTCTGCAACCACCTTTTAAATCTTATGATGTACTGACCATCAACTACATGAATAATACTATGCTATATGGCAAAAAATTGTGTAAAAGAGGGTCTTTATACTTAAGAAGTATGCAATCTAGTTGAATAATATTCATATACAGTCATGTACCACATAATGACATATTGGTCAATGATGGACCACATATATGATGGTGGTCTCATAAGATTATAACATCATATTTTTACTGTATCTTATCTATATTTAGAATCTTCAGATACACAAATACCACTGTGTTGCAACTGCCTACAGCACTCAGTACAGTAACATTTATACAGGTTTGTAGTCTAAGAGCAATAGGCTATAACATATAGCCTAGGTGTGTAGTAGGCTATACTATCTAGGTTTGTGTAAGTACATTCTATGATGTTCAAACAATGATGAAATCGCCAAATTATGTATTTCTCAGAATACATCCCCATTGCTAAGCAAAGACTGCACATGAAACACATAAATAATAAACAATATAAGGTAGAAAATGATTACCAAAATAAATGAAAACCATTAAAGTAGGGGTTTTTTTAAAGTCTCAAAACTTTAGTTACCCATCACATAAAAATGCTTTAGTTATTACTTGTTCACTAACAGATAAGTTAGTGTTCTCCTAAGATGACTCAGGAGAAATCCCAAACACTAAGACAAACCTAAAGGTTAGGGGATAACAGTTCTATTTCACAGGATTTTTTTTCTTTTTTTGTCTTATCGCTGAACTTTACAATGATAATGTATTTGGTAGTACCATCAGTATAAAAATGAAATCCATCTTTCTACATATTCTTTCAAAGCAATGAGTCTTTCAAAAGGCAGCGTGGGTTGCGGGGGGGCAATCATAGGACACATTCATTAACTCATTCAACAAATATTTATTAAGCACCTACCATACGCCACACATTGTGATAGATGTGAGGGAGACAGTGATAAACTGTAGACATCTGCAAAATATTCACTTCATTTGCCTATTGATAAGCATTTACAGATGCTGTATCAATACAGAAAAGGAGGAAAATTATTACTCAGTAATATTATAGAACTTAATGCAATTTAGGCAAATATGTGTCCATAAGTAAATATGTATGTTATATATATACCATATGCATAATATACCATCTATGTAACCTACCATATGTTCAGAATCTGCTACAGATTTCTGTGACACAATAAACGTTAAGTACTTACGCTTCTTTTGTTTTTTTTGTGGGGATTTTTTTCTGTTTTTAAACTGGTGACCTGTTTATCCTGCAAATTATGAATCTACTTTAGTTCCAATATTCTGAAGCTATACATTAATATTATCTGCCATATATTGGCTGAGAGCTTTATAAGGTTCCTTCATGGCAACTGTCATAGTATCTTTGGGTACTAGAATATATGAAGGCTTCTACTTCAAGCATTTGCTTCACATCCTAATTTAAAATGCCCTTCATAATGTAACATTCTTGGCCTAACAGTCCACATTGGAGGTACCTATCACCTACCCATTCAACCCAGCATGTATGAAATCCTAGCACACACATTTTATCAGTATGAAAATGAGCTTGTTAGAGGATCATTTCTAAAGTTTGTACAAGTACTAAAAGTCTATGATTCCCTGACTATATAATTGACAGCTGATATGGTTTAGCTTTGTATCCAAGTCTCATCTTGAATTGTAATCCCCGGGTATTAAGGGAGGAAACTGTTGGGAAGTGATTGGATTATGAGGGTGGTTCCTCCATGCTGTACTTGTGATAGCGAATGAATTCTTATGAGATCTGATGGTTTTATAAATGATAGTTTTTCCTGTGCTCTCATTCCACTCTCTCCTGCCACCATGTGAAGAAGGTCCTTGCTACCCCTTTGCCTTCCGCCACGATTATAAGTTTCCTGAGGCCTCCCTAGCCATGTGCAACTGTGAGTCAATTAAATCTCTTTCCTTTATAAATTACCGAGTCTCAGGTAGTATCCTTTATAGCAGTGTGAGAATGGACGAATACAAAAATATAAGAGCAAAATGTAATCCACTGCCACTTATACTCAATTTAAGACTTTATTGAAGCCACAGTCCTACTTGTCTCACTGGCTGTTGTTCTATAGAACCTAACCTTAATTTTATTTCTATCCCTATCTCTGCCCTTGATCACATATGCATCCTGGCACAAATAAGTCCATGCTATTTTCAAGCATAAAAACCCACAGAAGGTTCAGAAAAGTAAAAAAAATTCCAAAATATAAACTTTCAGATAAGCAGCCAAATATTGTTAATTTATATTAAATTGTATCTAGAATCATTTCATAATAAGATGAAATAAGAGGATTTTTGATGAAATTAAACAAAGAGAAGATAGAGTCAAAGAAACTATCACGTTAAAAATCAATAATTTAGATTAACTGAGAAATTAACAAAATGGAAACCATAAAGAGGAACTAAATGAAAATTCCAGAGCTTAAGAGTACAATAACTGAGGCTGGGGGTGGTGGCTCATGCCTGTAATCCCAGCACTTTGGGAAGCCGAGGCAGGAGGATCATGAGGTCAAGAGATGGAGACCATCCTGGCCAACAAGGTGAAACCCCGTCTCTACTAAAACTACAAAAATTAGGCGGGCGTGGTGGCCCATGCCTGTAGTCCCAGCTACTCAGGAGGCTGACGCAGGAGAATTGCTTGAACCCGGGAGGCAGAAGTTGCAGTGAACAGAGATCGCACCACTGCACTCCAGCCTGGTGACAGAGTGAGACTCTGGCTCAAAAAAAAAAAGTACAATAATTAAAATTAAAATATTATTGGAGAGGATTAACAGTATATTGACGTTGGCAGGAAAAGTGAAGTTGAAGACCAATCAATCAAAATTCTCTAACCTGACAGAGAGATAAAAGGCTGAAGAGAAATAAATGAAGCTTCAGAGGCCATTGGGACAATTTCATATTGTTTGAAATATATGTAACTGTGATCCTAGAGGAGAAAAGAGTGAGACTGGGGCAGAATATTTTAAAAATAGTGACTAGAAAGTTCTCAAATATGATGAAAAACACCAACTTTTAAGAAGTTTAGGGCCAGGTGCGGTAGCTCATGCCTATAATCCTAGCACTTTGAGAGGCCGAGGCGGGCAGATTGCCTGAGGTCAAAAGTTCGAGACCAGCCTGGCCAATGTGGTAAAACCCCTTCTCTAATAAAAATAGAAAAAATTAGCCGGGCATGGTAGCGGGCACCTGTAATCCCAGCTACTTGAGAGGCTGAGGCAGGGAATCGCTTGAACCTGGGAGGCGGAGGTTACAGTGAGCCAAGATCGTGCCACTGCACTCCAGCCTGGGAAACAACAACGAAACTCTTGTCTAAAAAAAGAAAAAAGAAAAGAAAAGAAAAAAGAAAAAAAAAAAGAAGTTTAGCCAATCCCAAACAGGATAAATATAAAGAGAACCACACTGAGATACATTAGAATCAATACAGTTTTAATCAATTGATTAAAAACAAAAGTAAGAAAAAATCTTGAAAGCAGCCAGAAAAGGGACAAAAAGAAAGGGAGGCAGGGAGACATCATGTATGGGAGAAATAAGAATTATTCCCAGCCTCTCACTGGAAGTCAGAAAACAGTAAAATGATATCTTTAAAGTACTTGGGGGGTGAAGGCTATCGACCTAGAATTTTATATTCATCAATAATAAATATCCTTCAGAAATGAGGGTGGAATAAAGACATTTTTAGCTAAACAAAAGCTGAGAGAATGCTTGCCAGTCAATCTACATTGTAAGAAATGCTGAAGAGTGTTCTTCAGACCAAAGACAAATTCTATCAAATGGATATGTAGACTTACAGAAAGGAAAAAAGAGCTTCAGAAATGGTAAATAAATTGGTAAACACAAAAACTGTTTCCTTTCTCATAATTCACTTAAAAATCAAATAACTGTTTAAAGCAAAATAAAACACTGTAAAGTAGGGCTTATAACGTATATAAAAGTTTAAAATGTGATTTAAAAATCACACTAGGGGAGTGAGTAAATGCAGTTATTTAGTTGTAAGGTCTTACATTGGAAATTAGAAGCTGGAAGCAGGATGAGTTAGAAAATGAGATGGGAACAGTGAAGTAGAAAGTGTCAGGTATGAAATAACTTTCTGATGAGATGGGACTGTTCTTATTTTGCTCATGATAGTGATTATACAGAATAAAAACCAGGAAAGTAAACAGATTTCCAGGCATACTAGGGAGCCAGACATTAATGAGTAAGTAGATGTGGGGAAAAATGAAAGGGAGGTGTCTAAGATGACTTCATGATTTTTAGATTATAGAATCAGAAGTCCCTCTTAACCAGGCTGGGAGCTTCAGTGACAAGGTTTCAAAGATAAAGGTTGGTTTCTCTTTGGGGCATGAAGGGGTGCTGATACGGTTTTGATTTGTATCCCTGCCCAAATTTCATGCAGAATTGTAATCCCCAATGTTGGAAGAGTGGCCTGGTGGGAGGTGATTGAATCATGGAGATGGATTCCCCCTTGCTGTTCTAGTGATACTTAGTGAGTTCTCACGAGATCTGGTTGTTTAAAACTGTGTAGCACCTCCTCCTTCTTTCTCTTCCTCCTGCTCTGGCCATGTAAGACATGCCTGCTTCCCCTTCATCTTCCGCCATGACTGAAATTTTCCTGAAGCCTCACCAGCTATGCTTCCTGTACAGCCTGTGGAGCACTGAGCCAATTAAACCTCTTTTCTTTATCAATTACCCAGTCCCAAGAACTTCTTTATAGCCGTGCAAGAATGGACTAATACAGGTGTCTAGAGGATAACCAAGTCAAAAAGTGAATGGAGAACACAATGTGAATATCCGAAGAGCAACAAACTTTCTAGCTCAAGACTTAGATATAGGAGGCAGTATCAAGTATAGGAAAGGTTACCTCAAAATGACATCTAGAGTAAAATGGGCTAAGGACCAGGGATGAACTACAAAAAACACAGATATTTAAGACCACACAGAGGAAGAAAAATTCTGTAGAGAATGAGTGGCTACAAAGATCAGTGATAAACAAGGAAAGAGTAGTGTTACTGAAAGACAGGGTAAAGGAATTTTAAAGACCAACTGGCTGCTTTTCCAGTGCATATAAATGTTTGTTTATACAATACTGTATTCTATTAAGAGTGCAAAAGCATTATATCTAAAAACACAATGCACATACCTTAATTTAAAAATACCTTACTGCTGGCCGGGCGTGGTGGCTCACGCCTGTAATCCCAGCACTTTGGGAGGCCGAGATGGGTGGATCACAAGGTCAGGAGATCGAGACCATCCTGGCTAACACGGTGAAACTCCATCCCTACTAAAAAATACAAAAAATTAGCCAGGCGTGGTGGCGGGCACCTGTAGTCCCAGCTACTCGGGAGGCTGAGGCAAGAGAATGGCGTGAACCCAGGAGGTGGAGCTTGCAGTGAGCCGAGATCGTGCCACTGCACTCCAGCCTGGGCGACAGAGTGAGACTCCGTCTCAAAAAAAAACAACAACAACAAAAAAAAACCTTACTGCTAAAAAAATGCTAACCATCCTCCAAGCCATCAGTGAATCATAATCTTTTTGCTGGTGGAGAGTCTTGCCTCAATGTATATAGCTGCTGACTGATCAGGGTGGTGGCTGCTGAAGGTTGGGGTGGCTGTGGCAATTTCTTAAAATAAAACCACAATGAAGTTGCTGCATCAGTTGACTCTTCTTTTTACAAAATATTTATCTGTAGCAGGCAATGCTGTTTGATAGAATTTTACTGACAGAAGAACTTCTTTCAAAATTGCTGTCAATCCTCTCAAACCCTGCTACTGCTTTATCAACTAAGTTCATGTAATAATTAAAACCCTTTGTTGTCACTTCAACAATGTCTATAGCATTATCACCAGGAGTAGATTCCATCTCAAGAAACCACTTTCTTTACTTATCCATAAGAAGCAACTCTTCATCCATTCCAGTTTTATCATGAGACTGCAGCAATTCAGTCACATCTTCAGGCTCCATCTCTAATTCTAGTTCTCTTGCTATTTCCACCACATCCATCAGTGAAGTCTTGATGGGTGGATTCAACTTCTTCCAAATTACTGTTAATGTTGACATTTTGACCTCCTCGCATGAATCATGATTGTTCTGAATGGTATCAAGAATGCTGAATTCCTTCCGGAAGGTTTTTCACTTACTTTGCTCAGATCCATCAAAGGAATTACTATCTATGGTAGCTATATAGCCTTTCAAAATGTATTTCTTAATATGAATTGAAAGCTGAAATTACTCCTTGATCCATGGGCTGCAAAATGGATGTTGGGTTAGCAGGCATGAAAACATTAATCTCCTTGTATATCTCTATCTGAGCTCTTGGGTGACTAGGTACATTATCAATAAGTAGTAATACTTTGAAATAAAGCTTTCTTTCTGAGCAGTAGGTATCAATAATAGGCTTAAAATATTTAGTAAACCATGCCGTAAACAAATGTGCCATCATTCAGGCTTTGTTGTTCCCTTTATACAGCACAGGCAGAATGACTTAGCATCATTTTTAATGGCACAGGATTTCAGAATAGGAAATAAGCACTGGCTTCAACTTAAAGTCACTAGCTCCATTAACCCCTAATGAGAGACTCAGCATGTCCTTTGAAGCTTTTTTTTCCTGTCTAGCTATGAAGACACTAGATGGCATCTTCTTTCAATATATAAGGCTGCTTCATCTATATTGAAAATCTGTAGTTTCGTAGCCACCTTAATCAATGATCTTAACTAGATTTTCTATATAATTTGCTGCAAGTATCACATCAACACTTTCTGCTTCACTTTGCATTTTCATGTAATGGAAATGGCTTCTTTTCTTATACCTCACGAATCAACCTCTAGCCAGCTCCCAATGTTTCTCCTGCAATTTCCATACCACTCTTGACCTTCACAGAATTGAGAAGAGTTAGAACCTTGCTCTGGATTAAGCTTTGGCTTAACAAAATGTTGTGGCTTGTTTGATCTTCTATCCAGGCTACTCAAACTTTCTTCATATCAGCGATATGGCTGTTTTGCTTTCTTATCATTTGTGTATTCACTGGAGTAGCACTTTATATTTCCTTCAATAATTTTTCCAGGTGACAAAATAATCTGTTCACCAACCCCCTGTGACACACAACTTACCAATATAATGAATCTGTACATGTACCCCAAAACTAAAATAAAAGTTAAGAAAAAAACTTTAGACACATTCTAATGTAAAAATTTTTCTCTATAATCATACCATGGAAGTATATGATAACTTTTATTTATATATAAATTAACACATAATACATATATTTAGATACATTATCCTTAGAGATATAGTATAAAAAGTGAAACCAATAAAATGAGAGCACGTAAAAAGTCAGAAATGGTAGGAATACAGATGCTACCATTTGTATTTCCATAAATTTAACTGAAATATGAAAATTTGTTATTTTCTCTTAGATCCTCAGAAGTATAATATACAAATCTCTCAGAATAAATGTTCTCTGCTATTTTTTAAAATAATTTTTCCTTTGTATTCACAACTTGGCTATTTGGCACAAGAGGCCTACCTTTCCACCTGTCTCAGTTTTTAGTATTCCTTCCTCACTAAGCTTAACCATTTCTAGCTTTTGATTTAATCTGAGGGATGTGTCTCACATTAAATCAGGATCTCTAGATCTTGAACACCTAGAGGCCACTGTAGGATTATTATCTGGCCTAATTTCAATACTCAGGGAATATTTTGTATCTCAGGGAATAGGGAAGCCTGAGGAGACAGCGAGAGAGATGGGGAAACTGCTCGTCGGTGGAAGAGTCAGAATTCACATATTATGTTCACCATATTATATGGACACAGTTCATGGCTCCCCAAAACAATTACAATAGTAGGCTGGGTGCAATGGCTCACGCCTGTAATCCCAGCACTTTGGGAGGCTGAGGCAGGTGGATCATCTGAGGTCAGGAGTTCGAAACCAGCCTGGCCAACATGGTGAAACCCCATCTCTACTAAAAATACAAAAATTAGCCAGGCATGGTAGTGGGCGCCCGTAATCCCAGCTACATGGGAGGCTGAGGCAGAAGAATCTCTTGAACCTGGGAGGAAGAGGTTGCAGTGAGCCGAGATCGTGCCATTGCACTCCAGACTGGGCGACAGAGCGAGACTCCATCTCAAAAAAAAAAAAAAAAAAAATTACAATAGTAACATCAAAAATCACTGATCACAGATCACCATAACAGATATGATAATGAAAAAGGCTGAAATACTAGGAGAATTACAAAAACATGACACAGAAACACGAAGTGAGTACACGTTGTTAAAAAAAAAATGATACCAACAAGTCTGCTGGATAAAAGGTTGCCACAAACCTTCAATTTGTGAAAAATGCAATATCCATGAGGTGAACTAAAACAAAGTATGCCTGTATTATTACTTGCTATCCTATGATGGAATAATAATACCAACAACACAATGTTTTATGGCACTTTTATATTTATTATCTCATTTTTAAGTATCATAACCATCACCCTGTGAAAGGTTATCAGGATCAGAGAAAGGATATGATGTATGGTATGCACACCAGTACATGAACCCAGCATAAATGCCTCAGAACATTGTTTCGTTATTGTTGTTGTTGTCCTGTTTCCTTGTCTTACCAGAATGAACACGAAATTTGTCTGTTAAGACGAACTGATACTTACTGTTTGACCTTGTACAGGATATATCACCACACCGAGCCTCAGCTTCCCATTATAATACTGGCATAACAAAAGAGTTTTATAAGAATAAAACAACAACAGAAAAAGCTTTATAAAACCTAAAGGGCTATACTTTTTCAAATACCTTGTCCTTGCCAAAACTTGTCTATTTCTGATTCACTGTGTAACTATATTTTCTCCCCTTGGCCCATGCGTCATATGACAATACCAGATTTTGCTCAGCATTCTGAACTAAACCTCTAGTTTTCAGACTCTTTTACTTATTTTAATCAATAGAAAAGACCTGCTATGTTTGGAAAGATCGATTCCACAAAACAAATGGAAAACAATCATCCAAAAATTTGTTAAGCATCAACTATATACCAGAAACTGTGAATCAGAAAATAACATATGGTGAAAAATATGAGACCTACTAAACTGAAAGATCATTAAAAGCTGAAGTCTAACCAATTTTTCACCCATCTACAAAAAGCTAAGATTTCTTTTCCCTTCCTCCTGCTTTAATTCTAATTCTTCCCACCACCTCTGTTGGATAGAGGAAGAAGGCAAAAAGAAGCATGAGGGAAAAGCTGGATTCAGCCACAAAGGCTCCACCAAGAACACTGGAATAAAACAAGCTATCTAGAAATCTACAGCACTCTGTACACTTCCAGATATCCCAAGTAATTAAGAAATAGAGAAAGAAAAAGAGCAAATTTACTGAACATGTACAAAATGTCAGTCATTGTTTGAGGCCCATACAAGTACATTATCACATTTAATATCTATTCAATCTTGAAAGGCTTGCATTCAGAGGCTGAAGTGAAGTTACAAAGGTTACACGCGGCCCTCTCCCTCCCCCTCCCCCTCCCCCTCTCCCTCTCCCCACGGTCTCCCTCTCCCTCTCTTTCCACGGTCTCCCTCTGATACCGAGCTGAAGCTGGACTGTACTGCTGCCATCTCGGCTCACTGCAACCTCCCTGCCTGATTCTCCTGCCTCAGCTTGCTGAGTGCCTGCGATTGCAGGCACGCGCCGCCACGCCTGACTGGTTTTCGTATTTTTTTGGTGGAGACGGGGTTTCGCTGTGTTGGACGGGCTGGTCTCCAGCTCCTAACCGTGAGTGATCCGGCCAGCCTCGGCCTCCCGAGGTGCCGGGATTGCAGATGGAGTCTGGTTCACTCAGTGCTCGATGTTGCCCAGGCTGGAGTGCAGTGGCGTGATCTCGGCTCACTACAACCTCCACCTCCCAGCCGCCTGCCTTGGCCTCCCAAAGTGCCGAGATTGCAGCCTCTGCCCGGCCGCCACCCCGTCTGGGAAGTGAGGAGCCTCTCTGCCTGGCCGCCCATCATCTGGGACGTGAGGAGCCCCTCTGCCTGGCTGCCCAGTCTGGAAAGTGAGGAGCGTCTCTGCCCGGCCGCCATCCCATCTAGAAAGTGAGGAGCACCTCTTCCCAGCCACCATCCCATCTAGGAAGTGAGGAGCGCCTCTTCCCGGCCGCCATCCCATCTAGGAAGTGAGGAGCGTCTCTGCCTGGCCGCCCATCGTCTGAGATGTGGGGAGCGCCTCTGCCCCGCCGCCCCGTCTGGGATGTGAGGAGCACCTCTACCCGGCCGCAACCCCGTCTGGGAGGTGAGGAGCGTCTCTGCCCGGCCGCCCCGTCTGAGAAGTGAGGAGCCCCTCCCCCCCGAAGCCGCCCCGTCTGAGAAGTGAGGAGCGTCACCGCCCGGCAGCCACCCCGTCCAGGAAGGAGGTGGAGGTCACCCACCGCTAGGCCAGCCGCCCCGTCCAGGAGGGAGGTGGGGGGGTCAGCCCCCCGCCTGGCCAGCCACCCCGTCCGGGAGGAGAGGGGAGCCTCCGCCCAGCCGCCCCTACTGGGAAGTGAGGAGCCCCTCTGCCCGGCCAGCTGCCCCGTCCGGGAGGGAGGTGGGGGGGTCAGCCCCCCGCCCGGCCAGCCACCCCGTCCGGGAGGTGAGGGGCGCCTCTGCCCGGCCGCCCCTACTGGGAAGTGAGGAGCCCCTCTGCCCGGCCAGCCACCCTGTCCGGGAGGGAGGTGGGGGGGTCAGCCCCCCGCCCGGCCAGCCGCCCCGTCCGGGAGGGAGGTGGGGGGGTCAGCCCCCCGCCCGGCCAGCCGCCCCGTCCGGGAGGGAGGTGGGGGGGTCAGCTCCCCGCCCGGCCAGCCGCCCCGTCCGGGAGGTGAGGGGCGCCTCTGCCCAGCCACCCCTACTGGAAAGTGAGGAGCCCCTCTGCCCGGCCAGCCGCCCCATCCGGGAGGGAGGTGGGGGGGTCAGCCCCCCGCCTGGCCAGTCGCCCCGTCCGGGAGGGAGGTGGGGGGGTCAGCCCCCTGCCCGGCCAGCCGCCCCGTCTGGGAGGTGGGGGGCGCCTCTGCCCGGCCGCCCCTACTGGGAAGTGAGGAGCCCCTCTGCCCGGCCAGCCGCCCCGTCCGGGAGGGAGGTGGGGGGGTCAGCCCCCCGCCCGGCCAGCCGCTCCGTCCGGGAGGTGGGGGGCGCCTCTGCCCGGCCGCCCCTACTGGGAAGTGAGGAGCCCCTCTGCCCGGCCACCACCCCGTCTGGGAGGTGTGCCCGGCAGCTCATTGAGAACGGGCCATGATGACAATGGCGGTTTTGTGGAGTAGAAAGTGGGGAAAAGAGTGAGAAATCGGATGGTTGCCGTGTTTGTGTAGTAGGAGGTAGACACAGGAGACTTTTCATTTTGTTCTGTACTAAGAAATATTCTTCTGCCTTGGGATCCTGTTGATCTGTGACCTTACCCCCAACCCTGTGCTCTCTGAAACATGTGCTGTGTCCACTCAGGGTTAAATGGATTAAGGGCGGTGCAAGATGTGCTTTGTTAAACAGATGCTTGAAGGCAGCATGCTCCTTAAGAGTCATCACCACTCCCTAATCTCAAGTACCCAGGGACACAAACACTGCGGAAGGCCACAGGGTCCTCCGCCTAGGAAAACCAGAGACCTTTGTTCACTTGTTTATCTGCTGACCTTCCCTCCACTATTGTCCTGTGACCCTGCCAAATCCCCCTCTGTGAGAAACACCCAAGAATGATCAATAAAAAATAAATAAATTAAAAAAAAAAAAAGAAAAAAAGAAAGGCTTGCATTCTTCTTTCATTCAACAAATATTCATTGGGCACTTACAATGTGCAAGGCACTATTCTAGGTACTTGAAATATATCGGTAAACAAACCTAATAGATGAAAATCCTGCCCTTCTAACAAGTGAAACTTATTCAAACGAGGAGAAAGACAAATGTTAACACAATACATAAATTAAGAATTACCTTAAACAGCAATAAATGCTATAGGAAAGAAACAGAACAGGCAAAGAGGATTAGGAGTATATAGGGGAAGGGTGTATGTGAAAAGGAGAAGAGGCTGTAATTTTAATTACAGTCGTTTGAGAAGGTGACATTTGAGGGAATTTGGTCATGTGACTCCTGAGGAAAGAGTATTCTAGGCAGAGAGAATCATCAGTGCACAAATCCTAAGGTGAAAGCCCATCTGCATGTACCAGGAACAGCAATGAGGTCAGTGTGGCTGAAGTGGAGAGACTAAAGAAAAGAATAGAAGTGGAAAGACTAAAGAAAAGAATAAAAGTAGAAAGGTAACACAGAAAAAACTAACAGGTGGTCAGATCCTATACGCCCTTTTAGGCCAGTGGCTTTTAAACTGAGTGAAATGAAGAGCCACTGGAGAGTCCTCAGCAAAGTAGTAAAATATTTCACTTACTTTTTGAAGGGATCACTCAGGCTGTTTGGAAAAGACTGCAAAAGGATGTGTAAAAGGGTAACTGAGAGACAAGATAGGAGGTTACTATAGTAATCCAGGTGAGAGATAATGGTGGTTTGAACCAGGGTAATGGCAGTGAAAGTGGTGGGGAATTGACACATCTGGGATATGTTTTCATGGTTTGATCGTCATTTTGATGATAAGTTGGCTGTGGGAGAAAGCAAGAGAAGTCTCAAGGATAGCCCCAACTAGAAAAAGAGTAGACATTTACTAACTGACAAATACTCTAGGAAGAGCAAGTGTTAGGCAGGGAATCAGTATTTGGAATATATTAATTAAGTCACTAAGACACCCAAATAGTAATGTCAAGTAGATACAGACATAGGTGTATATATGTGTACAATTCAGGAATAGTTTCTTAAACAGGTACATAAATTTAGGAGTTGTAAGCACATACTTGGTATTTACAGTCACGATCATCAAGAAAGTGAGTGCAGAAGATTTTTTTAAAGTATAACATCCCAGAAGTCATGTGAAAAAAAAGTATGTATAAGAAGGAATGATCAACTAAATCAAATGTTGCTAAGTCAAGAGAAATGATGACTATTGAGAAATTAACTTGAGATTTAGCAATATGAAGATCATTGGTGACCTTATCAAGAGTAGTTTCAATTCAGTGATGATATGGTTTGGATCTGTGTCCCCATCCAAATCTCATGTTGAAATGTAATCCCCAATGCTGGGGGTGGGGCCTGGTAGGGGGTGATTGGATCACAGGGGTATAGTTCTCATGAATTAATTTTAGCACCAACCCCCCTTGGTACTGTATACTGACAGAGTTGTAAGGAGATCTGGTTGTTTAAAAGTGTGTACCATCTCCCCCCACTCTCTCTCTCTTCCTCCAGCTCTGGCCATGTAAAATGTGCCTTTTTTCCTTTTGCCTTCCGCCCTGATTGTAAGTTTCCTGAGGCCTCAGTCACTATGCTTCCTGTATGGCCTGCAGAATCGTGAGCCAATTAAACCTCTTTTCTTTATAAATTACCTAGTCGCAGGCATTTCTTTATAGCAATGCGAGAATGGACTAACAAAAGTGATAATGGCAGAAGCCTAATTATACTGGATTTAAAAGGAAACAGGAAGAAAGAAATTAGAGTCATTGAGCACAGATAATCCTTTCAAGGAGTTTGCTGCAATTGGAAAGCAAATAACTGTTATCTGGTAAGGGAAGTAGTGTCAAACAAAAGAAGGTTTAAAGACAGAGGTAGCAGTAGGTTTGTCTTCATGTGGTAGTGATGCAGTATGAAAAAACTTTATGACATAGGAGTGAGAGTGGAGAACTGCTGGAGCAATGTCCCTAAGAAGCCATTAGGAAATAGATTCTAATGCACAAACGAAGGGATTGGTTATAGAAAAGTAAAGAATAATGGGTAGAAAGATAGGTTATATGGATGGAGATGGTGGTAGATGGGTAGACAGAGTAAAAGGAGTCTATGCAAGTTCTGTTCTGATGGCTTCAATTTTCTCAGTGAGGTAGGAACCAAAATCATCAGCTGAGAGATTGAGGATGAGATGTTGGAAGGTCTGATGAGAGAAAACATTAAATAAGTCATCTAAGAAAATAGAAGAATAAACAATCTAGGAAAATACAATATGAATGCCAGGTAGTATTAAGGACTCACTTGATACTTGATATTTGTGACCATGAATTTAAGTAAAACTAGTCAGCATGATTCTGCATTTTCCTCTCGACGTATATAGCTGCTAATTTAGACACTAACAGATACTAACTTAAAGTTTAAAAATGGCTGGATTTAAGCTGGACTTAAGTGAGAGTGAGACAAGAAAGCTGAGGGTATATGCAAGGAAGTTGAGAATGCAAATCATAGATAACAAAATACTATAAAATTTAAGTTGGACAGAAGAGAAAGTGATGACTCAAGGAACAAAGGAACACTTAAAAGATGCTAAGATCAATACGTTAATTATCATCTGTGTCATAAACAAGACTTAATTAAGTTGCCCAAATCACAAAGCATATGAATGACACAAATGGAACAGAATCTAAATCCAGATGTGTCTCATTCACATCATTCTGTCCATGGTACTGACAGCACCAAGCTGCTCTGTGAATTTGTTTTTCATCGGCATACTAACCTCCAAAAGGATGAACCTAATGCAAAACTAAAAGTTAAACTATTTTACCAGGCCTCGTGTACCTCCCTCTCCCTCAGTGTCCAATGCTCAGAGCCTGTCAGTGTCCAAACTTCCAAATGATACTGAATCTTGCCATATCCCACCATTTGTACAAAATCACTTTCACATTTCTCTGCAGATCGATCTCCTTCATAAAAATCTGAACCACTAAGAATTGCTCTGAATAGAAAAATATTTATACAAATAAATGACTATATAAACTTAACCTTCTTCATAGGTATTTTTGTTCTAACAGGGAGTCTAGTTAACCCACTTGAACCTCTATTGTGAAATATATTTAGGTCAAAATAATTGACCTAAGAACTTTTGGTTCTTGACTTTTATTATTTCTAGTACCTTCTCCCTTAAAAACACATATCCTTTACAAAATCTTAGAATTCCATTTTTCTTATCTTTCTCTCAGAGAATGAAAAAGTGATGACACTAACATGCCATGGATCAGACCCAAACTTGTGTTAAAGATATTTCAGGCTGGGTGCAGCGGCTCACACCTGCAATCCCAGGACTTTGGGAGGCCAAGGTGGGTGGATCGCTTGAAGCCAGGAATTCAAGACCAGCCTGACCAACATGGAGAAACCCTGTATCTATTAAAATTACAAAAATTAGCCAGGCTTGATGGCTCACACCTGTAATTCCAGCTACTCAGGAGGCTGAGGCACGAGAATCACTTGAACCCGGGAGGCAGAGGTTGCAGTGAGCCAAGATCGTGCCACTGCACTCCACCCTGGGTGACAGTGGGAGACTCCGTCTCAGAAAAGGAAAAAAAGAAAAAAAAATTAGCCAGGCACCATGGCTCACACCTGTAATCCCAGCTACTCAGGAGGTTGAGGCGTGAGGATCACTTGAACCCAGGAAGTGGAGGCTGCAGTGAGCCGAGATCACACCACTGCACTCCAGCCTGGACAACAGTGCAAGACTCTGTCACAAAAATAAATAAATAAGTAAAAATATTTTATACTTAGAACTCTAAATTGAACATTATAGTAAGCGTGGGACTACCTGGCAAAGCAAGAACTAAGCGTAGCCAGTTGGAGAACTCTAGTGTTCTTCTGAGTATATGGCTAAAAAAACAAGTCTTATTCATAATTTATGTCAAGACTATTATTTTTAAAGAAACCATCAAGTTAGCACAATAAGAAGGTTTCAGTCCTGAACATACACCAAAGTATCATCACTGATTATCACGGAAGACAGAAGGAAGAATTCTACTATAAACATTATACATCTCTATTTAATTTATTTTCAATTAGCATGTGTGGTGGATTCTATCACAATTTGTAATTATTCACTCCACTTTCCTTCAAAAGGAGCATCATCCACACCTGTTCCTATGTAACTGACAGCACTCCCATAAGAGTAACATCCCTGCTCCACTGACTTTGGCCTTGGCCACTGGTTTGCTTTGGCCAATGGTATATAAACAAACATCCAAGCAGAAGTTTTAAGAGCCACTGTGTATTCCTGCCAAATCATTTTCTTTTTTCCCTCTGTTACAAGAACAGCATGGCCCAAATAGAAGTTGTTCTCTAGCCTGGATCTCAGAATTAGAAGATATGTGGAGCACGAGCAGAGCCACTGCCAACCTTCAGCCAACATGAAGCAAGAGCAAAAATAAGCAATTGTTGTTGTGAGCTGCTGAAATAGAGGTCATTTGTTATGCAGCATAACTTAGCAGAAGTACACAATACATTGTGTATTACTTTTATAATCAGAAAAACAAATAGATTTTGCTGTTTCAAACTTTAAGGACAGCAGTTATTTTAATGCTTCAACAACTAGAAAAAGATGAATTTCAATCCAATTTTTAAGACACCAGAGTGCTTATGAAAGAACAAGAAGTAGATGAACTGAAATTCTAGAAAGAGAAGAGCCCTTCCTAGGTGTGCAGATAACCATCTCCTATTTTATTTCCTGGGAGCATTTGAAAATTCTGGACAGAGACTGAGAACTGAGATTGGCCCAGACAGAAAGACTCCACTGGTGAAAGTAGAAAGCAGGCTGGGCGTGGTGGCTCACACCTGTAATCCCAGCACTTTGGGAGGCCGAGGTGAGCAGATCACCTGAGGTCAGGAGTTCGAAACCAGCCTGACCAACACGAAGCCTGACCAACACCCGTCTCTACCAAAAATACAAAATTAGCCAGCCATAGTGGCACATGGCTGTAATCCCAGCTACTCAGGAACCTGAGGCAGGAGAATCGCTTGAACCCGGGAGGCGGAGGTTGCAGTGAGCCGAGATCACGCCATTGCACTCCAGCCTGGGCAACAAGAGCGAAACTCTGTCTCAAAAAAAAAAAAAAAAAAAAAAGAAAGTAGAAAGCAGCTGAGCTTTTTCATGCAGTAGTCTGAAAACTAGAAAGCCCCAAATGCAAGGTTGAAAGGAACATTTGCTGAATTCTAAGTAATGAAGGAGGCTGGGAGACGTGCTAGAAGGGCAGAGTGAAATCTCCCTCAGTATTACAGTGCTTACCAGAAAAAAAGCCTTCCTAGAAACAGGGGACAAACCGCAAAAAACACATGACAGACCTCCCACATTTGCATGAATTTAAAGCACTGTAAATAAACCAAGAGATTACCGGGCTAATCTCAAAACCTCTAAAGAACAGAATTAGATCTCCTGCAGTCTTTCAGGGCTGTGGAGAAGAAATCTGACAGTCTTTCAATCAAAAATCTGAGTATGTCAATGGAGACAAACCAGAGATAGACTAAATCTTACTAAAACTGCAATGCAGACTGACCCTAATAAAACTCTAATTAAATTGGCCTAACAACTAAAAAGGGGAATCATCTCTGGTGGAAGATATCACCTTCAGCCTCTACATAAATTATTACAAGTTTCAGCATATAATAAATGTGAAATTTATTAATTTCATATATTGTATTTCAAAACATATATTGTATGTTTTTCACATACAATATATGTGAAAAAAAAAAAACAAGAAAAAATGACCTGTAATCAAGACTAAAAGCAAAGCTAGAGATGACACTGATAGTGGAGTTAGGAGACAATGGCTTTAAAATAGCCATTATCCATAGGCTAATGAAAGGGAAGGAAAAAAAATGAATAAAATTTATAAAAGGATGGAGATAATCAACAAAAAAGGAAACCTATTTAAAAATAATAAAACTTCCTAGAGCTGAGAAAATAAGCTATTAAAACTTATTGGATAGGTTATTCAACCTGGCACAGAAGAGGAGAGAAATTGTAAGTTTAAAAAATAGCTCAACAAAAAATACAAAATTGAACCACAGAGAGAAAAGACAGAATAACCACATGAGACATGTGGGACAGTCAAAACGCCTAACACAGTTTAGAGGAGAGAGAGATTGGGGTAGAAGCAAAATATAAAGATATAAAATACAAATTTTTCCAAGGCTGATAAAAAAAAAACCATTAACCCAGCAAACCCCAAACATGATAAATGCAAAGAAACCCATGCCTAGGCACCATACAAACTATTAATGAACTAAAGACAAAAATAAAAATCTTAAATGCAGCCAAAAAAACGCACACTCCTTAAAGGAGCAACAATAAGGAAAAACAAAGGAATTACATATCTGAAGTGCTATAAGAATAAAAGATTCAGGCTGGACATGGTGGCTCACACCTGTAATCCCAACACTTTGGGAGGCTGAGGCAGGAAGATAGCTTGAGGCCAGGAGTTTGAGACCAGCCTGGTCAACATAGTGAGACCCCATCTCTACAAAACCTAAAACAAAAAATTTAGCTGAGCACAGTGGTGCCACCTGTACTCCCAGCTACTTGAGAGGATAAGGTAGGAGGATCGCTCGAGCCTAGGAGTTAGAGGCTGCAGTGAGCTATGATCACACCACTGCACTCCAGCCTCAGTAACAGAGCGAGACCCTGTCTCAAAACAGCAACACATGCCAGCCCAGAATTCTGTACCAATAAGTTTTTCCTTCAAAAAAGAAGTCAAAATAAAGGGATTTCAGACAAAAGCTGAGAAAATCTGCCTCAAAGAGACTGGCACTACAAGAAATATTAAAGGAATTTTTTCAGGCTAAAGGAAAATTATCCTGGATGGTAGCAAAGAACTGTAAAAATGAATTATGAGCATTAGAAAGGGTACACATGTGGATAAATATAAAAGAATATTAACTGTTTACAAAAAAATTATGTGGTTTGTATCATATATTGAAATAAAATATGAAAAAAATAGCACAAAGGGCAGGAGGGAATAAACAAAGTTAAACTGTCCTAAGTTTTGCATTGTTTGGGAAGTGGTAAAACATTAAGATACACTAAAAAAAATCAAGATTTATTAAAATCTCTAAGATAACTAAAAAATAACCACAGAAGAATGTATAACTGAAAAGCTAATGAGCCAAAATGGAGTTTAGAAAACCTGACAAATAATACAGGCAGGAAAGAAATTTAAACACCCAAAGTATGGATGGGACAAATAGAAAAGAAACAGTAAGATAAAAGATTTATGCCCAACTATACTAGTAACCACATTAAATGTAAATAGAATACCTATTACAACTAAAGCACAAAGATTGTCAAACTAGATAAAACAAACATGACCTGACTATATGACATTTCCAAGAGATATACTGTAAATACAAGAATATAGATTGGCTGAACTAAAAAGAAGAAAAAATCATACCATGGAAGTATTGATGAAAAGAAAGAGTGACTATATTAATAGAAGGTAAAAGTAGACTTGAAGGCAAGAAATATTACCAGAGATAAAGAAGGTCATTTCATAATGACAAAAAGGTCATTTCAACCGTAAAATAACAATGCCAAGTTTTAATTCACCTAGTAAGAGCTTCCAACTACATGAGGGGAAAACTGAAAGAACTAAAAGTCAACAAAACTACAGTCATAGTTTATAATTTTAAGACACTACTCTCAAAACTGAGAGAACAGGAAAAAAGAAATCAGTCATTTGAAGATTTGAACAACTTGATTAACCAATATGACCTTACTGACAAAGAACATTAACACCAAAGACTGCAGAATCAACATTCAAGTACACATGAAGTGTATGAATCTATCAATCACAAATGCTTTCAGAGAATAAAAAAGAGAGAGACTTCCCAATTCAAGTACACATGAAACGTATCAATCTATCACAAACACTTTGAAATAAAACAGAGAGAGACTTCCCAATTCTTTTTACAAGGCTAACAAACATTGATAACAAAATCTGACAAAAATATTATAATAAAGGACTATTACAGGCCAATATCTTTCATGAATAGATGTAAAAATTCTAAAGAGAATATTAACAAATTGAATCTAATGGTACATAAAAGGGACAATACATTATGACAAAGTAACGTTTATCCTAGGAGTATAAAGTTGGTTTAACATTTAAAAATCAATCAATGTAATTCACCACATCACAGAATTAAGGATACAACCATATGATTTATCTCAACAAAAGCAAAAAATTTGACAAAGTTTACCACCTATTCATGATTTAGAAAACTATCAGACTGGGCGCAGTGGCTCACACCTGTAATCCCAGCACTTTGGGAGGCCGAGGTGGGAATATCATTTGAGCCAGGAGTTCAAGGCCAGTCTGGGCAACAGAGCAAGGCCCTCTCTCTATAAAATTTTTTTCAAAAAAGAAAAGAAAACTAGGAATAGATAAGAACTTCTTTAATCTGATAAAGGTTACCTATAAAACTTACAACTAACATCATAATTGGTAAATATTGAACATTTTCCCCTAAGTTTAGGAGTGAGACTATTTCAATTAAACATTGTTCTAGAAGCCTTGGCCATTGCAATAAGGGAAAACAAAGAAACAATTATAAAGACTGGAAAGAAATAAGTAAAATAGTTACTATTCTCAGATGATTTGGTTGTTTGCATAGGAAATACAAAAAATCTATAAAATATTAAATATTAAAAATAAGCAAATTTAGCGGGTTGCTGCTTATAAGATAAAAATACAACTGTAATTCTATGTATTAAACAATTCAAAATGAAATTTAAATAACGAATACCATTTACAATAGCACTTTCAAAACATTAAAATAGCTAGCCATAACGCTAACAAATGATATGCGAAACCTCTACATTGTAAACCAAAAAATACTGCTGAAAGAACTTAAAGACCCAAGTAAATGGATAGATAATCCATGTTCATGGACTAGAAGACTCTATATTGTTAAGATGCCAATTCTCCCCACATTGATCTATAGCCTCAATGCAATCCCAATCATAATATTAACAGTTTTGTTTTCACTGAAATATGATTCTAAATGTATATGGAAACACAAAGGATAGAGTATACCCACCACAAAAAAAAATGTTGAAGAAGAAATAAAATTGAAGGAACTTATACCACCAGATACCAAGATTTAGTATAGAGCTACAGTAATTAAGACAGGGTAGTATTTGTACATAAATAGACCAGTGGAAGAGCATATACACTCTAGTAAGACTCACCTGATTTATATCAAAAGTGTTCTATAATCCAATGGTTTAAGGGCAATTTTTTTTTCAAAAAATGGGGCCAAATCAATTGAATATCCTATGTTTTATTTTAAAAATTCCTGGTTTTTACCTCACATCATTCATTATAAGATAATTTGAAATGCATCATAGAGCTTTGAGTAAAAAAGAAAGTAATACAATTTCAAAAAGAAAACTTTGGAGAATATTTTCATGATCCTGTAATAGGCAAAGATTTCTTAAACAAAACATTAACAAACCAACTAAACCATAAAAAGCAAACTTGATAAGTTAAGGTTCATTAGAATTGAAAACTTTTATTTATTATAATACACTATTAAGAGAGTGAAATGACTAGCCTCAGACTGGGAGAAGAAATTTGCCATGCAAAGGTCTCATATTCAGAATACATAAGGAATTCCTATAAATCCATAAGACAAAGACAGAATAACTTTAAAATATGTCAAAAATTAATATTAAAAGGTGATCACCATCATTATTTGCCTGGGAAATGAAAAGGAGAAGCCAGTGCACACTGACCAGAATGACTGAAATTAAAAAGACTGACAATACACAATATTGACAAAAATGTAGAACTACTCAAACCCTCCTACATTGCTGGTGGGGATGTAAAATGGTACAGCCACTTTGGAAGACAACCATCCAACAATTATACTCTTAAAAATGAAACAATATATTCATAAAAAGAAATACACGAGAATATTCATAGCAGGTTTTCTTTGTAAGTCAAAAATTAGAAACAATTCAAATGTCCATTAACAGAAGAATAAATAATGATCCATTCATTCAATGAAACACTACATAGCAATAAAAAGAACCAAGGTATACCAACATCATGGATGAATGTCATAACCATAATAAACGAAAGAAGTCATTCCCTTTACATGAAGTGCAAGAACAGGAAAGACTAATCTATGATAATAAAAATCAGAATAATAATTACTTGGGAGTGACAGGAGAAGTGGATATTAGTTAACCTGTGAAAACCATGAAGGAGAGGCTTCTGGAGTGCTGGAGATGTTCTACATCTTGATCTGAGTGTTAATTGTAAGAGTTTGTACACATAAAAAACTCACCATGCTATACAATTAACATCTGTACATTTTACTATATGCATGTTATATCTCAAATTTAAAAATTGCTACTACAGCAAGCAATTCATATGGATGTATACTTGGAGAAAATCTTCTTACAATAAAGGATACACTGGATAATTCTTCAAAAATACCCAAGACCAGGAGAAAGGTATTTTAGCCCCAACTCAGTCATTTAGATACGTAAGCTCAAATAAATCATCTAACTAGGTCTTAGTTTCTTTACCTACTAGAGTGTGTTAGTATAGATAATCCTTAAATTTCTTCCTATATCCAAAAATCTGAGTATTTGAAATAAACTGCTTAATTTTAAAAACTGAAGTCTCAAATTTCAAATTACCAGATAGTCACCTAAGGCGTAACTGTAACAAAACTGTGTTCACTCCTGTAATTCCAATTTAAGATGGCTAAAATCAGACAACTGCATGCTGCCATTTATCCTGAATGTCCTATACCTATATTTAAGTTCATCTACTTTAGCCTAGACACTCTGGTACCACCGTTTCAGCAGATGAGAAACTTGACAGCCAGATTACCTTCCCTTTCTTTTCTAAGGATAAGTTATTCATTCTTCCAGGCCTTACTGAAACACTACCTTCCTTAAAATGCCATCCCTCCTACAGCCATTCAGTCAAAATTAATTGTTCCTTCCTCTGTGCACCCACGGCATGTTGCTTGTACTTCTATTACAGCTTTTATTTCATTCTGTATTTTAGCTACTTGCTTTCATGTATGCACGTGGTCCCTTTCCAAAGGAAGGATATACCCATTCAGCCAACCAGATCAGCTAAGTCAAACCTGGAAATCAATGGTGGCAACAGAGTAAGATCATCTTTACATACTATTCTATGTTTATGGTGGCAAAGTAAGATAGCAGATACTAAAAGCTGCCATCCTCTACTCAAAGCAGGAAGAGATTACAATAAATATTCAAGATACTGAATTAATTTCAGTTCTTACTTTTGCTTACACACCAGTAGAACAATGAAATAGCCATAGGCAGAGAGCTGAATAAAGAAGTAAATTAGGCCTGTAATGGGGAAAAAAACATTTATTAATTAACAAATTATTAACTTGTTAACAAATAGATGGCTAGGGAGAAGGCAAGTGGACTGACTATTCGGCGACTACACACTCAGCATCCCTTTGATGTTAACTGATCCTGTTCCTGCCAACATGGTTTGTAGAACCTAAGCTCTATCCTCTGATCACAGATGACTGATCTAGGACAATCAGCATTCTTCCTCAAACATTTTAGAAACACTGCAAAAATAAAGTCAGTCCTCTGAATGGCTAAAATGGTAATATGTAAATAATTAGGGAAGTGTTGACACTGTTTTTCCCAAAGTGGAGAAGGGAAGTTTGTGATAAGAGAAAATGAAGACTACTTACAGGGTAGAGCAAAGATGAGAAACAGTCCTCGGGAATCTTCAACCCTGGGTCCAATGTTCCTAGGACCCAATCTTGTGTTTGGGTTTTGTGAGGCAGACACCCCAATATTCTTATAATAATTGTTCCCTTTTACTAAAGCTAGTTCAATTTGAGTTGTCACTTGCAACCAAAACAATCTCATGATATACTGAGGATAGTTTGAATATCCTCAATTAACCATGCTTCCTAGCATTTACACCCTTGGGTAGTCTCTTCCCACAAAGACTCTGGGCTGAGCCTGTGACTATTTGACCAACAGAATAATGGCAGAAGTGATGCTGTGAAAGTTTCAGGCCTATCCCTTGGCCTGGCATCTTCTGCTTCCTCTGTCTCACAATGCTTGCTCTTAGAATACTTCTTATAACCCAACTATCACACCATGAGGCTAAGGAATCAGCCATATAGAAAGACCCACATGTAGGAGAACCAAAGCCCTGGCCAACAATCCCAGTTGAGCCTCCAGATATCACAGCTCTATCAGAACCCCAACAAATGCCACCGGAAGCAGAACCAAATTAGTTCACAGAAATGTGAAAAATACTAAATCGTAGTTTCAAGTAACTAAATTTTGTGATGTTTTGTAATGCAAATGTTAACTAATATAAAAGTTCGATTCACATGCAGGTAACTTGGAATTATATTTCCCTTACAACAGGCTACGTCTTGAGTAGGAGTTGGCAAACTACAGCCCTTAGACCAATTCTGGCCTGCCATTTCTTTTTATAACTAAAATTTCGGTGGGACACTATAATGCTCATTCATTTATACACTGTCTACAGCTGCTTTCATGCTACAAGGGCAGAGCTGAATAGTTGTGAGAGAAATCATATACAGCTCACAAAGCCTAAAAATTCACTATCTAGTCTTTTACTAAAAAAGTTTTGAAAACCCTGTCATACAGTACTTGGCAAGGGTTTCAATATAAAAATACCTTAAAATGTGAACCATTTTACAATCAACTAATCATACTTAAAGCATAACATTATAAATACTTAGTAGTTTTAGCCTAACACCATGCAAAGTACATGATACACTACATATTGAGTTGAGCTGTATTGTTTGTTAACAAGTCAGGCTATGGTCAGACCAATATATCACTCATAGACAGAAAAACAATAAAATAACAAAATTAGATCCATTACCATTCAGCTGCTTAAAAGTTTCTACTATTTGGGAAGACTGCATTATTCATCTTTGAGTTTGTCATGTATTATATGACCTACTCCTGAATTGTGCTAAAAATCAGAAATGAATGTTTCATTGTGATGCATAATTGACAATTTTTTTGTTTGTTTGTTTTGAGAGGGAGTTTAACTCTTGTAGCCCAGGCTGGAGTGCAATGGTGTGATCTTGGCTCACTGCAACCTCCGCCTCCCAGGTTCAAGTGATTCTCCTGCCTCAGACTCCTGGCAATTTTTTAAAATTAACACTTCACAAACTCACCTGCAAAAGAAAATTTGAAAATCCAAGTCCAGTATAAACCTAAATTTGGCCAAGCATGGTGTCTCATGCCTGTAATCCCAGCACTTTGGGGGGCTAAGGCGGGTGGATCACCTGAGGTCAGGAATTAAAGACCAGCCTGGCCAACATGACGAAGCCCTTTCTCTACTAAAAGTACAAAACTCAGCCAGGTATGGTGGCAGGTGCCTGTAATCCCAGCTATTTGGGAAGAGAATTACTTGAACCTGGGAGGCGGAGGCTGCAGTGAGCTGAGATAGCACCACTGCACTCCAGTCTGGGGAACAGAGAGAGACTCCGTATCAAAAAAAAAAAAAAAAAAAATCTAACAAACAAACAAGAAAACAGTGGGCTGAGTTGCTGGCAAGATGGCCGAATAGGAACAGCTTCGATCTGCAGCTCCCAGCGAGATCAACGCAGAAGGCAGGTGATTTGTGTGTTTCCAACTGAGGTACCTGGCTCATCTCATTGGGACTGGTTAGACAGTGGTTGCAGCCCACAGAGGGCGAGCAGAAGCAGGGTGGGGCATTGCCTCACCCAGGAAGCACAAAGGGTCAGGGAATTCCCATCCGTAGCCAAGGGAAGCCCTGAGGGACTGTGCTGTAAGGAACTGTGCACTCAGGCTCAGTAGACCGTACACTCCCTTGGTCTTCACAACCCATAGACCAGGAGATTCCCTCTGGTGCCTGTGCCACCAGGGCCCTGGGTTTCAACAGAAAACTGAGTGGTCGTTTGGACAGACAGCGAGCTAGCTGCAGGAGGTTTTTGTTTTGTTTTTTTTTCATACCCCAGTGGTACCTGGAACACCAGCAAGACAGAGCCATTCACTCCCCCGGAAAGGGGGCTTAAGCCAGGGAGCCAAGTGGTCTAGCTCAGGGGAACCCACCCCCAAGGAGCCCAGCAAGCTAAGATCGACTGGCTTGAAATTCTCCCTGCCAGCACAGCAGTCTGAAGTTGACCAGGGACACTCCAGCTTGGTGCAAGGAGGGACGTCCACCATTACTGAGGCTTGAGTAGGCAGTTTTCCCCTCACGGTGTAAACAAAGCCCAGGGAAGTTCCAACCCGTCGGAACCCTCTGCAGCTCAGCCAAGCCGCTGTAGCCAGACTGCCTCTCTAGAATCCTCCACTCTGGGCAGGGCATCTCTGAAAAAAAGGTGGGAGCCCCAGTCAGGGGCTTATAGATAAAACCTCCATCGCCCTGGGACAGAGTACCTAGGGGAAGGGGTGGCTGTGAGCACAGCTTCAGCAGACTTAAACGTCCCTGCCTGCCAGCTCTGAAGACAGGAGCAGATCCCCCAGCACAGTGCTTGAGCTCTGCTAAGGGACAGACGGCCTCAAGTGGGTCCCTGACCCCCATGCCTCCCAGCAGGGGTCGACAGACACCTCATACAGGAGAGCTCTGGCTGGCATCTGGCAGGTGCCCCTCTGGGATGAAGCTTCCAGAGGAAGGAACAGGTAGCAATCTTTACCATTCTGCAGCCTCCACTGGTGATACCTATGCAAAGAGGGTCTGGAGTGGACCTCCAGCAAACTAGAGCAGACCTTCAGCAGAGAGGCCTGAGTGTTAGAAGGAAAACTAACAAACAGAAAGGGATAGCATCAACATTAACAAAAAGGACGTCCACTCACAGACCCCTTCTGAATGTCACCAAAATCAAAGAACAAAGGTAGATAAATCCACAAAGATAGGGAGAAACCAGCACAAAAATGCTGAAAATTCCAAAAACCAGAACGTCTCTTCTCCTCCAAAGGATCACAACTCCTCGCCAGCAAGGGAACAAAACTGGACGGATAATGAGTCTAATGAATTGACAAAAGTAGGCTTCAGAAAGTGGGTAGTAATGAACTCCTCCGAGCTGAAGGAGCATGTTCTAACCAAATGCAAGAAGCTAAGAACCTTGAAATAAGGTTAGACAAATTGCTAACTAGAATAACCAGTTTAGAGAAGAACATAAATGACCTGATGGAGCAGAAAAACACAGCACAAGAACTTTGTGAAGCATACACAAGTATCAACAGCCGAATTGATCAAGCAGAAGAAATGATATCAGAGATTGAACATCAACTTAATGAAATAAAACATGAAGACAAGATTAGAAAAAAAAATGAAAAGGAACAAACAAAGCCTCCAAGAAATATGGGACTATGTTAACAAAGACCAAACCTACGTTTGATTGGTGTACATGAAAGTGATGGGGAGAATGGAACAAAGTTGGAAAACATTCTTCAGGATATTATCCAGGAGAACTTCCTCAACCTAGCAAGACAGGCCAACATTCAAATTCAGGAAATACAGAGAACACCACAAAGATACTACTTGAGAAGAGCAACCCCAAGACACATAATCGACAGATTCACTGAGGTTGAAATGAAGGAAAAAATGTTAATGGCAGCCAGAGAGAAAGGTCGGGTTATCCACAAAGGAAGGCCATCAGACTAACAGCAGATCTCTCGGCAGAAATCATACAAGCCAGAAGACAGTGGGGGCCAATAGTCTACACTCTTACAGAAAAGAATTTTAAACCCAGAATTACCACATATCCAGCCAAACTAAGCTTCACAAGTGAAGGAGAAATAAAATCCTTTACAGACACGCAAATGCTGAGATTCTGTCACCACGAGGCCTGCCTTACAAGAGCTCCTGAAGGAAGTACTAAACATGGAAAGGAACAACCAGTACCAGCCACTGCAAAAACACACCAAATTGTAAAAACCATCGTCACTATGAAGAAGCTGCATCAACTAACGGTCAAAATAACCAGCTAGTATCATAATGACAGGATCAGATTCACACATAACAATATTTACCTTAAAGGTAAATGGGCTAAATGCCCCAATTAAAAGACACAGACTGCCACATTGGATAAAGAGTCAAGACCCATTGGTGTGCTGTATTCAGGAGACCCATCTCACATGCAAAGACACACATAGGCTAAAAATAAAGGGATGAAGGAATATTTACACAGCAAATGGAAAGCAAAAAAAGCAGAAGTGGCAATCCTAGTTTCTGATAAAACAGACTTTAAGCCAACAAAGATCAAAAGAGACAAAGAAGGACATTACATAATGGTAAAGGGATCAATGCAAAAGAAGAGCTAACTATCCTAAATATATATGCACCCAATACTGGAGCACCCAGATTCATAATGCAAGTTCATAGAGACCTACAGAGACTTAGACTCCCACACAATAATAGTGGGAGACTTTAACACCCCACTGTCAATATTAGACAGATCAACGAGACAGAAAATTAACAAGGTTATTCAGGACTTGAACTCAGCTCTGGACCAAGCAGACCTAATAGACATCTTCAGAACTCTCCACCCCAAACCAACAGAATATACATTCTTCTCAGGACCACATCACACTTACTCTAAAATTGACCATATAATTGGAAGTAAAACACTCCTCAGTAAATGCAAAAGAATGGAAATCATAACAAACAGTCTTCAGACCACAGTGCAATCAAATTAGAACTCAGGATTAAGAAACTCACTCAAAACCACACAACTACATGGAAACTGAACAACCTGCCCCTGAATGACTACTGGGTAAATAATGAAATTAAGGCAGAAATAAATAAGTTCCTTGAAACCAATGAGAACAAAGACACAACGTACCAGAATCTCTGGGACACAGCTAAAGCATTGTTTAGAGCAAAATTTATAGCACCAAAGGCCCACAAGAGAAAGCAGGAAAGATATAAAATCGATACCCTAACATCACAATTAAAAGAACTAGAGAAGAAAGAGCAAACAATTTTAAAAGCTAGCAGAAGACACGAAATAACTAAGGTCAGCGCAGAACTGAAGGAGATACAGACATGAAAATCTCCTCAAAAAAATTAATGAATCCAGGAGCTGTTTTTTTTTTTTTGAAAAGATCAACAAAATAGATAAAACACTAGCCAGACTAATAAAGAAGAAAAGAGAGAAGAATCAAATAGGGGATAAAGGGGATATTACCACTGATCCCACAGAAATACAAACTACCATCAGAGAATACTATAAACGCCTCTATGCAAATAAACTAGAAAATCTAGAAGAAACTAATAAATTCCTGGACACATACACTTTCCCAAGTCTAAACCAGAAAGAAGTGGAATTCCTGAATAGACCAGTAACAAGTTCTGAAATTGAGGCAGTAATAGCCTACTAACCAAAAAAAGTCCAGGACCAGAAGGATTCACAGCTGAATTCTACCAGAAGTACAAAGAGGAGCTGGTACCATTCCTTTTGGAACTACTGCAAACAATAGAAAAAGAGGGAATCCTCCCTAACTCATTTTATGAGGACAGTATCATCCTGATACCAAAACCTGGCAGAGACACAACAAAAAAAGAAAATTTCAGGCCAATATCCCTGATGAACATCAGTGCAAAAATCCTCGATAAAATATTGGCAAACCGAATCCAATAGCACATCAGAAAGCTTTTCCACCATGATCAAGTCAGCTTCATCCCTGGGATGCAATGCTGGTTCAACATATACAAATCAATAAATGTAATCTACCACAAAACCGAAGCAATGACAAAAACCACATGATTATCTCAGTAGATGCAGAAAAGGCCTTCGACAAAATTCAACACCCCTTCATGCTAAAAACTAATAAACTAGGTATTGATGGAATGTATCTCAAAATAATAAGAGCTATTTATGACAAACCCACAGCCAACATCATACTGAATGGGCAAAAACCAGAAGCATTCCCTTTGAAAACCAGCACAAGACAAGGATGCACTCTCTCACACTCCTATTCAACATAGTATTGAAAGTTCTGGCCAGGGCAATCAGGCAAGAGAAAGCAATAAAGTGTATTCAAATAGGAAGAGGAAGTCAAATTGTCTCTG
Organism: Homo sapiens; assembly: GCF_000001405.40. Lineage (NCBI taxonomy): Eukaryota > Metazoa > Chordata > Mammalia > Primates > Hominidae > Homo > Homo sapiens. The sequence continues at coordinate 66,526,427 of NC_000014.9, read as the reverse complement.
TTTGCAGATAACATGATTGTATATTTAGAAAACCCCATCGTCTCAGCCCAAAATCTCCTTAAGCTGATAAGCAACTTCAGCAAACTCTCAGGATACAAAATCAATGTGCAAAAATCACAAACATTCCTATACACCATTAACAGACAAACAACCAAATCATGAGTGAACTCCCATTCACAAGTGATACAAAGAGAATAAAATACCTAGGAATACAACTTACAACGGATGTGAAGGACCTCTTTAAGGAGAACTACAAACCACTGCTCAAGGAAATAAGAGAGGACACAATGAAATGGAAAAACATTCCATGCTAATGGATAGGGAGAATCAGTATGGTGAGCCATGCTGCCCAAAGTAATTTATAGATTCAATGCTATCCTCATCAAGCTACCATTGACTTTCTTTACAGAATTAAAAAAAAAAAAACTACTTTAAATTTCATATGGAACCAAAAAGAGCCCACATAGCCAAGACAATCCTAAGCAAAAAGAACAAAGCTGGAGGCATCATGCTAACTGACTTCAAACTATACTACAAGGCTACAGTAACCAAACCAGCGTGGTACAGGTACCAAAACAGATATATAAACCGATGGAACAGAACAGAGGCCTCAGAAATAACATCACACATCTACAACCATTTTATTTTTGACAAACCTGACAAAAACAAGAAATGGGGAAAGGATTTAATAAATGGTGTTCGTAAAACTGGCTACCCATATGCATAAAAGTGAAACTGGACCCCTTCCTTACACCTTACACAAAAATTAACTCAAGACAGATTAAATACTTAAATGTAAGACCTAAAACCATAAAAACCCTAGAAGAAAACCTAGGCAATACCATTCAGGACATAGGCATGGGCAAAGACTTCATGTCTAAAACACCAAAAGCAATGGCAACAAAAGCCAAAATTGACAAATGGGATCTAATTAAACTAAAGAGCATCTGCACAGCAAAAGAAACTACCATCAGAGTGAACAGGCAACCTACAGAATGGGAGAAAGTTTTTGCAATCTACTCATCTGACAAAGGGCTAATATCCAGAATCTACAAAGAACTTAAACAAATTTACAAGAAAAAAACAACCCCACCAAAAAGTGGGTGAAGGATATGAACAGACACTTCTCAAAAGAAGACATTTATGCAGCCAACACACATATGAAAAAAAGCTCATCATCACTGGTCATTACAGAAATGCAAATCAAAACCACAATGTGATACCATCTCACGCCAGTTAGAATGGTGATCATTAAAAAGTCAGGAAACAACAGATGCTGGAGAGGATGTAGAGAAATAGGCACGCTTTTACACTCTTGGGAGTGTAAATTAGTTCAATCATTAGGGAAGACACTGTGGTGATTCCTCAAGGATCTAGAACCAGAAATACCACGTGACCCAGCAATCCTATTACTGAGTATATACCCAAAGGATTATAAATCATTCTACTGTAAAGACACATGCACAGGTATGTTTACTGCGGCACTGTTCACAATAGCAAAGACTTGGAACCAACCCAAATGCCCATCAATGATAGACTGGATAAAGAGAAGTTGGCACATATACACGGTAGAATATGATGCAGCCATAAAAAAAGGATGAGTTCAGGTCCTTTGCAGGGACATCGATGAAGCTGGAAACCATCATTCTCAGCAAACTAACACGAGAACAGAAAACCAAACACCACATGTTCTCACTCATAAGTGGGAGTTGAAGAATGAGAACACATGGACACAAGGAGGGGAACATCATACACTGGGGCCTGTCGGGGTGTGGGGGGCTGCGGGAGGGATAGCATTAGGAGAAATACCTAATGTAGATGACAGGTTGATGGGTACAGCAAACCACCATGGCACGTGTATACCTATGTAACAAACCTGCATGTTCTGCACAGGTACCCCAGAACTTAAAGTATAATAATAATTTTTTAAAAAACTAAATTAATGATTCCCAAACTTTTCTACCAAAACTTATCTTTGGCAATGCTCTAAATTTGATAGATTCTCTTTTAGCATCTGATAGTTCTAAAAGTATCTTTTCCCTTTTATACATAATATTTATTTCCCTTATGCCCCAAATCATTGTTTATTTAACCTCAAACATATAAGGTCCTCATCTACTAATTTAAAGTTCCTCTACTACAAATCAACAATCATCTATATAAATATTTTATTTTACTATCACTTTACCACCCTGCATTACTGCCCCAGTTGCATAATATTTCAAACTTTAAAAACACCTTTTTAACTAGGGTACTTTAACTTTTTAACTAGAACACTTAGTATTCCATAACCATAGTACCCACATATATGTATGTGAATTTTCTCCACAGGTCTTAACAAGCCTTAGAGACTATCAGAGGCAGTCTTCCATACATACTTTACTTTAAACCTATATCTCAAAAATCTCAAATTCTTGCTGTTAGTTACTACACTACAAATAGCATCTTCTAACTCTAACTGCCCAAAACTTAAGCTGGAAGACAAGAATTTAGATCAAGCAGAACCCCAGTTCAGTATTGAACCTTAATGATGTTGCTAAAATAAGATAAAATAGTGGGAAAAGGGCATGGGGATACACCAAGATTGAGGTCAGATACCCAAAAGTTGTACAGGTTGCTTCTGTTGCCCTGTTTATTAAGGTAATTATATTCAAATGTATTATAATACACAACAAACATTTCATGAATATTTAGTATGTGGGCACACTCATTAAAGGTTTACTTCATTATCTCACTTACCACAACAACCCTCTAAGGCAGGCATATTAGTATTATTTTCCATTTGACAGATGAAAAAAACTAAAGCTTAGAGAAGTAACTCTAAAAACTTCACTTAGGTATAAACCCAGGTGGTCTAATCCAGAGCCCACCTACTATTCTGAGTATCTGTGTGAACCTAAAACATAATATTGTTCATCAAAGGTATTATGTCTTATTTTACAACAGCTTTATTTTAAATTTACAATAGCAAAATAATAACTATTTTGGAGGGAGTGCTAATTTTTTGTTTTCCAGATCTCTAGTGTAGCAATACATTTTAAATTTAAAAAGAAAAAGTAATACTTCAAATACCCCTTAATCACTATTATTCTTCTAAGCTTGATTGTGGGAATCTGTCATTACACTTAAGTTCATATAATTTTTTCTAAGGTCTATATATTTAGCAATTTGAACCTCTGTAGCACATGATATTGAATGAAATAAAATTGCACATATTGTGCAGTGGAAGTAACAGACATTTATTTTCATTTACACTTGTTATGAATGTCTGTGTCTTTTTCTAGTAATTTTTCCTGTTTGAAGGAAAACACTTTAGATCAATAATTTTGCCGTCACTAATAGATTTCAGCAATGATGGAATGGTAAACATGAGGCATGTTCCTCAGATTTAGGATTAATAAAATTTTAGAGCTGAAGGGGATTTTAGAGATCATCTACTCAACTTTCCATTTTACAAATAATGATACTAAACTCCCACTGAAAAAATCCAAAATAGAATTTCATCCAGTGTTCTTTCCCCACATAGTGGTAACAGAACCAAGACTGGTCAGTTTCTAGTCTTTGCTATCATAGATTTTCAGAATCAAATAAGAATATATTCAGTCAACATTTTAACAGGAAAAAAAAGGACAAACAAAAAAAGAGGTGGTGATTAGAAAAAAAAATTATATATTTTAAAGGTAAATCCAGGGTAAAATAATTAATTTTCACAATAAAGATTATTGTAGAAAAACCATTATTTTTACAGCAAAAAAAGTAAAAGAATACATATAAAAATCATACACAGATTTTCAAGAGATCATCTGCAGGGGAAAGACCACCATTTCCTAAAAAGGTGTTGAACAGAACTCAGGTGTATCTTGAAAAAGTGTTTAATTTTCAAATAAATTTGGAAGCACTAGACTAAATACAGGTTAAGAGGTTCCACAATTATTACTCACATCTTTAATATGCCTTCATATACTGTGAATCTCCAAATGGAGGGATGCATTATATGGCACTTTCCACATTTATTTGATCATGTAAAAGCATTTTCATATAATACATACTATAACATCTCCCGGACAAGTGTTGCTAGAACAAAATTTAGGAAACACTGGGAGGCACCATTTGTAGAAAAAAAGACTAAGACCCATAGGTGATCATAAATTCAAAATAAAGCAACATAAAGGGCTCTTTAAAAAATGGGTAAAATATTTCAATTATGTGTGTATTACTATTCTAAAATGTCTTTAGAGAACCACTCTTTTATATAGAGTATGAAAAAGTGGAGGTCAATCATTGTGAGTTCTCCTGATATACAAATTAACCACCCTTCACATCACAGGGGCCTAGGTTTAAGCCATTGATTGCCACACCCTAACTTATTCCAATTCCAATTTGAAACTATCTGCCAGAGGAGCATTTTCATGGCAGAAGCAGGAGAAAGAAGAAACAGTGACTGATATAATGAACTACATTCTCAGGGAAAAAAAGAATGAAGCAAAAAGGCATCAAGACTTCAGGGACCCTCTAAAAAAAAAGTTGTCTGCTTGCTCAGCACACTTTTCCCCTTTTAGTGACAGAAACTCCTCTCCTTTTAAAGACTTCCCTTGTTCCCTCTGCTGTGGTCTGAATGTGTGCGTCCCCCTCCAAAATGTTGAAACCAGACCCCCTATCCCACCCCACCCTGTGATGGTCTTAAAGAAGTAGAACCTTTGGAGGAGATTAGGTCACAAGGGGTCCACCCTCATAAATGGGATTAGTGCCCTCATAAAAGAGGCTTGAGGGAGCCCTCTTGCCCTTCCAACATATGTGGACATAGCTAGAAAGCCACAGTTAAGAAGGCATTGTCCCTGAGGAACAGGCCCTCACCAGACCAGATCTGCTAGTGCCTTGATCTTTGACTTCCCGGCCTCCAGAACTGTAAGAAATAAATTTCTGTTATTTATAAATTACCCAGTCTAAGTATTTTGCTATAGCAGCCCACACTAAGATACTCTCTCTATGTGATTCTGGTGAGGTTACCTATTTAGTATCCCCACTCCCAAGGATGGATATGTGATACAGACCTGGCCAATCAAGCCTCAACCTCCTGGTTACAATGACGGGCTCCAAAATTGACATGTGAGTCATGCCAGGTGAGCATCCTGGAAGTTTATATACAAATGTCACGAGAAAAAAAAAATTTCCTCTGACCACCATTTAACCCAGCAATTCCATTACTGGGTATATACCCAGAGAAATAGAAATCATTCTACCATAAAGACACATACACATGAATGTTCACTGTAGCACTATTCATAATAGCAAAGACATGGAATCAACCTAAATGCCCACCAATGGCAAACTGGATAAAGAAAATGTGGTTTGTATACATACATCATGGAATACTATGCAGCCATAAAAAAAATGAGATCATGTCTTTTGTGGGAACATGGATGGAGCTGGAGGTCATTATCCTCAGCAAACTAATGTAGGAACAGAAAACCAAATACCAGATGTTCTCACTTATAAGTGGGGGCTAAAAGAACTCATGGACACAAAGAAGGGAACGACAGACACTGGGGCCTGCTTGAGGGTAGGGGGTGGGAAGAGGGATAAGCAGGAAAAATAACTATTGGGTACCAGGCTTAGTAGCTAGGTGATGAAATAATCTGTAAAACAACCCCTCTGACATGAGTTTACCTATATAACAAACCTGCACATGTACCCTTGAAACTAAAATAAAAGTTTAAAAAAAAAAAGAAAATATTTCCTCTGGACTCACTAATTGGGAAGGGGAAACATGAAACTATTACTATAACTTCTCAATCTACCCCTCCTCTATAACCTCACAATTCTGACTATAAGAAGAAAGTCAGCCTGCAACATACTCAGAAAACAGAGCACTGAAATGGAGAGTAAGAGTTCATGATTACATTTCTTCCCGATCACATTATTTGAGTCCCTTAAGTCAGCTCCTCCTCTGTAATCTATGGCTATGTAAGTTTCCCTCTTCACTTAAGCTAATTTTGAGCTCAGTAACTCTCATTTGCAATAAAGAATCCTAATAAAAGGATCCTGTGTAACTCAAGAAGTATATTCAAAAGAACTTGTAAAGCTAAAAAGCTAATACCCAATGAAGGTGGGAATATTAATTAATACATCCTTATTGGAAAGTAAATTATCTATTAAAATTTTTAAGTTCATATACCCTTGACCCCAAAATTCTACAGATAGTAATCTTACATTATAAAAAACTTATAAACTTGTAATGATAAATGTATAATATTATTATCTACAACATCTGTCTCTGAAAAATCAGAAACCTCGATGTCCATCAATTAGGGACTAATTAAATATAGCATAACCTACAATGCAGTAAGACCCATTAAAGTGAAATATGTATATGAACATCTTTGAAGATCTCTATGAAATAATTCTGACATGCCAAAGAGGAGTATCATGTAGTAGTTAAGAGCTTACACTCTACGGACAGATTACATAGATTCAATTTGCAGCCTGTTCATTTACTGCACTAACTTGAGCAAGTTACTTAATCTCTCTCTGCTACAATTTCTTCAGCTGTAAAATGGTGACAACACTAACATATTATTACGAGGATTAAATGAATAGGCTCTGTAACAGGCTCTAGAAAGTATTTTACACTTCATAGGCTCTCAATAAAGTTAACCACTATTATTTTCACTAATATGAAAAGATGTCCAAAATATGCTACAGAGTTAGGGAGTGAAGGAAGAAAGTGCAAAATACTATGTATGAGCAAGAATCACAATCTCAAATGCCTATCAAGGTCAGGCAGCCAACACGTATTAAACAGAAACTGTGGGAAACTGAAGAACGCATGTTCTATCTTATGCAGACAGTAACTCTAAACAACTATTATGTGAGAAACATGTTGTGTGTTGCTGAATCTTAAGAAGCAAAAAAAATATGGATTTTATATGAAATATCTTTTTTTAAGTGTTAGAAACAAATACTTTTTCTAAAATACAGTAGGGGACTAATGAAACACTGGTTAGTTAGGGCCAGTGGTCCATCAATTTGCAAGCTCTGATGTATTGTATGATACACATACACATATTCAAATATATCAAATATATGACTGTATACAAAAGAATAAACAAAAAGATTTTTTAAGTGGTTAACACTAGAGAGAAACTAGAGAAGTAATGTGATGAGGCTTAATTTCGCATTTTACCTTTCTGTATTATTACATTCTTTATAACACATAAATATACTTTAATAAATTTAACTAATTAAAAGAATGACATAAGAATTCAGGAGCTTTCTTATTTGCAATTTTTAAAATTTTCTTTTATATTTTACATTGACATACAATAATTATACATACTTATGAGATACATAGTGATGTCTCCATACATATAATGTATGGTGATCAGATTAGATAATTAATATATCCATCATCTTGAACATTTATCATTTCTTTGTGTTGAGAACATTCAATATCCTCCTTCTAGCTATTTGAAACTATATATTACTGTTAACTATAGTCACCCTACAATGCTACAGAAGACTAGAATTTATTTCTCCAATCTAGCTGTAATTTTGTATCCTATAACACATTTCTCCCTGTATCCCCTTCCCCCGCCTCTTCCCAGTCTCTAGTATCCTCTGTTCTACTTTACTTCTATGAAACCAACTTTTTTTAGTTTCCACATAATAGTGAGGACATGCAGTGTTTAACTTTCCATTCCTGGCTTATTTCACTTAATATAATGTCCTTCAGTTCCATCCATGTTGCCATGAATGATAGGATTTCATTCTTTATGGCTGAACAGTATTCCATTATGCATATATACCATAATTTCTTTGCCCATTAATCTGCTGTTGGACACCTAGATTGAGTCTATATCTTAGCTATTGTGAACAGTGCTGCAGTAAATATGGTACACGTGTCTCTTCCATATACTGATTTCCTTTTCTTTGGGTAAGTGCCGAGTGGTGAAATTGATGGATCATATGGTAGTTCTATCTGTAGTCCTTTAAAGAACCTCTATACTGTTCTCCATAGTGGCTGTACTTGTTTACATTCCTATTAACAGTATATAAGAGGTCCCTTTTCTCTACATCCTTGGCAGCATTTGTCATTCTTTGTCTTTTTGATAACAGTGATCCTAACTGGGGTAAGAGAATACCTCACTGTGGTTTTGATTTGCATTTTCCTGATGATTAATGATGCTGAACATTGTTTAATGTATTTTTTGGCCATTTGTATGTCTTCTTTTGAGAAATATCCCATCTTTTTTTAATCAGATTGCATTTTTTGCAGGGTTTTTTTTGTTTTGTTTTTTTCTGGGTTATTTATTTATTTATTTATTTATTTATTTGGCTGTTAAGATGTTTGAGTTTCTTGTATATCCTAGATATTAATCCCCCGTCAGATGAACAGTTTGCAAATATTTTCTCCCATTCTATAGGCTGCCTTTCATTCTGTTGGTTATTTCCTTTGCTGTATAAAAGCTTTTTAGTTTACTATAATCCACTTGTTTATTTTTGCTTTTTTTGCCTGTGCTTTTGAGGTCTTATTTATAAAATTTTTTCCCAGACCAATGTCCTGAAACATTTCCCCTATGTTTTCTTCTAGCAGTTCCATAGTTTCCTGTCTTACATGTAGGTCTTTGATTCATTTTGAGTTAATTTTTGTACAGAATAAGAGGTGGGGCTCTAGTTTCATTCTTCTGCATATGGATATCCTTTTTCCCAGAAACATTTCTTGAAGATACTGTCCTTTCATCAGCAAATGTTCCTGGGACCTTTCTCAAAACTCAGTTGGCTGTAGATATGAGGATTAATTTCTGGGTTCTCGATTCTGTTCCTTTGGTCTATGTGTCTGTTTTTACACCAGTACCATGCTGTTTTGGTTACTATCACTCTGTAGTATATTTTAAAGTCTGATAGTATGATGTCTCCAGCTTTGTCCTTTTTGTTCAGGATTGCTTTGGCTATTCCAGGTCCTTTATGGTTCCATACAAATTTTAACTTTTTTTTCCCTATTTCTGTGAAGAATGTCATTGGTATAGAATGTCATTGATAGGACTGCATTGAATCTGTAGATTGCTTTGGGTAGTGCCCACTTGCAGTTTAATCCAAACGTAACTTCTACAATGTGGATGTTAATTTTATGAAAGCATAATTTTTAAAGTTTAGACTATAATCAAAATGTTCTGTATAGACTCTTAGGTGAAAGTGAAGAGGGGGGCACCACCGTGTAAATGTTCCTTCATCTTTTTACATCTGAAAATAGTATTTTTACTCTATTCAGTTTCTTCTTTTTTTTTTTTTTTTTTTTTTTTTTGAGATGGAGTCTCACTGTGTGGCCAGGCTGGAGTACAGTGGCACAGTCTTGGCTCACTACAATCTCTGCCTCAGGGGTTCAAGTGATTCTCCTGCCTCACTCCCGAGTAGCTGGGATTACAGGCACACACCACCATGCCTGCCTAATTTTCATATTTTTAGTAGAGGTGGGGTTTCACCATGTTGGCCAGGATGGTCTCAATCTCCTGACTTCGTGATCTGCCCGCCTCAGCCTCCCAAAGTGCTGGGATTACAGGCGTGAGCCCCTGTGCCTGGCTCAGTTTCTTATTTATAAGATATCCAACAGTTCTTAACCATTAATTAGACTTTAAAGATTATTAATTTCAAGTGCACATTAATGTGTTTTTTAAAAGAACAAGAAATAATTAAAAGAAACATTTCATTTTTACTTAGCATTCAAATTGCACTTAATCTCTTTCACTCATAGAGTGGATTTTTATTAACATTTACAGCATCAGGCAGACACATTTAGCCATGATCCTGAAATCGTGAAGTACTATACAAAGAAATAAAGCTATTTATTATAGTAATATCCACTCATTTTCTGATGCCCTGAACCCAAAAGTGAAAATATGTGCCTTTAGACCCTCACTTCAAATCTAACTGGATGTAATATCACAAATAATTCTTAGCAAGTTTATGTGGTTCCCAAGGATATAGTAGATTAGAAGGGCAGGGCAGGAAGAGGAAGGGCAAGTGGGTAAAACCTGAAAAGCATATACGTTATGGAAACATACTATCATGTCACAGTAACAGATATTCAGAATAGAATGTAGAAATATAATTGCTGGCCAGGCACGGTGGCTCACATCTGTAATCCCAGCACTTTGGGAGGCTAAGGCAGGTAGATCACTTGAGGTCAGGAGTCCAAAACCAGCCTGGCCAACATGGTAAAACTCTGTCTCTACTAAAAATACAAAAAAAAAAAAAAAATTAGCCAGGCATGGTGGCAGGCGCCTGTAATCCCAGCTACTCGGGAGGCTGAGGCAGGAGAATCACTTGAACCCGGGAGGCAGAGGTTGCAGCAAGCTGAGATCGCACCACTGCATTCCAGCCTGGGCGACAGAGTGAGTCCGTCTCAAAAAAAAAAAAATGTGTATCAAAAAAATGGCTTGACATAAAAACAGTTTTGGTGCTTGTACTTGTTATCTACTTAAAAAATAAAATATAAAAGCACCTTATTCCTTGAAACATAAATGAAGCATGAATGTGTCAATATTCAACTTGACTGAATAATGTTTTCACAGTAGTGCTAGAATATATGCTTCAAGACAAGAAAGATTGAACTGTCTTAATCACTATTGTATCCTTCACTTAGCACAGGGCCTTGGTACATAGTAGGTGTTGAATACTGAATACATTATTTCATTTCTCACATTAACCCATCAAGGTAAACACACTTACCCCCATTTAAAGGTAAGGAAACTGTGGTAAAATGTGCTTATCTTGAAAGTGGGAGAAGAGGCATAACTTTTGACTCCTAACAGTGTTATTTTGATCACCAGAATCAACATTAACAGCATTTTCAGAATTTTTTTACCTATAATTTCAAATTTTTAGTTTTTAGATATCAAATTTCATTAGTCTAAAATTATCCTCACACAAACAACACCCAACTAAAACAATATACAAAATTTAATGCTATAAAACATCTCAAACACACATCGTTATAAATATCATCCTATTACCAGAAAAACATACCTTTTAAAAACTAATCAACTTCACTCCATCTACCCTAAACTATCCTTTTAGTAATAATAGCCAAGTTCTGGTTTACCTAAATGTTTCTTAAGGTACTATATAAATTTTACACCACCCAATTTTTTTATTAAACACCTTCTATCCAATTACTTCATTAACAGATGCTATGACAAAAGGGCACAAAAGAAGTAAAGAACATAACCATATATCTCAAGAACTTTAAAATCTACTTTGAATAAGACATGTATACACGAAACTGTGGCAAGTTGCTCCCAAAGCAACATACAAAGAGGAAGGAACCAAAAATAACTGAGTATCTCATCTGAAAATGCTAGGCATTTTCATATGCGTTACCTCTATTAGTTCTGAAAACTTTGTAAAGTAGATATTGCCATCTTCATTTCGGAGAAGAAAACTGAAATTCAGAGAGGTGAAATGACTTCCCAAAATAAAGGGCAAATGAGGGTCTGAAGTCCAAGTCTATCTGACTCCAAAGTTCTATCCTTTTTAAGCTACACCATGCAGCCTCCCACATATAGATTACAGGGTATAGACAACATTTATAAACGTTGTAAGGAAAACAAAGAAAGACATCATTGAAGAGAATAATTCCTAGGAAATATTTTATTGACAAAGTCAGTCCTGAGCTGTGTCTGAAACCTAAGTGTAAGATTGCTAATAACAGAAAGATTAATGTCACAAAAATTTCTAAATAAAAAATCTAAATATTTTCCTTCTTTGATCATTATTCTATTTCTTATTCTCTTGCATTTTTATGTATAACCTACCCTCCCCTATAATCATTCCCATTATAAAGACAGAAAAAAATTAACTAGGTCTAATATCCTATATTTCTCTTTCCTGCTGGTCAGAATGCTAAAAGATAGAAACATATACTGCCATGAGAGCCTTGAAGTGATCTTAGAGAGTGATTTCTTCATTTTAGTGGTAAGAAAAGCTGAGAGAGGGTTACACAATATACTGAAGGTTACAAAACTTTACTAGCCAGAATAGTATGAGAACATAGTTCTTACAGTGTTCTTTCTATGATTCAGTGCTCCTTAAATTTTTTGCCATGAAGTGTCAATAACGCAGAAGAATGACGAGATCTGGAGCTCACTTGAAATATAATGGGCTCACTTGAAATTTCTTTGAAGTTTCTAATTTCATCTTAAAGCCTCATATGAATTCTATACTTTGTGCCTAATTTACTTATGCTTATCTTAATATTAAAGTTATTTAAATTAATACCATCAAGTAAAATTGGTACTTAAAAAATTATTATGTTTGTTCCTGTGGCTTAGATTCTAAGCCTTATAGGTATCCCTTGACACAATGTCATGTACTCCAGTTTGAGAAGAATGCCCCAAATTATGGTGACAATTCCTTCATCATATTTCATTTCCTTGCTGCTTTATTTTTCAAATTAAGAATTCTTTTTAAAGCATGGTAAATTTAATTACACTCTTTCGAAATGTATAAATACTGACAAAGCTACTGTTAAAATTGTTGGGGTTGTTTAAACACAAAATTTTCAAGAAGCTCTACTTAGTTAAAATTAATTTATTAAAAACAATTTAGTTTATAAATTCATTAAAGAACCTGGATAGAACTTCTACCTAGCAATACTTCATTAAACATTTCCTTTTTGAGAGGTCACTCAAAAAAACTTTTTAATGAAAGTGAGATTAGATGCCATTCATATTGACTACAGTCCCAATTACTTTTAAGTAGGTTAAACAATCTTTTCTTCTTCCTTGGTATTTATCTTCTCTGCCCAGATGTGAAGGAAGAAATCCTTTGTGGTTTCACTACTTTCTTTTTCAGGATCTTTTTTTAATACCTTTCAAATTCCAAATATGCTTCATTATTCTTCAATCCTATTTACAGAAACAGAGTAATAGATTTTATCTATTTTACTGATTGTTTTTAAAAACACCCTGTTCAACTTAGCCAGGAATCTATCACTAGCAAGATTAAAAATAGACTCTTATTCGTCACTTCCTCCCTAAAAACATACTATTGACTTTCCACTATATGCCTGCTTGAAGTCAAATAGTTGTATGTGTTTTTAATGTATTTAAAACTCTTATTGTATAGCAACTAATACTTTTTCAAGTCCTTGGCCAGTGATGATAGTATTAAGTATATTCACTTTGAAGTCAAATTGTCACATGTGTTTTTAATATAGTTAAAATTCTTATTGTATAGCAACTAATACTTTTTCAAGTCTTTGACCAATGATAATAGTACTAAGTATATTCATTAGAAATTAATTTAACATTTTCCTACTTTGCCTAAACATTTAATTCTCTAATACATTGCTTTCAACAAAAAATTCACAAAATAACAATCTATTTCAAGAAATAGGATTCCTTTCAAGTCATATAGATCAATATTAAAAACACATATTAAAAAAACAGCTAAGTTAGGCAGAACATACAGTTCCACTTAGTAGGATTTAATAGTAATTTGCCTACTTAATGACATCTATTCTCAAAACAGATATAATATGTATATATCCTTATCAATAAATGGGCTTTTCAGAAAATAATATTGACACATAATATACCAGAACAGGTTTCAAGAATGTAAAAAAGTAAATGCTTAAACAATTGCAGAGTTATGACAGTAGCATCTGCTTGGCTCAAGCTTGTTTTTTTAATACTTTGAATGACTTCATTTATGAATAACTGAAATACTCCCTACCTGTTACTGTAATATTTTGATGTTCTCATTTACAATTAGTCTTTTAACTAATCTCTAGTACCTAGTCTTATATTTGTTCCAGTATCTCTTACTGATTTCAAATCAACAGGTTAGTGCAATTAAAATGTATATTACTACAGCAAAAATATGATTTTTAAAAATGCCCTTTCCCAAAAATTTGTACCTTTTTCTCATTCATGCCCCTATTAGTGACAATTTAGGTAATGGATTATCATCTTCAGCTAAGTACCTTGGTATCAAACATTAGCTGTAGCGAACTAATACGATATTCAGTAGCCAATGGAATAATCTATATGATTCTACATTCTATACATACATGTAGTCATTATTTTCCTAGTAATGTTTCTGTAGAGCTTTTACAGGTAAAACTAGTATGCTGCTTTGATAAACAGCTTCTTTCAAAATAGAAAAAAGTATGTGAAGAGTGACATATTCCAGATATAGTGAGCCTGCTATGTAACTGGTAAGATTGACTTCAAGTATAATCACTACTAAAGCTGTTAGAAAAAAATTCTACATCTGCACCACATCCTGTTTCTAGTTTTCAAGTAGCAGATACTTGTTTATTTGCTTCATGTTACTCATTACCATATTACCTCTAGTCTCTTCTATAAATAGTAATACAAGTAGACAACTAATTAGACACAGAAATATTTCAAACTAGACCTTAGGTCACCAAACACCATGTGACTTTCATTTCTGTCAAGTCAACATAAGACAGTTTCGAACAAAGTTATTGTTGTTAGAGATGGACAATAATATTCAACATAAAATGTTTCCACATACAGCCTATTTTATATACATATATGTTCTCATTTTCCTGATTTAAAAAAAAGTATAATTAGAATATCCATGTTACATTAATTATCATAATCTCATTTTCAAGTGCTTAATAATTCAAAATAATGAAGCAAAAAAATGCTTCTGCTAAATATTTCCCTTTCTACCATTATTCTTTCATAAACCTAATACAATTAATTTATTTAATGAGAAGTCTCAACAGACTATGTACTAAATTTGCCAAATTTACAACTGAAATGAAGATAACGAAAACATCTAATGGATGAAAAGTTTCAAAGAACAAATATCTTTCAACAGGTAATAAAAAATGTCACAACGTCAATTAAAAACTTTAGAAATGACAATATGACTTCACAAAATACTAAGTAACATATTGTAAAATGTGTGTGTGGGTAGATCACACTTTCCACTATCTTTGTAAAATAGATATAGATAAAATACTTAAAATTAGTATTACGAAGCATGCCAAGGAGATTTTCTAAAAGAGACCCTCCACCTTTTAAGAGCCACAAATAATAATTTACAAAAACCACAGTTCAACTCAACTTTCTTAAGTATGAAATCACAATACTTCAGTTCAGTAAAGAATAATTCTACATAGTAAAACTGCAAAACCTCAAGTTCTAGAATACACAAAATTGTACAGCACAGCTTCATTTTTGTAAGTTCTTTCCCCCAAATCATATGGTATATCAGGCAAGACCACAGAAATTAAGCTGTTGATAATGAAACCCACTAGTTACAGACTTGAGAAAAATCAGTTTTCTTTCCTCTCCATCATAGTAGACAATATCTGTATCAACAACTTTCAAGAAAAAGCCTGAGTTACTTCTGACTTCAAATATACATGTTATCATCAAAACCTATTTTCCTCTATTATCACTTATTCCAAATCTGTAGCTGCCTTTTCATTCCTTCAGCTACATCCTTGTTCCTGGCCCTAGACTTTTCCCCCTAGACTACTGTACCTCATTCTCATGAGACGGCTTCCCCTGACTGTCTTTAATTCCACTGTCAATGTTAATGTTACCTTCTCTCTAACATTTTACCTATGCCACCTACCCATTCCACTTCAGCTTTTCAAGGCCTTTACATTGCATTTTTATTTAGCTCAGAAGCCTCATCATCAACTATATATTTATTTATAAAGTGGCTGCTGACTTTCAACTCCCCTTAAAATTGACAGTTTCTTCTTGACCTAGTAAATGTATTAAATTCTCCCTTCAGGTAGTCACATTCTCTCCTAATCCATCTGAATACGGAATTTCTTTTGCAGTTAACCCCAAACTCATAGGTAATGTATTTAGAAAAGTTTTGCACAATAATTACATACAATGTTTCTTCATTTGTTTGCGTATCAATGTTATCCATATTAGACTGTAGGGACACCAGATAAGGGCTGCATCTTTCAAAGCAGTCTGTACAACACCTATCTGCTATGTCACTTCACAAAGGTAAGTTGATTCGTTAAATGAAACTATTATTTAATGGAAAGCTTAAGTAGAAAATGTTCATTTTAAAAATGTTTCTACGGTTTAACTTTTAAACATCTATGGCCTTTTTTATTTCCACAGACAACTGACATATTTTGGTTTCTCACTACTCTATTATTGTCAAAGAATGGCTGGAATTTAAAGTGCAAGTTGAGGGTAGATAAAAGATATACACTTTGACATCCCACCATCAGATTATTCGAAAATTGGCAATGTCAGCTCCAGGAATTCTGAAATACAACTGAATCTTCACATACCCAAACAGTTTCAGGACCAAAAGAAGAGAACAGCGCACCTTCTGATTTGGGGGTTCCCTTTTCTGCAACTGGTTTAGACTAGTTTCTCTATCCAAGGGTCTTTTAATTAGGAAAATTCAATTAATCACCATCGATATACGGAAAGAATACCAGGGAAAGGCAATCCTTTACTTAAAAGAGAAAAAAGGAGGCTTTGGATATCACCTTTTCATAAAATTCAGCAGCTAAATTAAGCTTTGCACTCAATATCTGCCGGCAGTCTCAGACATTTTTTTTCTACCTAATAATAAAAGCAAGTCTTATTCAATTTAGTCCCTTCTCGAGCACCGTCTCGACCTGTCAGAATTTGACAGTTAAAGAAAAAATTAAAAAAAGAAGTAAGGGAAACACTAGGATTCCCGTCCACACTGCTTCTTTTTCCGAAATCACATCACTGAGTCTTGGATTTCCTTCACTCCAAACTAAGCCCTCAGATTCCAAATATAGTTCTTTAACCCCCGTCTCGCCACTCAATTACACATAAACCTTGCCAATTACAGAACCACAGCAGAAACCCCTACAAATCCGCTTGCTGTTCATCTTGGAAGTCATGCCCTGCAGCAACTGCCGATCGCCGAAGTGACGGATATTAACCAAATTCAGCGCAACGGAATCAGACATGCAGAACACACACGGCTTTCGCGAGGGAGGGAAACGCGACCCGGGAAAAGTGCGCTCCTCACCAGCCTCGGGACGCTCTACCGGGGTGGGGGTTCCCAGAAAGGAGGGGGAGAGGAGCCCGAGTAGGGGAATCCTGCCCTCTCAAGTAAAAAGCTGGATCCCCGGCAGCAGGCTGCAGCCCGTCCTCGCTAAGGAAACGACGAGGCAGACAGAGGGCCTTTTGCGCGGAAAGGCAGAAGGCAGACACTTTCCGAGGTCCGGACGCAAGCCGATCCCCCATCCCCCGAGGGAGGCGAAGGGTGCCCCATGGGTGGCTGAGGGGACGCCCGGCCCGCGAGGGACAACCCGAGGAGGAGCAGTTTCATCTGATTAACACCTGAGTCTCGTCCAGGCAAGCACAGATACTGGCGTGGGGCCGCCCAGGTGGGGGGAAGGGAAGGAGAGGAAGGGGGTGGAGATGGGATTCCCCCCTCTCTCTGAAGAGCACTAGCGGAGGATGCGCCCAGGCCAGCCGAGAGCGGCATGCTTCAGACTGCGGAGCCGGGATCCCGCCGCCTGCACCGACAGCGCGGAGCCCCGCAGCGCCCTCCGCACCGGCCCCTCGGTCCCCGGGGGCCCAGGACTTTGCTTCCGAAGGCGCTGGGGCCTAACATCCCACGGGGTCGACCCCGGCTCCTGGGGCCTGGGGGAGGGGACCCGCGGGAACACCCCCAATCTCCGGCGGTTCTCAGCGGTTGTAAAATGCACCCCCGCGGTTCCCTTCTTCAGCCTTCCCTCCTCCCGAGGCCGCAGAGAAGGGCCACCACAGGCGAAAAGCCTAAGGCAATGCAGGGACAGCAGCCTCATAGGTCCCAGACCTCCTCCCCCGGTTACCTGTAAGGACTCCGACACGGATTTGATGGTCGTGGTTAGTAAGGATCATTCCCTCGGTCGCCATGTTTCCCAGCGCAGTCACCGCACTGACAGGAGCCGGGAGAAACCGGAGCCCGGAGCGCGCGGGCCGGGAGCGCGCTCGCCGAGGAGAGCGCGACAGCTAGGGAGCCAGAGAAGCGCGAGGAGAGCGGGGAAGGAGGGGGAGGCCACAGAGTGCACGGTGGCCTGCGTGGGGGAGAGGCCGCGCCGGGAGTGCGCGGGTCCGCGGGAGGGGAAGGAGTCAGGGCGCGCGGCCCCAAGTCCGGCAAGAAGGAGGCAAGCTTGGGGGGCGCGGTGGCCGCACGGGGAGAGCGCGCGGAGGCGGCAGAACGAGGCCGGAGAGTGTCGGAACGCTCTGCGGAGCGCGAGACCCAAGGCAGCTAGATGGCAGGACTGAGAGGAAAGGATAGCACACGCTCTGGAGGTTGCGGGGGCGGACTCGGGGACAAGGGCGGAGCTACACCCCTAGGCGTGGAACTCGTGGAGAGTGAGGGGAGGAGTGAGAGCTCGGGTGCTGAGTATTGGGAGCGGGAAGGAGCCGGCCCAGCCTGAGTAGGACCGCGGATCGCTCCTGGGCGCGCGAGTAGCACCGGATTGGCTGAGTGAACGCGGAGCGTGTGCGCGCGAGGCACGAACGCAACCTCGGCCGGGCCCCAGACAGAAGCAATCCCCTGCCGAGCCTGACACCTCGTTGGTTGTCCGCGCCTTAGGCTGGCTCTCGCCGGCGGGCCGGCTTTCTACGCGGGGGCAGCGAGGCTGGCTCAGCACCCCGGGCCTCCTCTTGCAACCCTCGGGAATGGCCGGCCGCCCCACTGAAAGCGCTGGGGAACCGAGAGGTGTCTTAGAAAGCTGCATGAGTGGCAGAACGGTGGCTACTATGACAGAGAGGCCGCCGTGGGCGAAGAGGGAGGTATCCTGTCCTGCCTCGTGCTAGCCGCTGGCTTCCTCAGTGGGCTCTCCCTGAAGGAGGATTTCCGCTTCACCTATGCTTTAGGATTCCATCTCCAGTCAGTGCCTGCAAGACGATCCTCACGTGCGAAACTGAGGAGTCTGAGGCAGGGCAGCTGGAGTGGAGATACCTGGCTTCTCTTCCTCCTGCTGTCCCACGGTTTTGTGGCCTTAAGCCTCTTCGCCATGAGCGCTGCTTTTAGATGAAAAGCATCAATCTCCTTAGCGAACGAGAACGTGTTCCACCTGAACCACAGTCCATTGCCGCGGCGATTTTCATTTCAGTATTCGTGGGATGTGAGATTACCATGAAAGTAGCTTTTGTTGCCATTTATTTCCATGTGCCTTTCATGAAACGTGTTATTAATCACCTGTGGCTATTCTACGTTAGTTTCTTACTATCGTTCTGGACCTTTCAACTTCTGAATTTTAAAAAGTTATATGCGTGTGTGTGTGTGTACACACACTCATATGTATATGTTTTCTCTTCTTAGCTGTAGTAACCTGGAGGCATAAAAGTGAAAAGCAAAGTATTAAAAGATGTATATCAGTGTTTATACACAAATTTCAAAGTCACTTTGATAGGTTTTTTTTTGGTTTTGGTTTTGGTTTTTTTTGATCCGGAGTCTCGCTCTGTCGCCAGGCTCCAGTGCAGTGGCGCGATCTCGGCTCACTTGCAACCTCTGCCTCCCAGGTTCAAGCGATTCTCCTGCGTCAGCCTCCCGAGTAGCTGGAACTACAGGCGCGTGCCACGACACCCAGCTAATTTTTGTATTATTAGTAGAGACGGGGTTTCACCATGTTGGCCAGGATAGTCTCGATCAAGATCTTGACCTCGTGACCCGCCCGCCTTGGCCTCCCAAAGTGCTGGGATTACAGGTGTGAGCCACCGTGCCTGGCCGATTATGAGTTTTTTATTGTTCCGTTGGAACATGAAATTACCCATCCTCTGAAGATTCACGTGCTTATGTATTTCATTTTAAATAATGGGGCCTAAAAGTAGATGATGGATGGAATTGAAGTGGGTAAAATAAATTAATGGCTTTTTTGCTTTTGTTTTTGTTTTTAGTATGTGTATTGCTGGTATTTTTGACAGTAATTAAAAATTTAAGCCAGGTCATGAACTCATTCCCTATCATTGTCACCTTAGATCCTGGTGGCCAACGGGTTGTTAACTAGTTTGAAATGAGAGATAAAGATAAGAAAGTATGTCCAAGAGAATGATTTCCGTTATCTCAAACTAAACATGAAGAGCAAATAGTTGGTTATATTGTTATCTTCCTAACCTATCTCTATTCTCTGCAACACACTCTAAATGATTAGAAAATATCTTGAGCTTATCGTCTGTCTTACATCTATCTTAGACGTAAGGTCTAAACCTGCCCACTAACAGGTTGTGACCCTAAACAAATTTGGGCCTTTTCCTTCATCCTTTAAATAAGATGGTAGACTAAATAAGTACCTTTTAAGTATAGTGGTAGACTAAATAAGCACTCCTTTAATTAGAATATTCTGTAATTATTCATGGAAGAAAACTGGCACTTTATTTCACAAATCAATAATAAGAGGACAAGAGACTAACTTTCTGCATTCATAAAAGGGGTGATGGTTAAATTCATTAAAATT
Source organism: Homo sapiens (assembly GCF_000001405.40). Taxonomy (NCBI): domain Eukaryota; kingdom Metazoa; phylum Chordata; class Mammalia; order Primates; family Hominidae; genus Homo; species Homo sapiens. The sequence continues at coordinate 66,505,978 of NC_000014.9, read as the reverse complement.
TAAGTGGGAAGGGTGGATATGAATTAAATTTTCTAAAGCAGCAGTCCCCAACATTTTTGGCACCAGGGATCTGTTTTGTGGAAGACAATTTTTCCATGGATGGAGATGGGGAGGGTTGATGGTTTCGGGATGAAGCTGTTCTAGAAAACTGCAGATCATAAGGTATTAGATTCTGATAAGAAGCCACAACCTAAATCCCACGCATCCGCAGTTCACAATAGGGTTCATGCTCCTATGACAATCTAATGCAGCCACTGATCTGACAGGAGGCGGAGCTCAGGCAGTAATGGTTACTGCCTGCTGTGTGGCCTGGTTCCTAATAGGCCACAGATGGGTACCTGTCCATGGCCCAGAGTTTGGGGACCCCTGTTCTAAAGTATATGGAGGTTTATTAACATTCATTATGTTTTACTGACTGTAAGTATTAAAATTCCTAAAAAATAATAATGGAACTAAATTATAATGCTTGTCTTTCAACCGTTTTTCTTAAGTGTATTCATCTTTCTCAAATTCAGCAACCTTTTACAAACCTTACAAAGGAAAAACGCAGTGACTTTACTGTCTAGAGTGAACTTTTACTGATGGTTATTGAATGAATATTATAATATGTACACACTATTACTCTTGTTACAGTGTGACATTCTTCAGAATTCATCCTGGAATCAATATTATGCCAAAGAAAATTTTCTGAAAGGTAGGAGAGAGTGCCATTTTCCAAATATTGATAAATGTCTCAGGAAACATGGGACATGGGGTGTGGTGTGGGTTGGGGTGGGAATTTGTATGTAAATAATTAGAAGTGCCCAGGGAGTTATTCTTTCCATTCTTAGGGTTTTCATCATGAAAACTACAAGAGTTGCCATTAACCATCCAAGACAACATAAAAAAAATAGGTTAACATGTGGCTTTCATTACAATTATCATGGAATGAAACTTTATATTTCAGTAGAAATGAAGTTATTATTATTATTATTATTTTTTGAGACAGTCTTGCTGTGTCAGCCAGGCTGGAATGCAGTGGCACCATCTCAGTTCACTGCAACTTCTGTCTCCTGGGCTCAAGTAATTCTCCTGCCTCAGCCTCCCGAGTAGCTGGGATTACAGGTGTGTGCCACTATGCCTTGCTAATTTTCGTATTTTTAGTAGAGATGGGATTTCACCATGTTGGCCAGCCTGGTCTTGAACTCCTGACCTCAGGTAATCCACCTGCCTCGGCCTCCCAAAGTGCTGGGATTACAGGCGTGAGCCACTGTGACCGGCCTGAAGTTAGTTTTTTCCTAGTACTGGTATATTTACACTTAGCCCACCAGTTAACTCTTAGTTTTTCTGTGGTTAATCACAATTTCTTTTTTTTCTTTTTTTTTTTTTTTTTTTTTGAGACGGAGTCTCTCTCTGTTACCCAGGCCGGACTGCCGTGGCACTATCTCGGCTCACTGCAAGCTCCGCCTTCCGGGTTCACACCATTCTCCTGCCTCAGCCTCCAGAGTAGCTGTGACTACAGGCGCCCGCCACCATGCCTGGCTAATTTTTTGTATTTTTAATAGAGACGGGGTTTCACTATGTTAGCCAAGATGGTCTCGATCTCCTGACCTTGTGATCCACCTGCCTGAACCTCCCAAAGTGCTGGGATTACAGGCATGAGCCACCGCGCCTGGCCCACAATTTCAGTATAAGCAAGGCCAAATCTCATTGGGCTTTTCTGGGTCCAGACTCTCCTCTATGTCTTTTCCTACATGTGCATACCTATGATAAAGTTTAATTATATAGTAGTCACCGTAAGAGATTGACAGAAATAACTGATAATAAAATAGTACAATTATAACAATTTACTGTAATAAAAGTTATGTTAATGTGGGCTCTGTCTCTCAAAATATCTTATTGTATTGTACTCACCTATTTTCAGACCAGAATTAGTTACAGCAATTCTAGGGGAAAAAATACAAAGCCTAATTCAGCCAATTTAAAGTTCTTCTTGACCATAATCTATCTTTCTTTGGGGAAAAAATACATTTAAAGCAACCAAAGCTTCATCCTCACCATTTTTTAAATGGTAAAATACACATTCATAAAATTTACCATTTTAGCCATTTAAAAGTGTACAATTCAGTAGCATGAAGTACACAGTAGCCCTCCCTTATCTGCAGTTTTGCTTTTCTTGGCTTCAGTTACTCTATTTCCCTGAAGCCCACGATTGGAAACCCAGATGTCTGATGACATGCTTGGTTGCAAGCAACTGATCCTAGTTGAAGCCAAAAGAAATTCATTGGCTTATGCAGCTAACAAGTCTGGACTTGTGTAGCTTCAGGGTTGGCTAGATTCAGAGTCTGAAACTATGTCATTAGGATGTCACTTTGAGCTATGCTTTCTTCTTTGTTAACTTCATTCTCACCTTGGCTCTTCCTACATTGCAAAAAGATGGCATTGGCTTCTCTAGGCTGTGTGTGTGTGTGTGTGTGTGTGTGTGTGTGTACACACACAAATATATATTCATATGTTTTTAAGAGAAACATAGTCTCTCTGTGTTGGCCAAGCTGGTCTCAAACTCCTCACCTCAAGATATCCTCCTGCTTCAGCCTCCCAAGTAACTGTGATTACAGATACGAGCCACAGCATCTGGCTCTAGGGTATAATTTAGATCAGTACCCCATTATAGTAAATATTTAGTATATTTAAAATTTTTTAATCTGGAAATTTGAATATAGGTAACCTACTGTATTAGTCTGTTTTCATGCTGCTGATAAAGAGATACCTGAGACTGGGCAATTTACAAAGGAAGGAGGTTTAGTAGAGAACTCACAGTTCTACGTGGCTGGGGATGCCTCACAATCATGGCGGAAGGCAAGGAGGAGCAAGTCACATCTTACGTGGATGGCAGCAGGCAAAGAGGGAATGAGGAAGACACAAAAGCAGAAGCCTCTGATAAAACCATCAGATCCCATGAGACTTACTCACTACCATGAGAACAGTATGAGGGAAACCACCCTCATGATTCAGCTATCTCCCCCCCGTGTTCTTGCCACAACACCTGGGAATTATGGGAGTACAATTCAAGATGAGATTTGGATGGGGACACAGAGCCAAACCATATCACCTACATAAGCAAAAGCTCCATAAAATCCTCAATTTTTACGAATGTAAAGGATCCCAAGAACCAAAACTGAGAATCATAGATTTACATCATGTGCCAATCTGCAAAGCACTTATAAGACAAATTACAAACTCCTCTTTCTCCATTATACTATAGAGGTTATACTTTCCTGAGGGCTCCAGTTTATATACCTTTAATTCTGCCTATATAGTCACATATTAATATTCAGAAGGTAGAGAAGTTCTTCCTAGGTATGTACTGACAATTTACAAATGTACGAAGTTTCCATTTATTTATGTGGCTGTGTATCTGATAAAAGAAGAAAACCAGGAACAAAAATTTTGATTTCTAAAGGAAGCACTAATTTTTCTCCCTCCTGAAAGAAAAAAAAAAAAAGGTAGACCATAAAAGAGAAGGGCAGTATTTTCTAGAAGAGGGAAAGATCATTAGATATGGGAAAGGAAAATGAGATTTGCTAAATTGGAAAGTAATATTAATTGCCCCAGAAGCTATTTGATTTCTTAAAAGGGCTCTGTCTGCAATGCCTTCAGTTTTTAGGATTCAGTATATATATCAAGAAAAGATAGTCCAAGCTTAAAAACTGACATGGATTGACTTTAAGTGGACCTTTTAAAAAATCAAAAGCATCATGCTTTTCTACCATTATTCATTGGTTTCTATGTAACTAAAATTTATCTTAAAACCCAGCATCCCCAGAAAAATATTTTTCCTTAAAAAGCAACGTACAAAACAAAAATTATTTTGTTAACCTAAGTAATCTCACTTTCCCTAGGTTGACTAATAATTGGGAGAAATATAGTTTCTAGGAATGTTTATATCATGTTTTATACTTAAAATGAAACTTAAGTTTTCATGTTAGGAATCATAAGTGAATTTGTGAAAGAAGTAGAGAAGATGGATTTTTAGTTGTCCTGAAAAATTCTCACTTTTGCCATGTAATAATTATATTTCATATGTATCTGCCTGTGCATCTCCTGCCGTGAAATTGACTGGTTGCAGACCAAGCCTCCCTTTCCAGCACGGGACCTTGTTCTCTTCCCATTTCCTAATATTTGTTGACTAAATACAGAACATATGAATCAACAGGGACTTTGAATTGGTAGCAATGCAGGCTCCTTCCAAGGTGCCAGAGGGACCAATAGAGATTTTACTTGGCGTGCAACAGGTTACAGAAGCCTCTACCAATAAAAGGAGAGACACCACCTAAGGTGGCCACTGTTCACATAAACAACACTAAAACTAGATTTTCTGCCTGGATCTACGAGTGTAAGGCAAAATGTTATGTGTTGTCGCTTCCCCTCTTTGATTATTGCAATTCTAGACTAAAGATGAAAGTATCAGGCTGTTGTTGGCCTTATTTCATTTAGGAAGTGTGACAGACATTACTAATCACTTTCTGGCAATGCAAAAAGGCAACTTTTTGGGATAGAATGTTAGCTGATATCCTCTGCATGGCTAGAAAGTCAAGATAAAATAAATGAGATAAGTTACAAAAATAGTCTACCCAAAGTTACGATTTGTAAATGTATTGCTGGTGGGACAGGTTTTTCCTCAATTGACCTTGAAATTGAAAAGTATTGCCCATATGTGGTTAAGGTTATCAGAGATTTTATTCTCAGAGGAATATAATCAGAATATTATGAGCACAAATAAAACTATAATAATGATGTTTCAATCCCAAGTACTTTTTGATTACTAGTTCAGTTTACTATAACTTGATTTGGAGATAGGAATACCCTAAATATAGACATATTCCCACCAAATTGTAAGGTAATAGCCCTCTCTGTAATTTAATATTGGGTGTATCAGTTAATCTCTTGGGAGTTTGAGTAGCTTGAATAAGTCTCTGACCTTTTGAATAAGTTGACCATATAAATTTGTCTGTACTCACAAAACTGAGATCCATTTCCTGGATTCACTGAAATGCAGACACTCATGAGGAGTCACCCAATCTAACTGATAACTTTATACTGCCCTTATGAAAGTCAGAGTCCAATATAAAGTCCTAAAGACAAAGTAGGATAACAGGCTATCCCAGTTTTGTGTTTTGAAAAAATTGAAAGGTTTGGAACATTTGAAGGAAAGATGTTAAGCCTGACTGGTAATGAACATAAAATGTAAATACTTTGGCAATGGCAAATAATTCACTTTTTAAGAAGTTACAACCTCAGCTACCAAGTAAACTACTTTATTCCATGCCTTAGTTAACAACAAACAAGAAAAAAAAAAAAAAGGAGGGAGGTCATATACGAATTCAAACTCACTGTAGTGGTTAAAAAAAAAAACAAACCCATAATTTTAAAACATTCAAATGATGCTCTTTTAATTTAATTTTAAAATTGGGAATCTAAAGCCCTGAGGTTAAATGACTAGTTCAAGGTAATCAGTAGTACATTCAGATTTTATATTTTCATCTTTTGTTCTCATTGCTCTGTCTAATCCAATTGACTTGGAAAATCTCTCAGGACTGCCAGAATCTCCCAGGGACTAAATAAGTACAGTGATGGCTTTCTTGAAACAATGTAAATTACATACTCCACTAACTCAGTTGGTAGAATATTAAACTAATCACCTCAGGGTTTTAGAGGCCATTATTTTTGTGGTTAGGAGAGGAAAGATACAATTTAGATTGGAATATGAACTGGCAGTATTAATACCTAGGCTCTGGTAACCAGCCCTGGCCCCAATTAACTGTAGGAATTTAGACACCTTTTCAATGTATCTGAACTCCAGTATCCTTTTTTGGAAAGTGAAGGAAACTTTATAGTTATTTAAAGTTCCTTCTAATGCCAAAATTCTGTGATTTCTTGTAAACCGTTTCCAGTGCAAAAGTACATTTAAAAATTCATATTTAAAATGCATCTTTAAAGATTTAAATTGACATTGAGAAAAAGAAGATTTTGAATTGGCTGGCTCACTTTGCTTATTACCAGAAAGTATGAGGGATTCCTACAGATTATGAAGTGTTTTGTGACAAATCAACTCTTCTATACTGACATGAGATAGGAAATTAATGACAACTTAGAGTGAAAGAAAATATCTGAAGATCTCAGGAACTATGATATAATCCCGTGGTAATTAACACAAGGCAAGACATCGAGAGACCTGGGACTTGGAAATTAACTTTCTGTGGCCTTCTACATATCATTTACTGAGCCTCTTTAAAATGCTAGGCACTGTGTTAAGCAGTCAAAATGAAAAGATAGCAAGATAGAATCCTGGCCCTCAAAGAGCTCACCACCTGATGAGGAAGGTAGCTGGATAAACCAATAATTGCGATAGAGTTCAATTAGTGCTGTGACAGAAGTAAGAGAGCCTAGCAACAAGTCTCAAACCTGATTGCCCATTAGAATTTCTTGAGAAGCTTTTAAAAAATACGGATGCTTTTGCCCTATCGCTCAGTTACCATAATTTAAATTATCAGGGGCGGGGCCCAGTAGAATGCTATTTTTCAAAGCTCTTAAGGGGATTCCAATACACAGCTAGGATTGAGTATCAGTGGGATAGAAGGGCAGCACATTCAGTCCTTAAGACAAACAGGCAATGGTCATAGCTAAAGGAGAGAAGTATCCTTCCACTTTGTGCATGGACCTAATAGAACTAATGATACATGGGGAGAACTGTAAATATTAATAGTAATGTGGAGCTCAATGTGGGATGTATGAGAAAAGGGGGACATAGTGAAAGATGAGACAGAGAAGGTAGGCAGGAGGCATATCATTTATGGTCTGTGAAGGACCTTGGACTTCAGCGAGAAACCAGTAGGGGAATGACATGATCTCATTTATCTTTTATAAAAGATAGCTTCAGTGGTACTGTGGAAGATGAATTAGAGGAACTGGAAGCAGGGGAAACCAATTAAGAGGCTATGGTAATCCAGGCAGGAAGGAGGGCCTGGGGAAAAAAACAAAAACAAAAACAAAACCACAGTGGTACTAGGAAAGTGGATGATATTCAAGGAATAGATAACAAGGAGGCAGAATCAACAGGTCATTTTGATGTTTTTGGTGAGAGAGTAAAAGAAGTCTGTGGTATATAATTTTACTTATTTTATACCTACTTTTTCTCATTTCCCACTGTTGGATCTGTCCACAATTACATACTTCAGAAGTGGAGAGAAGCTCCTTTTTATGGACTTAGTAAAAACATATTGTATAATGTGGTTGAAATGTGGTCATTTCAAATCCAAAAGCTATCAAAATAATCAGAGGTTGTTTACAATCCCTAAATGACTACATTCCATACATGTTTAAGGCCAGACATCCAACATTTCCACCCAGATTGGTCGGGGGAGAGAGGGAAAACAGCACTAAAACAAAGGTGCGAGAGATTTTAATTAACACAAATGGCTGTGCCTAGTCTTTAAATCTGTCCAAAGCAAATGGAGCGAAAGCCTGCTAATTCTTCAGTGCTTCATCTGGCAATGACCTCAGAAAAAAGAGTCTCCCTCCTGTATTATCAAGCTGACTTCCTTTAGTTCCTTGTTGTTCTGTGTAGATCTTTGTTCCCAGAATTCTCTAGACAGGAAAAAACAGAGGAAAAAGGACAGCTAAAATATTGAGTACCCTAGCACCCACTCTGCAAATCCCCTAAAATATTAAATTAGAATATATGTTAAGCAATGCATTCCAAAAATCTATACCCACTATCTATTCAAGCCCTTAAAACGATTTTTTGTTTGTTTAAAGAAAGTAGTTCTCACCACATGGTGTTCATTTCTGCCAGTAGTCACTCTGTCCATAGTTGTAATGCCCATAGTACCTAAGGGGAAACATTAGGAAAATAAGAGCTTCTTTTGAGGGGGAAAAAAAAAAAAAACCACTAGTTTTGTTTTGTTTTGTATCACTGTGGGTATTAGCATTGATGTGAATTTTCTGATTTTTTTTTTTTAGAAAATAACTTTGTCAAACAATATTTCAGAAGTTGGAGTGGCAGACTGTTTTTCTGTTTACAGCTCATGTCCCACAGGGGGAAAAATCATTTAAGAATTATATGCAAGTAAATAAAGAAGTGGAATAATAAGTTATGTGTATATATACATACCCTCAGATAAACCAGATAGATATATTTCACAAAAATGGTCAATTATAGATAGTGGAGAATAAACAAAAGATAAAGGTGAAGATGGGGAAGAGAAAGAGGAAGCAGACAGAATGGTAGGCGTAGGGTGAGAAGGGAGGCAATGAAAAGGAGAAAAAGGGAGAATTATAGGGTGCTAAATACAACCGATAGTGAGTCTGTTCTAAATTAGAGTTGCCAGACTAAAATATGGGACTCCCAGTTAAATTTGAATTTTAATATAAACACCAAATAATTTTTCATATATCTCATGAAATATTTGGGACACACTTATACTAAAAATTATTTGGTGAAATTCAAATTTAATAGGGTATCCCTTTTTATTTGCTAAATATGATAACATTTTCCTAGACATACTGCTGCACTCCTGAGTGTGTGATGCCCACAAATTATGGAATCTGTTGTCACCCATTAAAATAATATTAATAAGGGTACAGTTTATTTTGTCAAGCTTCAAAATTTATATTTAGGAAGAAAAGAATTTTATTCTCCCCCTGAATTTCTGTGAAGTATTAAAGAAGTAAAAGAATGACTTAGTTTAGAAATTAACTTTATAACCTATTAATACCATAAACCTAACTTTGACATTCAAAAGGTTCAGGTTGCCTCAAAGCTTTAAAAAGCCTGTACTTGAAAGCAACAGTACTGCTTATCAAGGACCCGGATTTGAGCTAGCTGTGGTTTTCCGCCCCTGCCCTTCAGCATTTTAGCTTAACACTACTATTTTCCCTTCAGCAGCACCTGCTGAAGTGTAGTTCAGCCATCAGGAAGAATAATACTAAAGTGAAGTAAAGGTTAAAGCCAGGAAGAATGACTTGCTTTCAGAACAGAAGGAGTTAGAGAATAAATAAGGTCTCAAAGAGTATTCATTTCCCATTTCGCTGGGCTTTCATCTGAATTTATAAGTGTAGCATAATACTCACATCCAACGTTCAGGTTTTTCTCAGAAGAGCTCAAGGAAATGCTAAGAGTTGGTGGGGATTGAGGGGAGGAGAGAAAAGCAAAGCTATCAGAATCAAATGTCTTAACACAAGTTATATTATTGCTGAAGATAAACCTCTTCTTTAAACACCAGCAGATATGATGGGAAATTCAGTTGAATTTAGAGATTGCTTAGCACCTGTGCTCTCTAAGATAGGTGACTGCCAAAGTCCACAAACTTGCCTTCTGGACTCTATAGAAGTTAGGGAGGGCCTACAATACACCCTGAATCAAATTATAATTTTACACTGGTGGAAAAGTAAATCCTTTCAAATGTCACCTGTCTCCGGAAAGATCAAAAGTAAAGACTTCATCGTAGGTATAAACAGACTAAGTGAGGCAGCATGCCAAAGAGATAACATGGATGACGGTAATGCCACATCCTGGGCATCAAGGGAATTCACAAGTAGGGATTTGTTGAAGTGTAACAAAATCAGTAATATTAACACAGGATTGTATTTTGCCAGCTACACAGATCATACCACTGCAACTCAGCCAACCAGCACATCGGACAGTGGGAGGAGGAATTCTTGGCTAAGAGTACTGAGGTAAACTCTTCATCTACTTGGAAATGCTTAGAACAGAAAAGCCTGTACCCTGATTTACTGAGAGGTGTGTCCAAAATTATATTCCACCCTTTCTCTAAGACAGGTTTGTGCAATTCAATTCTTTTGAAACTAGAGAAAAAGAAACGCTGTCCTGTAACACTGTTAAGTATACAAACTTCAAATAAGCACCATCTTTTATTTTTTGTTTAGTGCTCATTTTTTCTTTTAGTGCCCCAATCGCCTGATTTATCTGTGGTGGAAGGGAACACTATTCTACAAGGATTGTGGAGGAAGTGGGCAGTGACTGTTTTTTGAAATGGAGATAACTGTAGTACAGGGAGTAAAATACTAGGTAAAAATTATGCAACAGAACACTGAGTTTAACATGGTCTAATCAAGGCTGCCAGTAATACACCTTGGTGCCAAAAGAGCATGTGATAAAACATCAAGAAATTTTTTTCTTTTTTCATTTGATACATGAATGTGGCACCTTTTGTCCTGAGAGTAATAGAAGACCGATCTCTCCCACAGCATTTCATGGTTCCTGAATTACCACTCTGTGGACTTGAAGCCTGGATGTGGTTGGTGCCACCTACTGGGCTAAATGCAGAGTTAACATTTTCTTACTGAACAAATTAACCTTAGGAGTATGCTTCTTCACTGAGAAGATTATACGTTAAACAGATAATAAATTTGGATTCAAATTATAGCGTTTAGATCTAGAAGAGGCATGAAAAGTCACATGCTTTTACACATCCATTTTGTAGCATAGTCTAGGGAATAAGGATTGAATATGGAGCCAAGAAGCCTGGCTTCTCTGAGCTTGTTTCTTGTTCTATAATACCTTTCATAGAGTCACTGTGAGGGTTGCACAAGGTATTAAGTTCTCAGCATGCTCCATGTTAATGTTGTTTGTATTTTTAAAACCTGAAATTAAATGACTTTTCCAAGTCATATAACTGGTGAGCCTCAGAGGAAGGCCTGCAACTCATGTATCTGAGTCTTAAATTCAGTGCTTTTTTCCTTAAATTACAATTTGCCAAAATTTGATGATGAGATGATTTTAGGTGGCAATTGGGATAAATTTCGGTGTTGGGACAAGGCATTAAATACTATAAATCACAGTGAGAAAATTATTGCCTTTTCAATTATTTCAAACTTGATGGCATCAAGGAGAAAGTTGCAGTTTGGTGCTGGCTTTCTTTAAAGTTCTCTATGTCTTTTTTTTTTTTTTTTGATACGAAGTCTCGCTCTGTCACCTAGGCTGGAGTGCAGTGGCGTCATCGCAGCTCACTGTAACCTCTGCCTCCCAGGTTCAAGCGATTCTCCTGCCTCAGCCTCCTGAGTATCTGGGACTATAGGTGTGTGCCACCACACCTGGCTAATTTTCTGTATTTTGTTGTAGAGATGGGGTTTCACCATGTTAACCAGGATTGTCTCAATCTCCTGACCGCGTGATCCACCTGCCTCAGCCTCCCAAAGTGCTGGGATTACAGGCGTGAGCCACCATGCCTGGCCAAAATTCTGTATGTCTTTCTAATCTCACTTCCTAATGGAGATAAAATAGATCTCAGGCTTATGTATTTTTCTAGAACATTAAAATCTTGTTTTTTGTGTATTTATTATTAAGTTTACCTTCTATTGTGGAAAACTCTATTGATTCTTCATTTAAAATAGTAATATAAATTTTATTTTCAAGGAATGCATTTAGGAAACTAAAGAAGTCAATGTAAACAACAAATATTGAATAAATAATAGTCCAGGTGATACACAAAGTTGGAAAATACTACAACACCTACCATTAAGAAATTATTACCAAATAGGTTGGTAATAACCTCTTTACATAATTAGTTTTAAAATCCTTTATGAAGAGAATATTTGTTTGCTTTTAAATAATCAAATACTAGAGGTGAAAAAATAGGCCACATAACCAAAATATAGGACTCCATTAGATTTCAAATCCACTTGGGCTCAAACAAACCTATAGAGTTTGAATACATGTGTTAGAAAATGAAACTGGCCCATAATTAGTGCTAAATGAATGCAGAATCAATTTAACACATTGATCCATTGCCTGTGGCTACATTAATTTGTGGTAACTAAGCCGTATAGTACCCTATCATTTAATTCTCCAGGAACATAAAAGGAAAGGAGAGAAAAGAAGATGTGGATCTGTGGCTGTTCCAATTCAAAGTTGATTCAATGTTTTACATGCAAGGAGAAAAAATATCTCCTGAGACAATCAAGTTGAATGGAACCCTTATTTACTAATTTAGACTTAATTTGATTCTGGAGCTAAAAAGCTTTTGGCTCTTTACCATATAGATCCCTTGAGATGACCTTCAGCTAATTTTGAATGAAGTAAAACAGGGACTTGTCTGTCTTCCTCATAACCCTCTTCTCTTCTGTCTTTTAAATTTGTATCTTAATGATTTAATACTGCTTCTTGTTGCATTCCAGGATTCTTTCCAATTTTATGCTGTCCAATTCTTATTAGAACATAAATTGAAAGAAAAATATGCATAGAATACTGCCTGAAGGATAGTCAGTTCAGTCTTACTAGTTTTCTAAAATTTACCTATGGATCAAGCCAGACCAGAGAGTCTTATGTACCTGAATCAAATCATCTTGAGGTGATTTGTCACTTAAAATAAATTTCAGATTAATATCTTTTTATCAGATTATGCCAAAGAACAGAGGAGAAACAACCTAGGAAATTTAGATTCTGAATTTATTTTGAAATATTGTTGAAGACATTGGCGACTATCATCACACAAACAATGTCCTGCCCCCATTATATGGACCTGGAGGAGAAATTTCTCTCAGATTTCAACACCAGGAAAAACTATGTTTCTCCTGAGCAATTGGTTTGTTGTTACTTCATGAGTTTCATAAATCCATGTTTCTTTTTACTGGAAAATTCAGAACCAAATTTGTAGCCTACCTCTGCCAGCTGTACAGTACTCTCATTATGCATTCTTGTGTATTTGCCCGGCTTCAACTTATTTTCCCTTTTCTTTGATTTACTCATATATTTATTTAACCCTATGTGTTGACTGTGATTTTTGTAAGCTGTTTAAGCGCTTTACAGAATAAGACTAAGAAATTAGAAACATACATACTGATACTGATAGAACATTGTCATCCCTTGGCCATGATTTCCCATCTCGTGTCCTTTTTGAAAAATGGAGTTCATATTCATAGATACTTGAAAATTTAAGAACTTTTTCCCTGTCCTCAGAGCCATCTCTATATTCTATTTTTTAAATGAACTATATTATTTTCTCTAATATTGCCGTAAATTCTGTGGGGAAATCGCTGAAACTCTCAGAGGGACAACTGGATTGACAAAATTCACAACCTTTGTCAGATGTCTGTCTCCTTGGCCTTCTGCTTTGAAGTAGCAGAGTCTATTCCAGCAAGATTAATAAGATTAAACAATTCTAATTCCTAGAAAAGGGGATGAGGTGGAAAGGAAACATATTTTATTGAGTGCTAGCTATATATCAGCTACATATGCTAAGTATGTAATATATTACTTTATCTTTACAAAGGAAAACAGTTCTCCCAGAGAGAATCTTTGCCTTAGTAAAGAAGCTTCTGAGTCATAAAAATGATGATAGGCCGGGCGTGGTGGCTCACACCTGTAATCCCAGCACTTTGGGAGGCCAAGGCAGGTGGATCACGAGGTCAGGAGTTCAAGACCAGCCTGGCCAACATGGTGAAACCCCGTCTCTACTAAAAATACAAAAATTAGCTGGGCATGGTGGTGCGTGCCTGTAATCCCAGCTACTCGGAAGGCTGAGGCAGGAGAATTGCTTGAACTGGGACCCGGGAGGCAGAGGTAGCAGTGAGCTGAGATCGCACCACTGCACTCCAGCCTGGGCAACAGAGCCAGACTCTGTCTCAAAAAAAAAAAAAAGATAATGAAAAAATTAATTACTGTACTACTAACATTTAACTTACTGTGTGCCAGGCATTGTGTTGCTCACTTTACAAGTAAAGGTCTCCAATATAAAATAAACAAAACAAAACCTCAAACTGTGTACCTGGGATATTCTACCTACCTTGGGACCCAGGAAGATTTAAAAATGCTTGCATTGGCTCAAAATTCTGCTGCAAATACAGTGATAATTTCAGGTCATTGGCCTTCTGGTAGTTCTTCAAGGCTTCAATTCTCAGCTCAATCACTTTGCCATGAAAATCATTCTGAAAGAGAATATTTTCCAAAACTACACATATAGGATTGGCTTCTCTGAATCCATTGTTACCTGAATCCTCTTTACCCAGAAGTTAAAAAGTAATTCCATCATGCTCAGTCTTTAAAAGTTGGGTAGAAAGTATTTGTGATTTTTCCCCATTTAGAATAGAACGAAATCAAGAATATAGGAAGAAATACCATTTATTCCAAGTTCAGAGATAGGTCCCTTCAGCTATCTTTCTATGATACATTTGTTTTAGCAGGGCAATCGGTAATCTAGGATGTGGGGACTGGGCTTCACAATATGCAGCTAAAAGCCTTTGTATTATATGAATGAAATTGCATCCTATATCCAGCCTTGGAAGATCTTAGTACCTGAAGGATGTTATTTTGTTCCTGATACTTGACCCATTCCATTTTCCTCTGTTGCTTTTCCTGGTGGAAGAAAGAGCCTCTGGGTGACAAAGTAAATTGAGATCAGCAATCAGTTTTCTCAATATGCTGCAAAAGCCTTATAGCAAAATTATAGTGTCGCAGATTTACTATTAAATTGACTTTAACTGCACAATTCTCTTAATTGGCCTCAACTGTACAAGCCATCCTCTAAAAGCTAATGAATAGGGTTATTTTATGTTGGTGAGTTGGTTATGGGAAGATGAGATACCAGCATACTACCACTGAATACATTTTCAAAGACAAATGAACGGAAGTTCTGACATCATTTAGCTGTTGCAGAGTTATCATTGTTGGTATAGCTTCTCTCACTTTTTCGTAATATGATTTCCCAGAAACTTGTGATATCACTCTAACTCAAATATAGTAACACAAGGGAACCAAATCTATAAAAATTGGCATTGGTCCAAGAGCACACCATACCTTAGGCAAATTACTACAACATTAAAGATTTCTAGTTTACTAGCTCTAAAAGCCACTGCCATTCAGAATGGCTGTACTACCTTCCTTATCTCCTTCACTTTCTCTGCAAATGATTTCTCCAGTTCACTCTCAGTCTTCCTAGGTGATGAGGGGGATTTGGGAGCCTGGGATGAAAGAAGAGAGCTAAAGGAATAAGAGGTCCTAGGAAAGAAGTGCAATGTCTCAGCAGGCCATAAATCTAATAAACCCTAAAAACCCAGATCCTACCTATCTGCCTACCCAAATTAGCCCTGATTGTCAGCAGGCTGTTTCCAGCTGTGTGACATCGACAATCTTGAAATTTTAAGTACATGCAGTCCACTTGCCTTTCCATCCTGCAAGTCTGCCTTGTTTTTTGTCTGTGGTGCTTTTTGTTGATCACTAAGTTCTTCTGCCTCGAATGTCTGTGGAAAGACATTTTGGCAAAGCTTTAAAGTAGTGGAAATTAAAGAGGGAAGTGGAAAACCAATATGGGTCAAGGTTTTGGTTCCTGCCAGTCAGCAGCTTCTCAGGGCCTGGCATGAAAAGTGTACTACCAAAGGGAGTTGAGAATGTAATGAGCCCTTCCTTTCATTCAGTCCCTTGAGTGTACCTTATAGGAATGAAAACTATTAGCTGGACCCTTAGCCAGTCACTACTCTAAGCTACTTACTGCATTACTCTGCTTATTTTCCTTACTGTACTGTATTGCAGACATTCTCATTTAATCCTCACAATTCTTTGAGGACCATTTTTATTTCCATATTATAGATGAGAAACCTGAGACTTGGAGAGGTTATTTGTTTAGGGTTACACAACTAGGAAAGTACAGAGTTGGAATTTGAACCAGATCTTTCTGATTCTGAAGCCTGTGTTCTTGACCACTAGGCATGCTGTTCTTCTAAAATATGAGTAGGGAAAGTTGATCACAGGTTAAGTGTATAGATGTCCCTTTTGAGAGCTCTGTAGAAGCTGGATTTAGATAGAGGAATTGTGCTGGCACATTTCCTATTACGAGGACTCAAGAACCCAGGAACTAAAACTTCTGGAAATTCATAGAACTAATTTGTAACTGCCCACGAGAACCTGGAGCAGATCTCAATACAAGATGCAGGGCTTGAAGGTATTCTGATTATTTGTGGAAAAGTCAGATGAAAAAAAAAGACAGAGATCACACTATATATCTGTTTATATCACAAGACACAGTCTACTCTTCTAGTTGCATAGTCTGTAAAGAAGCACTTGGGTCCCAAGGGATTAGTCTTGGACAAAGTCTCGGACAAGGGACAAAGGAATTCCCTGTCCCCTTCCCCCTACTCCCTGGCTCTGGTTTCCCAGCAAAAGGCCCTAATATTGTTATCTTAAACAATGTGGTGATTGCTGTAAAATTATAAGGGTATTGGAATTAGGTATTCATTTGTTTATTCATCCAACTTACATGTATTGATTCTCTACTATGTTCCAAGCATTGTGCTAGGAGCTATAGATTTGGACAAAGCAATCAAGATATTGAAGGAGCTTGAGAAGATACAGGAGGAGGCAGGGAAACAAGAAACAATTTAAAAAGTAATAATAATACAATAATAATAATTTTATATTATAAACAGTGCTATTGAGCACATAAGCAGAGTTATATAATAGAAAAGGGGAGGAGGATGCCCTACTTTAGATGGAGCAAACAAGGATGGCTTCTCTAAGGAGATGACATTTAAGCTGAGACCTGAAGGATGAGAATGAGCCAACCATGAGAAAATAGCATTACAGGCAGTGGAGAAGGCAAGAGCAAAGTCCTTGAGATAGGAAAAAGCTTGGCATGTTTGAGAAACCACAAGAAGCCAGTGGCATGGTTGCATAGAAAGCAAGGGAAGGACATCTATGAGAGGAAACTGGAGAATAGGCAAGAGCCAGATTATGCCACAATTAGTGGCTGTAAAGGTTTTTCATAAGAAGAGTAACATGCTTTGATTGTTTTAAAAAGATCACCTTGGCTGCTGTGTAGAGAATGGATTGGAATGAGGCATGGGTGGAAGCAAGGACATGAAACAATGAGGATGGGGGCCAGAGGAAAGGGAGGTTCTTTGCGTTGTGATCTGTAGGACAATACTTTCAATAGATCCTTAGAGGCACACCTTGTTCCATAGCATCTCCATTTCCTTCCGAAGCATCTTGTTTTTCCTTTCCTGTTGGAGGGGGAAGAACCAAACAAACAGAAGCATGTATTTGTCCAGCCATTGAAGTGGGTTTGGAAGAAGTTACTAAGTAATAGTGGAAAAAGGGTCCAGGGACATAGTAAACCACAGAGGAAGGCAATGAATGGGTCTAATCCCAAATCCAGGAGCATAAGAGATGTTTGATGATGATGATGGTAAAAAAAAAACCAAGTTATTGTTTTAAGTAATAACTTTAATTATAATAATTGTGAGACAGTATCTATAGAAATGAGTTCCTAACACTTAAGATGCTCTTATGTGGCCATTTCTTGGGGGCTTAGACCACTAATTTTTAATTTTTAAGATCCTTTACATTGCTGATTGAAAGAAAATCTTGTAAGAATCCTGCAGAGCAAACTATTTCTTTTCTTTTACTTTGATAGGTATTTTCTATTCTTTATAGCAAATATTTTACTATTCTTTCTGAAATGTGAAGAGTTAATATGGTTATATTCATTAATTCCCTAGATAAAAAGTTTTTAAAAGTCAAAGAATAGAATTTTTGCTTGCTAGTCGTGTTCTTCCCAACATTCCATCTGACTCCTTTTGGGTCACCCTGGACTTTCTAGATCAAGGAGATATGAGTGTTGGAGCATCAGATGCTAGAGATGAGTACTCTGTCTTTCTCTCCACATCTGACACTGCAATGGAATTGAGCCCTATTCAGGAGGCTGTTCCTGGAGTCCCTCCTACTTCTTACCAAGTTCTGTTTCATCTCCTCTGCTTCCTTAAGGAGCTCCATGACCGAGGATTCCTCACACCCCTTCCCTGCCATGATCTGTCTCATGATCTGAAGACTAGAAGAAAGAGAGGCATCATAAAACATACATACCTCCTTAAGGGTAATACTGATGTTCTGCAACTAGTCAGAAAGTACTCTACCATGAAAGTTAGATGGCGACTGAAATATCAGGAGTTATGGAAGCCCTTCTGGTCATAGAAGATCTCTGTAACTAAGATGTTTCCATTTCTAATTGACATTTGCCTATCTATGTGCTCTAGAATGAATTCTGTGCTCTTTAATGCTTAAAACTTAGGTCTCCAACAGCCAGGGAGAGTCCTTTCCACCCCCTCAGAAGAATGTTGCAGTGTGTGACTTTTGGGAGAAGAAGGGGTAATTCTGCCCCCTTTATAAGAAGAGGTTGAAGAACCTGCTATCTTCTAGGATAAATCCCAGAGTTATTTCCTAACCCATCTCTGTCCTCTGTCCACTTTCTCCCACTTCCTTGCTTCTTCCTATGAGGACATTTGAGTCTATTGGGGAAGTCACTGATATCCTTTCATAGCCCCAGAGAATGCAAGCCATTAAGAAGTTCTAACAAAATCTAAATCAAAATCAAGTCCTTGTGAGAGAGGATATTCCTTAAAGGCATAAATTATTTTATATTTGTGTTCTTGTACTTTTTTCTCCCCAGTTCTAAGCGAAGAACACAATTCTAAGACTTTGTGTTTTCTTGCTCTGAGAGAAGTCTATTTTGCTGAGTTGTAAGCAGCTGGTGCTTGTTGCTGAGTTGTAAGCAGCTGGTGCTTGACCACAACTTTCTGCCTGCGTTTTGTTCTCCAAAAATATGAGTCCTTTGAGATGCTTATGATAAGGGTATAGAATAAAGATAGACTCACTGAGGAGAGAGGTTCTGAGACTAGAAAGGAAACAGAGTTTGTGGGTCCCAAGTACAGTGAGTGCTCTGGTAAAGAGTTAAGACTTCAGCTGCCTAGTATATTTAGAGAGGCTGTGCCCTAATTCAGAGGGCTCCTAGGCTTAGAAAATACTGCCATTCCACTGCTTGGCATAGAAAGAGCAGAGTTATTTATTCTAAAGTGATCATGCATAAGAAAGCATCTGTGTGACCGTGGTAAACTAATGCTATTAAAAGCGTTTCACTATTTCTTGGGTGGGCAGCCTGGGGAGGAAGAGTTATAACTAGCCCCACGAAATGAGGGCTGAGTCATATTTAATTTACTAAAAGAAAATAAAGGATTTGTTGTCACCCTGACTTGGTAGTTACAAATTGTTTGCCTGCTACAGCTGAATGTCCAAACCTTTAGTAATTAACAAAAAAAAAAATTGTAAGTAATTATTGCCAGTCCTTTGGAGATCAAGTTCTCCAGCCTTTTTACCTCTAGGAATCCAGAGTAAGAGCCCGTACCTCCTTTGTTTTTCCTCCAAGTTAGACATTAACTTTTGAAATAAGAGGTTGTTTTTATCTTCTAGAGGTTTGAGCATCTCTAGCAGTTCCTGCTTCCTTAGCTTTAAGTCCTCATTCAATTCCTTCAAGTAGTTGTCATCTATTTTAGAACTTCTGTGGGAAGAGGCACAATAATATCTGCCTTTAGCCTGGGTTGAGAGAGAGAGAGAGAGAGAGAGACCCTCTTTTCTATTCAGCATTTTCCATCAAAGACTCACCTTATTTCTGAGGGCAGGTAAGATCCTGAAGAGTTTGCACCACTTGTCATCTTGAAGGGTAACTTCTAAGAATAAAGAGGCCTTCCTGAAAATATGTGCCTTTTTTTCTATCCAGTTAAGTCATTATTTTTGTGCTGCTGTTCTTGAAACTCCTGCTGCAGTGGACTGATCTTAGCTACAGCGAGGTCACAATGGCCCTAATACCACATAATCAACAGGTCTTTAAAGTAATTTCAACATCAATGGCAGTTTGTTGACTGGAAATACTAACTACATCTGATCAGTTCTTGCCTTAGATCTAGCCAAATGACAAAGTTTTATTCTGAAGTCTTTGAATGAATAGGATGGAATCACATCATATCTACTTTTGTGTTAGAAAATGTTGGACTGTCAAAAACGACTCATCAACACCTTCTTTCATGGCAACAAACCTCTGTGAAATGCCACTATCTGTAGAGCACAGTGACAGAGTCTGCAAATGAAGAAAAGATAAAGACACAGCATATACCTTTTGGGGGCCTCAAGAGGAAGAAGGAATACTTCTAAGAGACTTTTTTTTAAAAGAGATCAAACTGGCAAATACAGGGTATGGATATAATAGAATAATATAATATATAAGCCACTGTCATTATTTTTCAATCTTTAAAATTTGATATTATCATAATGGCAGGTAAAAGAATATTGGACATGTAGGAAGAGGATTTAATTTGTGAAAGATCCATATCGTCAGTATGTCCTTCCATAACCACACTCTTCCCTGAAAGATTGTGTAATAATTCTAGCCTCCCTTCAGGATTTTCTGGTTCTGCTTCTATTTTCTTTTTTATTACATTTCTTTTACTACATTTCTTTTGGACCTTAAGATCTCTTGTCTTCATCTATGTCACTTATTGGAAGGTAACCCAGTTATACATTTGTTTTTTTTTCATGCCTTTTAAACACAGTTTTAGAGAAGTATTTTTAGTGAAGGTCTCAAAGTGAGTTAAGTCATGTCAATGTCAAGTACTAACTGAACACTTCCAGCCATTTTCTAGGGGTGTTCTCCAAAGTAACTTAACCCCTTTATGTTGTGGGAAACATTAAAGGGAGAGTATTATAATGGAAATAACACAAGATTTAGTTTGTCAGACTTTGGTTTGGATCTCAGCTTCACTGTGCATAGTGAGCTGCTTGTGAGCAAGTTACTAAATTTTCTGAGTCTCAGTTTCTGCTTTTGTAAAAGTGAGAAAGGTAATATCGACCTGATAGGTTCGTTGTGAGTATGAAATGTATTATGTACAGAGCTTGGTTCATGTTAGATGTTCCCATTTTAGTGAGTTTGTGTTTATTTGGTTTGGGTTTTAGGATTGCTTAATGCCTCAGTTAAGTGGTCAGATACAGAAAGGGTGATTTATATGAGGCTAATGAAACTTAAACTTTAGAGCCCTTTATTTTCACAGACCTCTTCCAAAGGCCCTGAACCTCATTTTGTATTCGTAATTTTGTATTCTTTTTTGGAAAGACAGACCACTCCAAATTATGTGTTTTAGGGGCCCACAAAACAAAGATCTGCTTCTGGTTAAATAGGATACATAGCTCTCCTAAGTATCCTCTACATCAAAACTTCTTTGGTAGTCTCTACACATACTTCTCTTTTTTTTGAGGCAGAGTGTTGCTCTGTTGCCCAGGCTGGAGTGCAGTGGCACAGTCTCAGCTCACTGCAACCTCCACCTCCCGAGTTTAAGCGATTCTCGTGCCTCAGCCTCCTGAGTAGCTGGGATTACAGGTGTGCACCATCACACCCAGCTAATTTTTGTATTTTTAATAGAAATGGGGTTTCACCTTCTTAGCCAGGCTAGTCTCAAACTCCTGACCTCAAATGATCCACCTGCCTTAGCCTCCCAAAATGCTTGGATTACAAGTGTGAGCCACCATGCCTGGCCTACAAATACCTTTACAACATATATATGTCACTTGTAAGTTTTGGATGATACCTGGTGTAATATGATGTTAAATTAGGACAGCCATATCAAATCATATATAATTCACATTGGTTGCCCTAGGAATTTCCATGAAAAGTTTGGATTGAATGAGGGTGAGAAAACGCCTCACAGTTAAAAAAAAGAAACTGGTTGGATGAATTATCATTAGTAGCATCTTTGACTGCATATGTGACAGGTGGTAGCAAATAGTAGAGGACAAAAATGGCATTGATCGCTAAAGTATTGCCTCTCTAAATTTCATGTTGTGATACTTGGTTGGCAGAACTATGATAGAATTTTGAAACATTTAATGGGCAGTAGCAGCCCAACTTACCTTCATTTCTGTTCTTGATTATGAATGATTCAAAGAGGAAGAGCACTTGCTATATATATATATATATATATATATATATATTTTTTTTTTTTTTTTTTTTTTTTTTGAGATGGAGTTTTGTTCTTGTTGCCCAGGCTGGAGTGCAGTGGTGCAATCTCGGCTCACTGCAGCCTCCGACTCCCGATTTCAAGTGATTCTCCTGCCTCAGCCCCCCAAGTAGCTGGGATTTCAGGCATGAGCCCCTGCGCCAGGCCAACACTTGCTATTTTGATGTGCTGTATCTATAGCCAATCAGCACCTTTTATTTCTTGTCTTTCCAATGCCCATTTGTTAACTTGCAATATTAATTCCAAGGAGAATATTTGCCTTGTAATAATGTATATAGAGTTTTTAGTAAATAGCTTAGAAACCAATGAACAGTATTAAGAGGGGATAGCATGATAATGATCCCCTGGAACAGGGGGAAGGGCACATTAAGATGTAGATGACCATTAGAGGTGGGAGGAAGGGAAATTGAACACAAATTTTTTCTGATGTAGAAAATTAGGTCATCTCTTGATTGAGGAGGTGTGGCAGGAAACCTCAGAAGAGTAATTACATGAGATTTGGAAGAGCACCTGAGCACTGGAAAAGGAAGCCAACCAGGCAAAAGTAAAAGGATTGCCAAGTAGTGCAAAGGGTCAAGGTGAATTTGGAAATTGCAGATTTGGCATGGCATGAATCAGCAGTTACACAATTTTCTCCAGCAGTACTTGGCAAACTAGAAGCAATAGTAGAGAGAACGAGATGGTTGTTTGACTCTGAGCTGGGACTTGGCAGAATAGATAAGCAGAAGTTCAAGGGAGCACTGAGAGTGCTGGTGAGAGTATCCATCAAAAGGTTGATGATAGTGTTCAAGCTAAGCAGGGAAGAAAAGGAAGGGGGTTGCTAAGAGAGGGGAAAACAGACCAGGGTCTGATATTGTGGGGTGTGGGGGTAGAAGAACAAAGGTTATGGTCAAGTAACATAGTGCTTATGAAATAACTTGTGGAAACTCATCCTGTTTAGATAAATTATAGGAACAATTCTATAATTTTTTTCTGCAGTAAACTTTCTATCTGTTGCTTCCTATCACAGCATAATATTCACTGAAATTCATGTGGTCTCTTAAAATAGGCCTTATAACAAGCTAGTCACAATGACCTCATCCAACATTAGAGCATTTGACTTTAGTATCTGTTGAGGAAACGTGTGATTGCTCTATAGTTAGAGAACTTGGAGCAATACCATTTTAGTGTTGGTTTTGCCGGTGGAAAATCAGATTAGTCTAATTAAGCCAGGTCTCCAAGAGTAGAGGCAATTATTTTCATATTAAACAAAACAAAACAAAAAAGGAGATGCTTTCCTATCCTCAGCTTTGTTTGTGGCAACAAAATTACAGAATTCCTCAGGGAGAAAACATGAGGACCTTCTGGTCCTGTCAACCCAGAGCCAATTCAACCCTTGGGGGAATTATAAGAATTTCATTAAAATAAGGAGAGAAGGACTGGCTCTCCTAACAGCAAGGCTTGTTGGCTCTTAAAGATCTCCCACATCTTCCTGTGCTGTTTGTTATGAACATTTTGTTGGCTCCTTCTCCTTAACCCTTGCTGTAGCTATCTCAAGTCAGGCTATACCTACCTACATTTAGATTAAATCCAGGGAGTTGAGAAGACTGAGATAAATGTTGGG
The DNA here is from genome assembly GCF_000001405.40 of Homo sapiens. Taxonomy (NCBI): domain Eukaryota; kingdom Metazoa; phylum Chordata; class Mammalia; order Primates; family Hominidae; genus Homo; species Homo sapiens. Next base: position 66,482,547 of record NC_000014.9, on the reverse strand, counting down.
ACACATTAATTTTCTGTAATATTATTGAAGTCTTTTTGAAAGTAATTCATTCTCTCAGTGTGTTCAGATACATTGCACAGTGGTCTTCAAACTGAGGTTTGTGAACTTTCCTCAAGACTTTTTGAGAAATGTGGAAGCAAGAGTAGTTTTTAGAAAAGCTTTTCTGAGATCCTCAATTTCCACAAATATTCTTTACTAAAATGAATCTGCCTGAGAATGTCCCTTGGCCTCTTTTCCCACCTCCCCTTTTCCAATCATGCTTCATCCACTTGTTAAAAGAATGGAATACTTTTCAACCATCTGGAATCTTACTTGGGGTAGTTTAATGCCCTAGAGGCTTTTACACATCCCTTTTACACATCTAGAGCATTAAACTAATCATATTTCAAAATGTTGGTGCTAGGATTAAAGAGAGTAAATGGCTATTAATGACTGGATTATAAATTCGTTTGCAGGTTAGGTGATTTCCAATTCTGTGCTGTTAACAAAATTGAAGGAAGACCTAATAAAATTGTCAGCTTAAACTTAATAAAATTAAATTTTGATGATAAATTATCTATGATTTGGGGTTTATAATTCAGAAGAAGTTCAAAGATTTGAGTGACATTGCTATAACAAAATACTTTCCATTCCCATCTCCTTATTTGTGTAAACACTCAGTGAGTATTGTATGTAAAGCAAAGCATATGAATAAAATTGATGCTTAAGCTTGTCTTATTCTAGTAATAAGTAATACTCACCAATGAATACATGAACTAACCAGGGAACAAAACAGCCTATCCATCAAATTAATAGAAGCACTTTCCAAAAATTGTCATAATTAAAAATTAGTTATGAAATATATATAATATGTATGTTTTTGTTAATTGTATACTAATAACAATTACAATGCTAACTTAGTTCTGAAGAAATGTTAACACAGTCTTAACGTCACAAAAACTAAAACAAAATTTCAATGTACATATTTTGCAGAGAAGCATGATGGGATGTTAAAAAAGACTTTAAAACATAAAATACATTGCATTAGAATAAATTTCTATGGGGACAGTGTAATGGAAACATGAGTTCAAGGAGAAAATGTCAAATTTTTGACTGTTGTAGAAGAGTTTTTCATTTATTTACATTTCATTAAGTATGAGTATTTAAGACTCGTTGGATACATTTTAAGGTGATAGATAAGACTTATTTGAAAATATCAGTATTACAATAAACCAGAAATTATATGTTTTGCAACTGTATAAAATTAGAATAAAAAATTGAGATGGCAACTTAAATGTGACACTGTACTTAGTTTTTCAAAATTCTTTTATAACACACAAGCAAAAAAAGCCTGAAGACCACTGTTCTGGGACAGAGGTTCTCTTTCTGATGGGATTTAAGAATCACTTGGGGAGCCTGGAAAAGCTGCATCTCCTCAGGGTTATCCCCCAGAGATTCCTACTCTGTAGATACGAAGAACGTGAGGTTTTAAAAAGCACTCGCTAATCCCTGGTGGTTCTGATGCGGGATCTGTGGAGCTATGACTGAGAATTACTGCTTCCAGGTTTCTTCTCCAATCACAGCGTATCAGCCAAAAGCTGTTTACTTGAATTGTTTTTGTTTTTTTTGAGTGGGAGTGGGGGCATCTGTAGAACTTACCTCCTGTGTGACATTTTGTGTCACATATTCACCTTGCATTTGGGATACCCTGAGTAAGTTTTATGAAGCCATTCCTGCATTTGTAAAGAAAATTATCTAAGACGTCTTTCCATGACCAGCTCTCCCCAGCTGCCACTACTGTCCACATATCATAAATTTCTTTCAGAATTAGATACTAAAGAAAATGTTGCTTCTTTGGGGAAATATTGGCATGTATTTTTCCTTAGGGACAAATCAGTAAACTGGTTTTGTTTTTATTTTCTTTTGGTATGCAGGGGATCTCAAAGCAATTTTGTGACCAGACATGTGAGACCCAACCCCTGTTTATGACTTTCTAATCTAATTAATACTTTTTTGTGCCTGATTTTTTAATCATTTTTTCTTATTTTCATAAACCTCCTCAATCCTTTGTAGAGAAGTATAAATAAGTAACCAAATGAGCAAAAATAATTCTCTGTATATATTTTTAAGATGTATGGAATACAATAGATTGGAAGAAAAACTATATTCTACTTTACCTAGTGTGTGTGTGTGTGTGTGTGTGTGTGTGTGTGTGTGTGTGTCTGTAAAGAAAGTTTACTTTGCTTCTGGAAGCAGAGTAGATTTTTGAAATTTACTATTATATTTTGGGTGCACTCAGCTAATAAAGTATATTGGGGTTTTAGGTACACATCTGGGTAAAGGGATGTGGGACAGACTAGACAGGCTTGGGGAATAGCTGGATGCCCAGGCTTCAGTTCCATCAGGGAACAGTAGCACATAGCAAATAAGAAAAGGAAGTAGAATCTATTAATGTGGAGCAATCCAAGTCAATAGGGCTTCCTAGTCCACAGAATTCCTTTTAAAAGAGGTTCAGATCCCATAGGCTGGTGACCATGAAGGTGCCAATATTCCTCCAAATATACCTTAAATCTTTTAAGAGCCTTTCAAACTAATTTTTGGTAGACAGTAGAAGCTGAATCATTTACTTGTCTTACATTTTTTGAATCCTATTATGTGTTCTAGACCTGCCTAGCCCCAAGATTACAAAGTCAAATGAGACAAATAAGACAAAATTCTTGCTCTTAGGACTTTTTAGGCTTAGATCAGATTTCTGTGAGGGCTGCTAGTCTCCTTTGGTATTAGAAAAAGATATCCCCTCTAGGCAAATCCCCTCTAGGCAAAGTTAGGAAATGATTTTCATAATAATTTTAGAGGGGAAAATGATTTCCCCTCTAAGGCTCCTCCTGAGGGGGCTTAGAGGGGATATCTTCCTTCCTTGATGAAAGAAGCCCCCACTTCCTTCTTAGTGAGAGTGTCTTTATCAGGTAACCACTAGCACAACCACATGCCTGCTAGATGCCTTAAATGAGAGAAACTGGCAAAGTGGGAGTGCTAAGTGCAAGCACTGAGCCCATTGCAGCAGGGACTGTGCAGGGTTACAGGAGAGCAGAGGCCTTGTCTACAGTAGGGTGTGGGGATGGGGAATCAGCTCCAGCTGAAAATGTAGAGACGTAATCCTGACAGTTCCTAATGATTTTCAAGAGTAGCTGGAAATGTGAATTTGTTGTGACTTTTGACTTTTAAATATTGTGTAGAGTAAATACATGCTTGGAGGCTGCACCTGGCCTTCAGGCTGTCATTTTGTATACTCAATCAGTCTTTTTCTGTGCTAGGTTTTTCTTTTTTTGCAATGAAATAACGATTTTTAAAGAAGGCATTTAATCCAGGTAATTCAAGGATTGTTTTGCTTAAATTATATGAAATGCCAGTTTGATCTTATTACCTAATTTGATAGATTTAGATTCAGTGTGTCAGAGAGTGAATGACAGAAGTAACACTTTTAAAATAAAATGAGAAAACCCAAAAGAACAAATATTCTTGACACCTATGATTAGGCATTATAGGGGACATAGAAAAGTACTAAATAGATAAAATATAAAATTTGTAAAGGGCTGGGTTATATAATACATCTCAAATTAGATAATCTAGTCATATTCCACAGCCAAAATAAAAAGTAGTCTCCATAGTCTAAACTGAGCAAAAATTATCTAGTTCTGCGTTAGCTACTCATATAGGCTCATCTGCCACCTCTACTGAAATGATTGAACAACCTAAAGTATGCCACTGGTATAATTTTCTCAATTTAACAATAACCATCTACAATATTAGGCACTACAAAATAAAAATAACCAAATTATGTACCCTTGCCCCATATGCTGCTTCAATAATGACATTTGTCATATTAGGCCTTTTTTCTGTATAGTAGCATTTTTCCATCTTTTATTTGCATTTGTATTTGCAAATAAAAAATGATATATAAATAAATGATAATTAGGAAAATATAAAGAAGCAGAGTCTGAACAGGTTCTGTATATTTTTTAAAGGCTGTGTAAGCCCTAGGTGACAACTCTGAGAATCTTCTGGCTTTATAAGCTGGTCATTTTCCATGTAAAAAAAATTTTTATTCTGAGACTTGTTTAATATACCAGATCTGACTCCCTTTCCAATTTCAGTTTGGATGCACTGTGGCAAACGTTCTGAATGTTATAAAATGAGATATCAAATGAAATACTATTTATGAACCACAAAATCATTTTAAATAAATGAAGTTTTATTACTTGAGTACATGTATTAGAAACTGGTCTATAACCCAAGCAGCGTTTACTAAAAATTAAATGAAGGCCATTACATATAGTAATATATCATGATAATAAATCCCTGAATTAGGATATTAACTCTAAATCTTTAAATTAAATCAGGACTAGTTACTCCTTTGTCCAAATGGTCAAAAAGCTTGATCTAAGGTGTTCACATTAATTAAAAATTTTTGTAAGTTAAATTATGATATAGATTGACATTTTAAAATATAACTCTCCCAATTTCATAAAGAAGTTTAAAAAGGTTAAACGTCTTAATGACTATGCTGGGACTTCCTTTATAAATCCACTCTTGGGCATGTGATTATGACATGCCCAAGAGAGAGATAGATACATTCTTTTGTCTTGCCCATTGAATAGACTCAATAATTAACAAATTGGATTGGAGTAGGTAGTTGCAAGTATCAGCATTTTTCAGCTTGAAACTTTTCTTACATGTAGCCAACACTATTATTTGCCTACATCAATGTTACTTCCTCTTTTGTCCATATGTTCAGTCCCAGGGTTAAAATCACAATTGATCTGAACCAACTGTGGCAATTCACATCCTCTTTGCCAGTGACAGGTCTGAGAATGGACATGGGATTCAGTCCTGGCTAGTGAAACATGAGGTGAAGCCTTCTGGGGTTTCTGGGCAAATTTTTTCTTTCTCTTTAATAAAAGGAGGAAAACAATGACAAGTAAAAAGTATATTTTCTTTACAATGTCTTTTCTACTTTGGATATGGTCCTAAAAGGACAGGAAGCTTGGAGCTACTCTGGCTGTTTTGTAACAATAAGGTAGAAGGCCAAGAGAATTATGGAGAAACTGACCCAATACCCTGAGATGGTGGAACTGCTGAAACAAACTTTGAACCGCTACGTCCAGACTTCTTTTACATGGAAAAAAATATATATTCCTTTATTGTTTAAGCCACTGATAGCTAGATTGTTTGTTACTTCAGCTGAATATATTTTTCCTTGAATACCATATAAATGCAGGGCCAGTATTGTGCCAGAGCCAGCTTACACTGGCTTGTGAGATGATTGTGCCTATCTGTTTCCAATTCCACATTCAGTGACTTTAAATCATCTGGGGTGAATAGTCACACTCTGGAACCAGGCCAAAGATACATATCCGAGCTGTTTTCACCAGAGAGCTGGTTGTTGAAAACATTTATCAGCATCACACCACTAGGTGACTTACATTAACTCCTACAGATAATGTCATAGCAACTACTATGCTACCTATCATCTTTTAAAGTGCATTTTTAATAGTAAATGGGTAATAAGTTATATCAAGACATTTTTAATTTGTGGAATTTTAGAACCAGAGGACAGTTTAGTAAATTTAAAAACCGAAATCAAATACTGGGTGATTTTAAAACTAATCTAACATTATATAACTAGTTAATAGCAGAGTTGAGTCTCGAATTTGACTCTTTATTCCCATTTTGGTGATTTTTCCAGTATACCATATAGCCATTATATTATTTATACAATAATAATAATAATTCTTTGAGTGCCAACATCTATCTTCAAATCAAAATAGTAAGTTAGCAAGATACTCAATTTCCGTATAAATAGACTGGCCTAGTTTTGATGATGCATATAATGTAACATTTAATTATATATTGTAAGTTTTGGTCTATTTAGCAAAGATACAGACGTTGAAGAAGGCTGACATATGGAAACTTAGCATGACAACCATGCTTAGCCAACAACCTTCAATTATCATGACTCACACTACTTCCAATAAGTAACCGGATGATCAGAATTGAGCTTGGATTCCCCAACTACACCAGAGATACTCGTACAGAGGGGAAACTGCTACCCACATCCATTTTCCAAAGGCTGAAGGACCGTCAGTTGAAGTCTGAGCTCCTCTGCTGAATTGAAGGTAGACAATCTTGAAAGATAGAAACTGCATTGTGAGATGAAATGAATTTTTAAAGGATCTAGACTAGACTCTTAGGACAATGTGAGGCAAGATTCTGACAACTTAGGTTTGAAATAGCTAACCATATTTGCCAACAATGATCAGATATTAGAGACACACAATTCTAGTTAGAGTTCTTATGGGAGCTTCACAATGATAGTGAGAATAAAAATTGGTCAATTTCTGGAAAGCAATTAGACAATGTACTGCATATCAAGAACCTTAAAAATAAAGATTTTGCAAAATTTTTTATGTTGATTGTGGGATGATTTGTATAAGGGAGTTCATTATATTAGTCTCTATTTTGGAGAACAGTTAAATTTTTCACAAAATTTGAAGAAATATTGATAATATTTGGCTCAGGAATTCTAAGTTTTTTTGTAATTCATTTTGTGATTCATTTTAACAAAATAGTATAGATGAAAAGATCAGTGAACATTATAGAGTGGTGAAAATTGGAAACAATCTAAATTTCTAACAACAGGGAGATGGATGAATAAATTATGATATATCCATACAAGGGAATGCAATAGAGTCATTAAAATAATATTTGGAAGGATACTTAATAAAAAGAGTACGTCAAAGTACATCAAATAAAACAATATGGAACAGTGTAGTCTGTATGTGTGTATATATGTGCGTGTTTAGAAGATGAAGAAAATGCATTAAAATCAAAATATTCTTCATGATTATATTATTATTCTATTTTTCTGAGTTTTTCAAGTTTTTTATAATGAACATATATAAGCTTTTTAAGTTAAAAATAACTATTTTCTTTTTTCTTAATTATACTTTAAGTTCTAGGGTACATGTGCACAAGGTGCCGGTTTGTTACATATGTATACATGTGCCATGTTGGTGTGCTGCATCCATTAACTCGTCATTTACATTAGGTGTATCTCCTAATGCTATCCCCTCCCCCCTCCCCCCACCCCACAACAGGCCCCCATGTGTGATGTTCCCGTTCCTGTGTCCATGTGTTCTCATTGTTCAATTCCCACCTATGAGTGAGAACATGTGGTGTTTGGTTTTTTGTCCTTGTGATAGTTTGCTGAGAATGATGATTTCCAGCTTCATCCATGTCCCTACAAAGGACATGAACTCATCATTTTTTATGACTGCATAGTATTCCATGGTGTATATGTGCCACATTTTCTTAATCCAGTCTATCGTTGTTGGACATTTGGGTTGGTTCCAACTCTTTGCTATTGTGAATATTGCCGCAATAAACATACGTATGCATGTGTCTTTATAGCAGCATGATTTATACTCCTTTGGGTATATCCCCAGTAACGGGATGGCTGGGTCACATGGTATTTCTAGTTCTAAATCCCTGAGGAATCGCCACACTGGCTTCCACAATGGTTGAACTAGTTTACAGTCCCACCAACAGTGTAAAAGTGTTCCTATTTCTCCACATCCTCTCCAGCACCTGTTGTTTCCTGACTTTTTAATGATCACCATTCTAACTGGTGTGAGATGGTATCTCATTGTGGTTTTGATTTGCATTTTTCCGATGGCCAGTGATGATGAGCATTTTTTGATGTGTCTTTTGGCTGCATAACTGTCTTCTTTTGAGAAGTGTCTGTTCATATCCTTTGCCCACTTGTTGATGGGGTTGTTTGTTTTTTTCTTGTAAATTTGTTTGAGTTCTTTGTAGATTCTGGATATTAGCCCTTTGTCAGATGAGTAGATTGCAAAAACTTTCTCCCATTCTGTAGGTTGCCTGTTCACTCTGATGGTAGTTTCTTTTGCTGTGCAGAAGCTCTTTAGTTTAATTAGATCCCATTTGTCAATTTTGGCTTTTGTTGCCATTGCTTTTGGTGTTTTAGACATGAAGTCCTTGCCCATGCTTATGTCCTGAATGGTATTGCCTAGGTTTTCTTCTAGGGTTTTTATGGTTTTAGGTCTAACATGTAAGTCTTTAATCCATCTTGAATTAATTTTTGTATAAGGTGTAAGGAAGGGATCCAGTTTTAGCTTTCTCCATATGGCTAGCCAGTTTTCCCAGCACCATTTATTAAATAGGGAATCCTTTCCCCATTTCTTGTTTTTGTCAGGTTTGTCAAAGATCAGATAGTTGTAGATGTGTGCTATTATTTCTGAGGGCTCTGTCCTGTACCATTGGTCTATATCTCTGTTTTGGTATGAGTACCATGCTGTTTTGGTTACTGTGTCCTTGTAGTATAGTTTGAAGTCAGGTAGCGTGATGCCTCCAGCTTTGTTCTTTTGGCTTAGGATTGACTTGGCAATGCGGGCTCTTTTTTGGTTCCATATGAACTTTAAAGTAGTTTTTTCCAATTCTGTGAAGAAAGACATTGGTAGCTTGATGGAGATGGCATTGAATCTATAAATTACCTTGGGCAGTGTGACCATTTTCATGATATTCATTCTTCCTACCCATGAGCATGGAATGTTCTTCCATTTGTTTGTATCCTCTTTTATTTCATACTGTACTACAAACGTAGACCATATACCTGCAGCCATTGGATCTTCAACAAACCTTCTTGCTTTGAAGGGCAGATGGGGTCCTGGGTCAAAACTGAGTGAGTGTTCCAAGGTGAATGGAATGATTTCCAAGCTAAGTGTAATTCCAAGGTGGGTGGAATGATTTGGGAAAGGTGCTAATGCTTCTTTGTATTTGTAATACCTACTAGAGTGCTTGGCATTTGTAGATAATTAAATTTGTTTGTTAAAAGCATGTGTGATTATCTGAGGATATTAGGAGTGAGAATGCAAGCCAGGTGTTTTGCATGTTTTGCATGTTAAAGCAGTTTCTGGGGTTTATAATATGGTTTGATTATCCTGGCTGAATGAAAACGTAAGAGAAAATGTGATTCAGAATATAAATTACTCAGTTCTTTCTTATCCCCCGTGGCAAGGCATATCCCCCAAGTTTGCTGATTTGGAAAATCCTTATTTTTGCAAGGACTGAATTCCCTTGCTTGCTATTTATCAGCATTCTGCTGACAACTGTTGTTCCTTCTCTGTTCTTAGCCCCTTTTTTGTTTTTCTTGTTAAAATATCTATTTAAAAAGTCAGTTCAGTAGCCCAACTATTTCAAAATCTCATTTCATCTCATTTGTCATTTATTACTAGGCCTATTTTCTCTTCAGTGTTTCTTATCCCCCAGATACATTTGAGGAAACTCTTTTAAATCCCTGGAACGATTGCATCACTAGTTCATTTTACTGAAAAAAAATTGACTCAAACTTTGATCCCTATATATTACTCCTACTTTTCAATTTCAAGTATTTTTTTCTTATAAATCTAGAACTTTGAAAAGTCCCTAGTGAGTCTAGTCTGAATAAAACACACAGTTTTGAGAAATTTATCAGATGAATTATAACGTATTACTATTTACCTCTAGGTTATTTGAGGATAGTCTGGTCTTTTTTTAATCTAACAGTTTTCCATACCTTCTATCATTAGGGTTCACAAAGATGCAGCTTGTTTTGTAGATATTTCATATTTTTCCCTAATTTTGACTTGCTTTTGGTTTCTTAATTTTTAAAAATAGGCTTATCTGGAACCCAGTTTTAATAAATCTTGCCTTCTAAACATGTCTTTTGGTAGTGTTCAATGTCAAGGGCCATTCTCCTTTTGCTTTTCAATATTCATTAGGTGCTATTGAATAGCAGACCCAAGAAAAGAAAAAAAATTGCCTTCAGAAGAATAGTAGAAAGAACATTAAGTTCAGAGTCAGGAGTCCACTCTTAAGCTTTCTGTCTCACAGTTTATTTTACTTTTTTGGATTCAGGCTTTGCCTATCCCTCTTTCCCCATCTAGAATCAATCATCTCCCTTCTCTTCTTATCTAATACTGAGAAAATGCATAGGAAATTTTGCAAAGCACTATGAATGCCTGTGAAAAAGGGCATTATGTAAATGTGCACTATTATTATGCTGGAATTTTGCCATTTCTCTGTATGCAAAAGGATAAGATTTAGAATAATATTAGCTCCTTTCAACCTCCAGTCCAAGGATGTTCAGTTACCAAATACTAGGAGAATGGTATTTTGATTCTTATTTGGTAGGCCACAGCAAAGCTTCAAGACACACTAGATTTATGCTATTTTTTTTTAATGATGATTAGTGTCATTATTATGTTTACCCTCTTGGGAGAGGGATAGCAATGGAGGGAATTGAGGGCAGGATGTTCTGTTTTTGCTTATTTTGCTTTGATGAGGGAAAAGGCAGTGCAAGAGAGGGTCCTGACTGAGGTCTAAATGGTCCAAATAGCTCAGTTTATATGTGAAAGGGGGAAAAAGATGGTAAAGATGTTGCATAATACAAATGAAATTTGTATAAATACTGACACTATTGTGAACCTCCAAAATTTGAGACAGGTCTCAGTTAATTTAGAAAGTTTATTTTGTCAAAGTTGAGGACACGTGCTCATGACACAGCCTCAGGAGGTCCTGACGACGTGTGCCCAAGGTGATCAGAGCACAGTTTGGTTTATACATTTTAGGGAGACATGAGATATCATTCAACATATATAAGATAAACATTGGTTCAATCTGGAAAGGCAGGATAACTTGAAGCAGGGAGGTGGCTTCTGGGTCATAAGTAGATAAGAGATAAATGGTTGTATTCTTTCGAGTTTCTGATTAGCCTCTCCAAAGGAGGCAATCAGATATGCATTTATCTCAGTGAGCAGAGGGGTGACTTTGAATAGAATGGGAGACAGGCTTGCTCTAAGCAGTCCCAGCTTGACTTTTCTCTTTAGCTTAGTGATTTTGGGGGACCAAGATATTTTCCTTTCAAATTTCTCCCCTTTTTTTTTGTAAAATCTTTTGGAGAAAGCATTTTAGAAGAAATTGAGCCTCTGGTCCCATGTTTTGTCTGATCTCTCATGGCTAGGATGATTTGTTCCTAGACAGGTAAGCACCAAGTTATTAGGAAAGTTTTGTTAGAAGGTTGTGAAGTCTCATGTCCTATGAAAAGAAAATAGGGGGAGGAAGGGAGAAAAACAACAACCACAAAAAGAACAATCCTGGAAAATCTATATAGGCCACATTACTCTGAAATCCAAACATTGGCAAACAGGCATGAAAGTGGTTTATGTATGTAAATAGGTTGCTGTTATTTTCTTCTGAAGTTTATTGTCTAGCTTAAGTTCTCAGGGCTTTATGAAAGTGCAGCTTAGTTTTCAATGACTCCAAATTAGAAAAAATGGGGGAAAAAGAGGGAAAAAATGGAAAACATTATTTTGAAAACTTGTAGCCAAGAAAAATTAGAATTTGTCCAAACTGTAGAAAATAATAAAACTGAAAAACATTAAGCAAGACTAGAATCTAACAACAAATATATTTTAGTTTTGAAACATAAATTTTCTCTCCCCAGTTTCCCATTTTTATTAATGACAAGTCATGATAGGACTGATATGCTTTATTTTACTTGGCCTAATTATTTGCATACAGTGCAGCAAGAATAAATATTTTTCACATAGGCTTTTAAAATGGCTTTGATGGAACTCTGTTCCATAGAAGGAATCTCAGATAAGACTTTTTTATAGTTGAGCCCAGCCATGGATTTGTGCCATCAAATACCTATGAGTCGGGCGATCCTTTCCTCTTGAGGTCCCGAGATAAACCTGGGGCTCCTGGGCCTGCCAGAAAGTGACATTATTTACTTATCACAGATCAGAAACCCTGTACAGGGAAGTTATGAGGCCAGTTTCCCCAAAGGGCTTTATTGGCTCCATAAGTCAAGTTTGATTCCTTAAAGGAAAGCACACCATTCCAATCAAAGCCTCATTAAAATAACAAGTTTCTCCAATTGTGTCCTGTTGCAAAATGAAAAGATTCTTACTGCACTTATGCAAATAACTGTATTGTGTAAGTTAAGAATACTCACAAATAGTTTCCAAATTGTGGAGAAATCAGGTAGAGAGAAACAAATATGCTCCAAATTTTGTTCATAGGAGTATATAAAATTGTTAAAAGCTGTCAGTAGCTCAAAAGAAGTTTCCTTGACTCTGAAAAAAAACAAAGATGAGCAATGTTTAAAGCAAATAGTCAAAAATATTACTTTAGTCTTCTATCAGTTCAGTTTACATAGTTAACTTCTGTTCTGCTTGATATTCATGAACATTTCAGCTCTCCATGGGAGTCCTGAAAGTTTTTTTCCTCTAGTCTAATGTCACAATTTCCAAAGTTATCAGAAATCTGCATTTAAGAACACCTGTTAGAGTTCTATAGCTGATTATAAAACCACCTTCTAAGGAGGACCAAAACAAGACAACAATTGTCCATGGATGACAAAAGGTTTTAGAGCAGCCATAGTCAAAGACACGAGTGACAAGGAAATTTGTTACCTCTGTGGCACACAATAATTTAACATGACAATTACAATTATTCCTGATAATGAACACTAAGTCATATCGGAATTATAGGAATTTCCTGTGATTTTGGAACACATACCAATAACATATTTGTACAAATACAGCCTAAAGAAAACCAAACACCATTTTATATTTGACAATGTTTCCTATATAATTTTTATACCAAATAAGCCAGACTATGTCATTTCTGGACTTTAGGGAACCTAATACCTTAAAGGATAAATTTGGTTAGAAAAAGACATAATGTATAATTTGATTTTGGAAAGTTTGTCAAATATCAAAGGTTTAAAACTCTTGATATCACAAAACAGGATCATTCATTTGACCAAAGTGATAACTCAAGGATTTCAAAAAGGCAAAAACCTTCATTCTTTGAGAGAGGAGACTTAATGTTGCAAACCACAAGCCCTGATAAAAACAGCATGAAGCCAATTAAATGTGTTTTTCAAAATTTTATAAACAATCTATAAAGTTTTAATCTTGACCATAAGATACAACTTCCATAAGCCTTTTATAACCTTTATTAGGGAGTCAGTTAATGCTTCAAGAAAACCTTGTTAATTTGACACAGGGGCCCATATGCTGGTCTTGCATCAGGGTGCCTTTAATATCAATGACTAATTTATAGAGAAACTGAACTTATGTTTCAAAATCAGCCCTTTCAATCTCATGTGCCCACCTTTTCTGTGATAGTCCCTGGGCCTTGAGTTGAAATAGCTTTACTTTCTGGCCCTGTGTCTCAGGAATGTTTATTTTGATTGACATCTTCTGCAGGGCCTGAAGATGGGGCTTTAATTGCTTTCGGTGTTTAAAATTTAGCAGGACTTGGTGTTCTTTTTAGATCCAGGAGTCAAAGTCCTGTAACTTAGTGTCACAGGTACTTTAAAGTTGCATCAGAGAGTTAGACAGATGTAATAACCTTAATTTTAAAAAAAGTAATCTGAGAATTTTCCTAAGCAAACAAAACTTAAATAATAATATGACAACTTGATCATATAAAAGATTTTTTTAAATAAATCCTCTTACTGTGGCTTACACAGACCGTTCATGATATGCTTGGACATTCTGGTTTGTCCTGAACATCCCTCTTTCTTAAACAACTAGTCATTTTACTCTAGGACTAAATTTACCATACAAGATCCTTTCTCATATGAAATTGTTTCCCTTTAAGCTTTCTTACAAAAAAAAATCTTTATTTTTATAACTTTCTTTAGTAATCTCTTTTACTTCTTGGTTCCTTTTACCTTGTTTTATACATACCTTCAAGCTTTAAATTAGACAAAAATTGTTCACCATTTTTTAAAAGGATACACTTTTTTAATGTTTTCCTACAAGTTTATTTTTATTGGAAAATATCCAAATAATGAAATATCTATTATTTAATTTAATATAACCTTAGATTCTAAATTATGATGAGTTTGTCTACAAGTATTTATCCTATTATATTTACCTAATTATTTTATTTATTTTAACAGTTTACCTAGATTATTTATAAAAACTGCAATTGTCATTATTTAAAGTTATGGAGCTGCCATTGCAAAATTATAACTGAGACAGTGAAAAAGATTTGATCTAACTGACTCCATCTTACTTCTAACCTCCAAGCTGTCCTTGTTCATTCCTGGGCATAGGCCAAACTAACTTTGGGAGGAACTTAGTTTATAGTTTAGCTTTGAAACAAAGACAATAACAGTCCTTTCCCAAAACAGACCTTACTGCCTATGGACTAGACCACCTAAAGCCACAAGATGAGAAGTTATAGTAATCTCACTAAATTCAAGATGTAGCTATTTTTACTAAACTAATATCAACATCTTATTTATTAAAGATTACACAAGCAAAGATCATTCTGTCTTGGGCTGGGTTTATAGTTTTGTAAACCTTATGCCAAATTTTTACACCTTATAGTATCTGGTAGGGATAAGTATGAAATTGTTTGATTAATAATTGCAAACAAAAATGTATGCTGGTAATTCTTAAGACATTTCTAATATTACTTTACCAACAATTTTAAAGCTAACTTATTTATTAAAGATTTTACTTAAGTTATGTAAACTTGAAAAACCATTTGGCTAGTCTTTTTTTTCCTGATAAAGTGTTTGATTCAAGCACTTTTATTTTCTTAAGCCAATTAATTAAAGCTCTTTTATATGTTTTTTGTAGTGAAATATTTTGTACATAAAACATAAATATATAGACATATTAGGCATGCCAATAGAAATACATCTTAGAGATTTATAAAACTCTTTTTTTCTTATCTTAGACTTTCAGATTCTTGATAACCTGTTTCACGACTCTAGGCAGTTGTCAGCTAAACAGCTTTAAATTTGCATATTAAAGGAAACAACTCAGATGAAAATCAAATAGCAAAATTTACATCATAAAGTACATAGAGAAAAAGTCTAGTGGTGCTAGAGGGAGATTAAAGATGGATGCCAAATCAAACGTAAAATTGTGGAAATCAATCATAGGATTGTATAAGGAGATCAGTTTTATTTAGATAGGGACTACCTAACTTTTAACTGGATCTCTGTGCTCTGGGAAGAGCCCACACTGAATCCTGGGTTTCCAAAAAGTAAGAGTTATTATGAGATTGGACCAGGTGATGCTTTTACAGTACACTTAATTTTTTTTAAACAAAGACATTTCTAAGTGTCTAAACCACAGTCTTCCTTAAAAACCCAAGAGTAACCTCTGTTGCAATAACTGTTTTAGTAAAAATATAAAACGGTAACACAATACAAAATTAAGGAATTTAAGAGCTGAGACGAACTTGTCTGATTACATTCTTGGGGTTCCATAAGGAAAAAATGTTTCTCCCCCAAAGAGAGTCTGGTGTCTTCTTCATTTTCTTTAAGGAACCCTAGGTTATTATAATCTATTTTAGGTTCTCCATGCAGTAGAAGGTGCAAGAGAAGAGACAGCAGAAGTAAATGAAGAAAACAGAATTCAGTCAACTGAGAAGAAAAATACTTTTGCTCAAAAAAAAAAAAAAAGACAAGGTCCTAGGATAAAAGCAAAAACAAAATCACGAAAGCCTGTTAAACACAAGCACACACATATGCACACAAACACACACATAGGCACACACACACACACATCTTGGATGTTAGCTTTTAATTAAGCTGACTTTTAACCACTGAGCTCCTTTAAAAAAATCTTTTTAAATCTCATTACCATATTTCAGCTAGGAAAAATTCTGCTATTTCAGAAGTATAGCCAATGCTCTTTCAGTTTGGTCTGGCTAGCAAAAAGGTGGCCTTGTTGTTTAAATAAAGACCCTTAGTAGTCAAAATAAAAAATATTTTCTCTTTTTCTTTTTCCTTTTGCTGGCAATTTTTCTCTCCCTACCACACCACCTTTTTGTGTGTATGTGTGGAAAGTTAGCCACTTCAGAGGCCTTGTTCCCCATAATTTGGAACTTCCTTTGGATTTAATCAAGTCAGATAGAGTTGATCAAACCCAATGAGAAAAAGACCGAAACAACAACAAAAACAGAAACAAACAACATAAAACAGTTAAGCAAAACAAAAGATCACACAACTTATATGATTACTGAGTGCTCTAATGGTAAGGAGAAATTAAGACCAGCTGGTTGTTAACTTTAGCCAAGACAAAACCCCAATTCAGCTACTTACCTAGAGATGGGTCTCAGGCTGAAGATGGCTGTCTACCATCCTAGAAGTAGGAAAAAAACCCCTCATCTGCCCTGTTGGAAGTGAGCTGAAACTCCATAAAGGAGTAACTGCCTTCTATCATCATGGAAGCAGGAAAACTTGTCTTCCTTGTTGGAAGCAAGTAGAACTTCAAAAAACAAAACAACAACAACAACAAAAAAACGGGGAGTTGTACAGCAAAATAAACTTTAGGTCTTAACCAAATTTTGGGAGATCAGGGATTCTCTGGAGGGGGTGCTCCCATACCTCAGCAAATTGTCCTGTTGGTTTGAGCCATAAAGTTAGCTCATGCTGGTACCAAGCACTGGTAGGAGATTTCTCAAAGGTCAGGGGCACTTCCACTCAGAATCCCTACGTGGTTACCAAAATGTAAACCCCCAAAATCTGAGACAGGTCTCAGTTAATTTAGAAATTTTATTTTGCCAAGGTTGAGGATGCATGCCCATGACACAGCCTCAGGAGGGTCTGATGACATGTCCCCAAGATGGTCAGAGCACAGTTTGGTTTTATACATTTTAGGGATATATGAGACATCAATCAAAATATGTAAGATGAACATTAGTTCAATCTGGAAAAGCAGGACAACTCCAAGTGGGGAGGGGACTTCCGGGTCATAGGTGGATAAGAGACAAATGGTTGCATTCTTTTAGTTTCTGATTAGCCTCTCCAAAGGAGGCAATCAGATATGCATTTATCTCAGTGAGCAGAGGGGTGACTTTGAATAGAATAGGAGACAGGTTTGCCCTAAGCAGTTCCCAGCTTGACTTTTCCCTTTAGCTTAGTGATTTTGAGAGCCCAAGATATTTTCTTTTCACACTATGTAGAATATAAGGATATATACTGCCTCCAGAGTCACTAAAAGGTACAAGGCAGTACTAAACACTCCCAGATGTAAAAGAGTCAGCATCCTTCACTGAGCAATTTAAGGGTACATGAAAGCCCAGTCAGCCCCAACATACCTCCTGCTTCCTCAGTGCCATAATCGGCTGTCTCCACCATCAGACCCACTTCACTAAATTGCATTTGCAGTTAATTATTCTATTCAGAGCCCCTGCATAAGACTAGGAGCTCCTGCATAAGAGCTAGGTGCTTATGATTAATGCAACCAGCAACTAACTTGCTGTAAGTATTGATTGATTCTCAAACCTTGTAGAAAAGATGACTTTTAGATGAGATCTTGAAGGATGAGTAGAGGTCAAAAAGTCAAGTACCCTGTGCAGTTAACATAAACATATGAAGTAGACTAGATACAATACAATAGGAGCCTAGCTACTTTTGTTAACTGGGTAAGAGTAATATCTACCTCATTACTTGCTACAGGCCCAATGTAATGGCCAAAAAAAATGTATCTAGGGTCATATAGAAATCCTTGGATACCAGCTTGAAATCCCTAATTTAAATAGATGGAGGAAGGATAGTAAGGTATTTCCAACTGAAGGAGTAATATGGAAATAAAAAAAAAGTAACCATGACTTGCATGTTACTTATGAGAACTCTATTGGCTTTGATTAATTTATAACAGGTATTGGCAATATTTCAGAAGCATGGGTACAAGAAATTACCACTCTTCTTTTGAAGAGATAGAGACTGGTAGGGTAAGATCTCATAACCTAAAGTGAGCAAAGGGCTTCATTATGGCTCAAGGTTCAGAAACATTTCCCATAAATATTTCGCCATTAATGTTAACATATTCTTCTTTAAAATGCAGATGTCAATCAGAAAAATTCAAATCATATCACCTTGTATAACCTAGCTGAGACTAACCCCAAAGAGGGAATAGAAAATTACATGGGGGAGGGAAGAGGGGAAATTTAGAGCTTAGGTCTTGGGTAGAAGTCAGAATCGTAGGTGGATGTGAGTGCTCTGGCAAGCTGAAGGCAGGTGAGGAAGCCTGCAGGTAGTGGGGGTGGATACTGCAGGAGAGGGAGGAGGCAGTCTTTGCCTACTGTGCAGTTTTGCCTAGGGCAGCTAATTGCTTGTGCCTAGAAAATTGCCTCTGGAAGCCTTGGGCAATATGCGGTAGCTTTTCCCTGATGCCTAGTTTATCAGGTTAAGTTGAAATTTTGTGGGGAGAAAGGGAAGAATGATGAGCTGAAAGAATTCCTGAGCTGAAAGAAACCTGAAAGATCACCAACTTTTTTCAACAAAGTATCTCCAATGATAAGAGAGGGAACTTGAACCTCCAGGAATCTGGGGACTTAGCCCAAAGTAACCCACTACAAGTGGGAATATCTTTGAAATCTCTTGGTTTATCTTAAAACTTTGCACAAAGTTTGTATTGATTCAACATAACCATGTTTGTTTTAATATAATAAGGCTTTAAATTACTACACCCAACCCACCAATCTGTAAATAAAACTGTCTAAGGCCCTACCCGTGATATGTCAAATGGCTTGGTCAAGACATTTAACTAGTAAGGGCAAAGATAGAATAAGAATTCAGGGCCCGGTACGGTGGCTCACGCCTGTAATCCTGCACTTTGGGAGGCTGAGGCGGGTGGATCACCTGCAATCAGGAGTTCGAGACCAGCCTGGCCAACATGGCAAAACCCCATCTCTACTAAAAATACAAAAATTAGCCAGTCATGGTGGCAGGCGCCTGTAATCCCAGCTACTCCAGAGGCTGAGACAGGAGAATCACTTGAACCCAGGAGGCAGAGGTTGCAGTGAGCCCAGATTGCGCCGTTGCACTCCAACCTGGGCAACAGAGCAAGACTGTCTCAAAAAAAAAAAAAAAAAAAAAAAAAAAAAGAATTCAGGTCTCCTGACCACAATGCCATATCTCAGTTATGTACCAATGGAGATGAATAACAGTGCAAGATGGTGAGGACTGTGTCTGAGGAGAAGGGTAAAAAAGGGAAAGTGGAAGGGATCTTCACTTTATAATTTTTCTTTAGGATTAACTCTGGTGTGAAGATTATATAAAGTAAGGGAAGGGATCTAACATTCATTTCTATGTGCCCACACTTTGTACTGGACACATTATCTTTATTATCTCTCTTAATTTTCATAGCAACTGTGGAATAAGTTATCACCATGATACAGTACAGGATGAACAAATTCTGAGATTAACAAATCTGCCTATGGCTGCTCAACTGGTAAGAGGTAGAGTTAGGATTTGAATCCAGAAATGTCTGACTAAGCCACACTGCCTCTTTTCCACAGACGTTTATTAAACGTATACTATATGCAAAGTACTATGCTAGGTGCCTTAAGTGTATAAATAAATAAAGAACTGATTAGGGATATAAACAAGGAGCTCTGACTGTCTTGTTCCTGGAGTCTATAGCCTAAAGAAGGAACTCTGTAATTAATTAGCTGGTCATTTTTATTTTTATTTTATTTTTTTTTTTTTTGAGACGGAGTCTCGCTTTGTTGCCCAGGCTGGAGTGCAGTGGCACAATCTCACTGCAAGTGACACAATCTCACTGCAAGCTCCGCCTCCCAGGTTCACGCCATTCCCCGGCCTCAGCCTCCCAGGTAGCTGGGACTACAGGCGCCCGCCACCATGCCTGGCTAATTTTTTTTTTTTTTTTATTTTTAGTAGAGACAGGGTTTCACCGTGTTAGCCAGGATGGTCTCCATCTTCTGACCTCGTGATCCACCCACCTCGGCCTCCCAAAGTGCTGGAATTACAGGCGTGAGCCACCGTGCCCGGCTGGTCATCTTAGCTGTCTATCTAATGCCCCAATCTGATAAAGAAGTGAATTAGATCACTCACAACCACAAAAATTAGAAGATATTTTCAGTGTTCATTAAATCTTTTTTAAAAATCGGAGGATGCACCACACATGGCCAAACCCCTTTTTATTAATATTTTATAGCTTTGCATGGCATATGGAACAATGTTCCCAAAGAGTCCTAAGTTATTAATAGGTTCAGCAAAACCAAAACCAAAACCAAAAACCTGGTGTTAGCAATATTTTCTTCAAAAGTGCATTAAAAATATAAGTGTAAGAAAAATACTAAGTACATTTCTCTTGTTCTTATTATGTAAGTCTGTCTTTAAGGAATGGTGGGCAATCTTAAGAGCAAAAGAAGTTGTATATGTTACCTGAAGGACAAATGACTGGTGCTCAGTTTGTTAGTCAATGCAGAGTCAGGTTTTACCATTTTACCAACTTATTCTAAACTTTAATGTATGTCAACTATTCAGTGATCTTCAGCCTTTCTTATGCATATTTGTGATGTAGATAAAATTTTGACTGTTTTAAGGCAGTTTCCTTGAAACTGTTTCTACTGTTTACTTTAATCTAAATGACTATTATATTTCATGGGTTCATATTGACCTTTCATCACTACTTTATAATGCGTTTTGAGGGCAAACAGTTTTGGGAAATACTGATCTAGAAATTATTGCTGCCAAGTTGGTACCAGGTGTTGATTGCCAGTTTCTCAAAAGAGATACTAATCTTCTTGATTTAGCTTCCTACTTTTTGAACTTTTGTTACATGTTAGATGGATATGTGGTGTCCAATGTACGTATATCTACAATGTTAACAGCACATAGATTTAATGCACATAGATGCACTTTTCTTATGTACTTGATAACAAGAAATATTTAACGAGAGTGTTTAAAGAAGTAAATTTTATGTTATATGTATTTCATTACAATAAAAAATGCAACAGGGTGATACTGGTACATAAGGAAGAACATAAACTTATGAATTGCAAAACATAATATTTTTGATGTCATAATCAGATATAAGAAAATAAATAATAATCATATCTTATCAGTATGAGAAAAAACATAACCAGGAGCTGGAGCTACATGTCCCAGAGGATATAAATAAGAAATAAACTCATGAGAATATTTACATAGAATTAAGTAAAGAGGTAGACCCCTATTCTCTTTTTCTTTTTTTTTCTTTTTTTTTTTTTTGAGGTAGAGTCTCACTCTGTCTCCCAGGCTGGAGTGCAATGGCACGGTCTTGGCTCACTGCAGCCCCCACCTCCTAGGTTCAAGTGATTCTTGTGCCTTAGCCTCCTGAGTAGCTGGGACTACAGGCATGTGCCACCATGCTAATTTTCATATTTTTAGTAGAGACGAGGTTTCACCATGTTGTTTTGAACTCCTGACCTCAAGTGATCCACCCACCTTGGCCTCCCAAAGTGCTGGGATTACAGGCATGAGCCACCACGCCTGGCCTAGTCCACAATTTTTAAAAGGAAATTGGTCATTGATGTGTTCTCAGTACTTGGTATAGTGTCTGACAGAATAGGTGTTCAAGAAATATTTTTTGAATGAATAATAAGATTATTTCCGCACTGGAGCTCTTTCCCTAGTTGCCCATTTAACCCGTTTACTTCCTAGAGCAGGTTACATAACTTATTCCCTTAGAACATAGTGAGGCTAAACCAGAGTGATTATAAAACTCTTGATAATGCCACATTAAAAAACAAAATGTTGTATGTAACAAATATATCTGGGTAAAAATGCTTTTAGGAAGCTTTGTTTAAAAAATCATTTATGTATCTTTAGTAGCATATTTGGTTGAACCATATGAAATTGCCATTTTTTCATAGGTCAAAAATGAGCAATTTTATATGGTTTGGTCTTAGTTTATCAGTTACTGGCTAGTGGGTGCCTCCAGTTTTTCATGTTGGAAACATTACAACTTGGAGAAAATGTAATTTAATGTTCATTAAAATGATTCTTTTTTGCTCCCAAATGCCAGGGACTGAAAAGTGATTTCAGAAATCAGAACAAATATTATAACACCTTCATTAAAGTATGTGAACCTGACACCTTTACTAGTAAATTTTATGGTTAATCACAAATCTCCTACCAGAGGCTGTGGAATGACCATCTGAATATATTGTAAGAAGTCTTTTTTTTTTTTTTTTTTTTTTTGAGACGGAGTCTCACTCTGTCACCCAGGCTAGAGTGCAGTGGTGCAATCTCACCTCACTGGAAGCTCTGCCTCCCTGGTTCACACCATTCTCCTGCCTCAGCCTCCCGAGTAGCTGGGATTACAGGTGCCCGCCACCACACCCGGCTAATTTTTGTATATTTTTAGTAGAGACAGGGTTTCACCATGTTAGCTGGGATGGTCTCGAATTCTGACCTCAGGTGATCCACCCGCCTTAGCCTCCCAAAGTGCTGGGATTACAGGTGTGAGCCACCGCACCTGGTCTGTAAGAAGTCTTAATGGTCTTAAATATCGATTGCCTTAACACACAGCAGTCCCTTTCTCTTCCGACGTTTAAATAAGCCTTCCCAATTATGGTTAAAAAAATGGTAATGTCATTTATTTCATAATTAGAAGTGTAATAATAAAGTAGATCTA
This sequence comes from Homo sapiens, assembly GCF_000001405.40. Taxonomy (NCBI): domain Eukaryota; kingdom Metazoa; phylum Chordata; class Mammalia; order Primates; family Hominidae; genus Homo; species Homo sapiens. The sequence goes on along the minus strand of NC_000014.9, from coordinate 66,460,039 downwards.
CAAATTTGTTCTTAAAAATATTTCAAATAATGATCAAAGGCAGGGAAATTAATTTTGATCATTTATTATTTTAATAATTTTAAGTCCCTAAATGATTACAATCAATTGAAGGCCCCCAGAGGTAGTAACCATGGGCAAAGTCTGACACAGGAAATAGAACTCTTTGCTTCTGACATCATACATGACACCTTTAGCTACTTGTGAACACTGCCACAAGAGAGACCTCAGGGACACAACCTTCAAAGCTGAGAAGTGTAAGGGGGAGAATTAGAGAGGTACAGACTATCACCTCTAGCTTGTAACCAATATGCCCTCTTTATTCTCCCAGTCTCAGTTTAGCAAGGGAGGATTTATACTGAGATTATACAAGAATGCCCCATTACCTAGACTTGCTAGTAGACCATTCCAGCATTAGTGGGAGGAGTGAGTGGGTGATGCACTACATTTTGGTCACTGTAAAGCCTTCCAGACATTTTCTATGCTTATATCTACCTATACACTTTAAAAAATCGTTCCATATGGGACATCTTGCATCATAGCCTGCTATTTAAAAATTAAATATATATATAATGAACTTCTTTTTCATTATTATTTTTATACAACATTCTTTTTAGAGCTTCTTAAAATCGTATTGTACATGTGTTGCTCCACAATTTATCCACGAATCCTCTATTGTTGTTCACTAAGTTTTTTTAAGTTGCTTCCTCACTATTAACAACATTGCAGCTAAATGTGAGCATAAATCCTTAATTCTTTCTTAGGATAAAATCCTAGGAGTGGAATTTTTTGGTTGACAATGGAGGTTTTGAATGATTTCATGCAGAAAACATTTAGCTCACAAAAGCAGAGAGATGGATGAGATCAGAGGCAGTAGGGTAGACTTTTTCATTCTCCGGGAGCTTCTGAAGAGAGTCTAGTCTATGCAGCTTCGAAATATGAATTAGACGTTGGAAACCTTTTGTATTTTCCACCTTATACTTAATTATTTTAAACTAAGGCCAGAAAGATAGGTAGGGTGAGGAAATCTAAAAATGGTTAACATTTGCTGGGGTATTATGTGTCAGGCCGTGCTTCAAGCACTTTTCATGTCTGTGATTTCACTTTAGTCCTACCATAACTCTAAGAAGTGGGTAAGGAATGGACGGAGGCAAGAAAAACTAAACAACTTTCCCCAACGTCCCACATCTAGTACTGTATATGGTAGAGCCCAGAGCTGTCTGTACTCTTAACACCTGTGCATTGCTTCCTGCCATCCAACACACTGGGCTGCGTAGGCGGAAAAAGTAGGAAAGCCTCATAATAGAAGAGGCTATAGTGCACATGATATCTTTCTAAAATCTTCTACTTTCCTCTTTTTTAAAAGTTTTCTTTTTCTACCAATGCCACATTCTCTCTTGCTAGTAAATACAATGACTATATAACCTTAAGTATTTTACAGTTTGCCACCAATTATTAATGTCACTGAAAGTTTATCTATATTAATTAGAAGCTGCCACATCAACTGTTGCTACAGTTAAATTAATTCTGATAGTTGGTATGAGTAAATAATTATTTTTATGTGATTGTACTTGGTAAGGACATTTCTGAATTCTCACTGGATAAATTCTTTATATTTTGATTAGTCTTAAAGTCAATCAGACACCACAGACACAACAGGGAAGATTGTGGAACTGTCCTTTCTAGGAAGTAATGCTGCATAGGATTAAAAAAAAATTTGGTGGGGGGTACATAGTAGGTATCTATATCTATGGGGTATATGAGATTTTGATGCAGGCATATAATGCTTAATAATCACATCAGGGTAAATGGGTTATGCATCACCTCAAGCATTTACAAACAATCCAATTGTATTCTTTTAGTTATTTTGAAACGTACAATAAATTAATGTTAACTGTAGTTGCCTTGTTGTGCTGTAAAATACTAGATCTTATTTTATCTGACTATATGTTTGTACACATTGACTATCCCCATTCCTGTCTGCACTGCCTGCCCCACTCCCCTTCCCAGCCTCTGTAAACATCATTTTACTATTTCCATAAGTTCAATTGTTTTAATTTTTTTTAGCTTCCACAAATAAGTGAGAACATGTGAAGTTAGTCTTTCTGTGCCTGGCTTATTTCACTTAACATAATGACTTCCAGTTCCATTCATGTAATGTTGCAAATGACAGGATCTCATTCTTTTTTATGACTGAATAGTACTCCATTGTGTATATGTACCACATTTTCTTTATCTATTAGTCTGTTCATGGACACTCGGATTGCTTGCAAATCTTGACTATTGTAAATAGTGCTGCAGTAAATATGGGAGTACAGATATCTCTTCAATAGAATGATTTCCTTTCTTTTGGGCCCATACCTTATAGTATGATTGCTGGATTATATGATAGTTCTATTTTTATTTTTTGGGAGAATCTTCAAACTATTCTCCATAGTGATTGTACTAATTTACATTCCCACCAACAGGATACTAGGGTTTCTTTTTCTCCGCACACTTGCCAGCATGTGTTATGGCCTATTTTTGGATAAAAGCCATTTAAACTGTGAGACGATGTCACATTATAGTTTTGCTTTTCATTTCTCTGATGATCAATGATATAAAGCACATTTTCATATACCGGTTTGCCATTTGTATATCTTCTTTTGAGAAATGTCTATTCAGATTATATTACTCGGGGTTCCCTAGAGGGGCAGAACTAATAGGATATCTATATGGTAGTTTATTAAGTATTAACTTACACGATCACAAGGTCCCACTGTGGGCTGTCTGCAAGCTTGAGGAGCAAGGAGAGCCAGTCCAAGTCTCAAAACTGAAGAATTTGAATGTCCGATGTTTGAGGGCAGGAAGCATCCAGCATGGCAGAAAGATGAAGGGTGGGAGGCTAGGCCAGTCTCGCCTTTTCACGTTTTTCTGCCTGCTTTATATTCGCTGACAGCTGATGAGATAGTGCCCACCAGTTAAGAGTGGGTCTGCCTTCCCCAGCCAACTGACTCAAATGTTAATCTCCTTTGACAACACCCTCACAGACACACCCAGGATTAATATTTTGCATCCTTCAATCCAATCAGGTTGACGCTCAGTATTGGCCATCACACAGATCTTTTGCCCGTTTTAAAATCAGATTATTATATATTTTTTTCCTATAGAGTTGTTTATATAGTCTGGTTATTAATCCCTTCTCAGATGCATAGTTTGCAAATATTTTCTCCCATTCCTTGGATTGTCTCTTCACTTCCTTGATTGTTTCCTTTGCTATGAAGAAGCTTTTTAACTTGATGTGATCTCATTTGTCCATTTTTTTCATTGGTTGCCTGTGCTTGTGTGGTATCACTCAAGAAATCTTTGCCCAGTCCAATATCCTGAAGAGTTTCCCCAATGTTTTCTTTTAGTAGTTTATAGTTTCAAGTCTTAGATTCAAGTTTTTAATCCATTTTTATTTGATTTTTGTATATGGCAAGAGATAGGTATCCAGTTTAATTGTCTGCATGAGGATATCCAGTTTTCCCAGCACCATTTATTGAAGACACTGTCCTTTCCCCGATGTATATTCTTAGCACCTTTGTTGAAAATGGGTTCACTGTTGATGTGTGGATTTGTTTTTTAGTTCTCCATTCTGTTCCATTGGTCTCTATGTCTGTTTTTATGCCAGTACCATGCTGTTTTGGTTACTATAGATTCATAGTATAATTTGAAGTCAGATTATGTGATTCCTCCAGTTTTGTTCTTTTTGCTCGGGATAGCTTTGGTTATCCTGGGTCTTTTGTGGTTCCATACAAATTTTACGATTATTTTTTCTATTTCTGTAAAGAATGTCATTGGTATTTTGATAGGGATTGTATTGAATCTGTAGATTGCTTTGAGTGGTATGGACATTTTAACAATATTGGTTCTTCCAATTTATGAACATGGAATATCTTTCCGAGTTTTGGTGTCCTCTTCAATTTCTTTCATCAATATTTTTGTAGTTTTTATTGTAGAAATCTTTCACTTCTTTGGTTTAGTTTATTCCTAGGTATTTTATTTTATTTTATTTATAGGTATTGTTAATGGGATTACTTTCTTGAATTCCTTTTCAGATTGTCCACTATTGGCATATAAAAATGTTACTGATTTTTACATTTTGATTTTGTATCCTTCAACTTTACTGAATTTGTTTCTGAATTCTAATAGTTTATTGGTGGAGTCTTTACAAATATAGGTTTTTTACAAATACAAGATCATATCATATGCAAACAAGGATAATTCGACTTCTTCCTTTCCAATTTGGATGCCTTTTATTTCTCTCGTCTGATTGCTGTAGCTAGGACTTCCAGTACTATGTTGAATAACAGTGGTGAAAGTAGGCATCTTTGTCTGTTCCACATCTTAGAGGAAAGGCTTTCAGTTTTCCCTCATTCAGTATTATAGTTGCTGTGGGTCTATCATAGATGGCTTTTATTATGTTGAGGTGTGTTCCTTCAATAGCCAGTTTTTTAGGGTTTTAAAAATCAAGAAGAGATGTTAAATTTTTTCAAATGCTTTTAAGCATCAATTGAAATGATCATATGGTTTTTGTGCTTCACTCTTGATATGATGTATCACATTGATTGATTTGCATATGTTGAACCATCCTTGCATCCCTGGGATAAATCCCACTGCATAGGTTTTGATTTTTTATTTCCGCATAGTACATAAAAATGTTTAATCTTAATAAATACCTAACCATGTCCAAGTCTTCATATTCTATAGAAAACACCCCCATAACACTGTCTCTACCTTTAAAATGGCTGAAGATAAGCACACATTCAAATTGAAGAGTTACTCAAAACACGCTTGAATAAATGAAGTTTATATTTGTACACTGATCAACTGGAACAGATGTCTTTCTTTTCTCCATTGCTACTTCTGCCCTCCTTCTTCAAAATTCTCAACTCCTTTTAAGTTCCAGTGAATATAGCACAGTAGTTAAATGCATAGATTCTGGAGCTAGACTACCCAGGTTCCAATCTCAGCTCTGCCATTTGCTACCTGTGTGACCACGGGAGAGTTTCTTAGCCTCTCTCTGTTCCTTAGTTTCTTTATCTCAATTGCCAAGCTTATATCTCCACATTTGACTACTCCTCAGACCTGTAGATTTGTACCTAATTGGTATCTCAACGTGGTGGCCTAACAGGTCTCTTAAACTTAACATCACCCCATAGAGCCTGTCTCATTCCTGTCACATAAATGGCAACATCACACTCCTTTTGCTCAAATGAAAAATGTAGGAGTTGTCTTTGATTCTTCTTTTTCTCACTCCCTCACTCAATCCATCAGTGAATCTTATCCCTTTTACCTCTAAAACAAATCTCAAATCTGCCCACTCCCACCAGCACTGCCCTATATAAGCCACGTCCTCTAATGTCTGGGCTCCTGCAATGGTTGCTTTGCTGGTCTCTGTTCTTTCACCTTTGTCTAAAATCCAGTATCCCTGCAGCCAGAATGATTTTTTGTAAAGCATTAATTTTATTAGTCATTCTCTTACTCCAGATGCCCCAATGACATCTCATCACATTTAGAATAAAAGCAAAACTCCTTAATCTGGCCTTCAAAGTCCTACAAAATTGGGTGCTGCAGTGGGTTGAATAGTATCTTACCAAAATTCATGTCCTCAGAAGGTAGGAATACAATTTTACAGATGTAATTAAGATGAAGCCATATTGGATTAGATGCACCTAAATCAAATGAGTGGTGTCCTTATAAGGAGAGGAGAGAACACACAGAGACGGGAAATACAGAAAAGGCCATGTGAAGGGGAAGGCAATGATTTGAGTGATGAAGCTATAAGGTAAGGAACACCAAAGATTGCAAAGAGTCACCAGAAGCTAGGAAAAGACAAATATTCTTCCCTAGAGCTTATAGCATTTGGAGGCAGTGGAACCTGCTGACACCTTGATTTCAGACTTCTAGTCTCCAGAACTGTGAGAGAATTTACTTACATTGTTTTAAGCCACCAAGTCTGTGGTATTTTGTTACAACAGCTTCAAGAAACAAACACAGGTGCATTTATAACACTCCAGCTTCAACTCTATTCAACTCTGCCCTCCCCTTGCTCTCTACCCTCCAGTCACCCTGTTCTCTCTCTGTCCCTGGTGTTGGAACACCAATCTTGTTCTCATCTTAGGACTTTTGTACTAGCTGTTCCCTCTATTTGGCAAACTCATTTCTGGATCTTTTCATGGATCCTTCCTGTTATTCACGTCTAGCCTAAAGTCACTTGTTCAGAGAGACTTCTCAAACACCCATTCAAAAGTAGCCTCCCAAACACTGTCTTTCACATCACCCTATTTCAGTTTTCTGCTTTGCACTTGCTACAATCTGGCGTTTCTTATTCATTTACATATTTATGGAGTCTGTTGCCGTTCCCTCAATATACACATGCACACACACCACATACTTGTGCATTCACTGCACCTACACTGTCCAAAAGGGTAGCCACTAGCCACATATGGTGATTTAAATAGAAATTTAAATTAATTAAAATTAAATAAACATTTAAACTACAGTTTCCAAGCTGCAATAGCCACAATTTCAAGTGCTCATAGCTGCTTGTGGCTAGTGACTACCATAATGAACAGCATAGATGTAGAACATTTTCATGCATTGCATTAAATCCTACTATTCATTGCTGCTCTAGAATATAAGCTCCAGAGAAAGAGGAATTTTATATCCTCAGTCTGAATTTGTTTGATACATAATAGATGCCAAATAAATATTTCTTGAATCAAGAATGAATGAGCTTTCAAGAAAAAAATTGAGCATTAATGTGAATAAACTTTGTAAAAGCAATGACCATTTCTGCTACTGAAAAGAAATATGGCTTTCGGGGAAACTGACTTCTGTTCATCTGGGCAGAGTTTCTGGAACCACATTTGTCATTGATTATTCTTTTTGTTTGTTTATTCAATAAACACTCAAAAATGGATCTGGTTGTAAAGAGGATTTCAACAAATTCTCTCATCTTGAGTGATAGCTTTTTTGGCTTATAAGTAAAAAGTTTTAGCAAGGATCTTCTGAGAAGTGGGAGGAGGGCAGGTAGGGGTGTGGGTTGAATATTATCTTCTGTGCAGCATAGCATTTTCTCTAGATGTCTAAAGAGACAGTGTTATCAATCTCACATCTTTAGTAATCATTTCTCTGTGCTTTGATTAATGTGGGTGTAAAATGTGTCTGATGTAGCAAGCATGTGTCTGAAACATTCTGAGACAAGAAGAGTAAAAAGTATTTTAATTTAAAAAACGAACTTTAAATATGCTAAAAGGCATAAGATTATTTAATATAACAGATAAAATGCTATATTACTGCATTGGAATAAAAATCATGGAAATATGTCTTTGTCAGACTTGAAGAGCAAATAGAGCCATATGTTTAAAAACCATTAAATGTTGGCCATAAGTGCCCTGCTCTGCTTTCAAATCATCACAATGAGGTTAAGATTAAAACTTGTGAGTTTCTGATACTGTGCCTAGTATATGAAAAAAAGTCAATCTTGGTTTCTCTTCTTTATCTCATTCCTCTATTTTAATACTCTGATATATGTCAACATTCTTACCAGGAAGTTCATTGATTGGTTAATGAAAAATTATTGTTGATTAGTGAGAATTATTGTCTTAAGAGAACCTTTGACTGAAAAGCTAGGGACTCACAAGTCATCTGAAGACCAATTCCAAATGGTTAAACTTGAATAATATTTAGTAAAACTTACCCATATCCTATTACAATATTGACTGACCACAGAGGGGGATTAAGGCATTGTTGAGCTGCAGTAATCATAACTTGGTCTGAAACCCTGTATAGATTCTCCATGTGCTATTACATAATTAAAGTATAACATTTCCACGTAATAAACTTTATGGCTTTAGAAGCATTGCTAATGTTTTTACATGCAATTAAAATGGAGGAAAATATAAGGAACTAGGTAGAATAAGACCTCTTTGCTATAAAACTGAATAAAGAGGGGGAGTTTGTGTGTGTGTGCATGTGCGTGTGTGTGTGTGTGTGAAAGAATGCACATGAGAGAGACAGAGAGGCAGGCAGAGACAGAGAGAAGCAGAGAGAGAGAAGGAGAGGAGAGAGGAATAAAAAATTAGAAATGAGGGGAGTATACCTGATTTCAGAAATCAAAAAAATAGAATATTGAAAGTGTTCAGAAAGCTTGATTCAGACTCTAGATGATTTTCTCTAACTATTCAACACGGAGAGATATCTCAGCATTTCTGTGCTGTGTTCAGTGGTCAGAGGCCCATGGCTGATGATAAAGATGCTCTGGTAGAAATGAGTTATCTCATTCCCACTGGGGTTCTGGTAAGAGGCAAGAAAGGAGCAATGATTCTTAGATGAACAGTGCCTTGGTTAAAGTGACCCAATTTCAGATCCACCAATGTAGAAAAGAGACAAGTCCTTTAGCCATGGACAAAACAATGAGGAAATAAGAGTCTCTTATTTGGGGGTTCCCTGCACAGTCCACCTTTTCCAGAAAGTAACTGTCTCATCAGTATTTCTCCAGATAAGTGACCACAGTTTCCCTTGTTTTGTGTGTTTTTTTTTCTGACATGAATGAGAGAAGATATACAGTGAGGAGAGCAGAGCCAGGGAGGAAGGGACGGGAAAAAGAAGGGAAAGACAAAATATGGCAGTAAAGTCCATTTGTGAATATTCCAGATAGGGTTGGAAATCAAGATCCCCCATGACCCTGTTTATATAAGGAAATCTGGTTTACATAATGAAGCATAACTTATAAAATGTGCTCTCCATAAAAAAATCAAATGTCAGCCCCTCCTGTGTGTAGTTTAAAGAACTCCCTTCCTTTCTCCTTTGAAAAATTGAAGTGGGTGTGGATAAAAAAGGACTGGTTTTTGGCAAGGGATGAGATTTGGGGTAGAAGTATATAGAAAGGGAGAAAATTGAGACGATAAATGCTTCTGCTGGGGGTGTTTTCCAGGAGTTTCCTTAGATGTGTGAGGCAGTTGCAGAATTGAGTTTGGGCCTTGAGTTGGCCCCATGCTCCTCTCCTAAATTTGAAAATTGGTTGAGTTCTATTGAGCAGAGATTGCAGACCATGGAGCCCACTTTATCTCCACTTTGCTTCCTCCTATTTACTGCTCTTCCCTTCCTTCCCAACTCCATTCAGCAGGTGTGCAGAGAGGGGATTTGCTGTGGCAGCTCTCATCTTGATTCTTTCTGTCTTTGACTCCAGCTTCTTATCCCATGGAAGGCTGAGGATCCTACAGGACTCCTAACCTTATTCTATCTCTGCTAGGCCCTCACTGTGCCTAGAAATTGAAGGAAGGAAAAGAACTAATGGCATTTATTTTCCTGATTCTGTTTTAAATTAACCCTGAATCAGAAGGTTAGGAAGACAGTGAATAAATGAAGTTTGGGCAAATAAACAACTGTTCTGTTTTTGAGAAAATTTTGCATGACAATCTTCAAATTGGGTAAGTAGGATTAGCACTTTATATTGCATTAAGCCATCTGTCATTGTAGGTTCAGTAAATCAAATAGCGGACCTAAAATCTCTAAGTGATATGTTATTCCACAAATGATAAGAGCAATATTTGTAACTTAAGTGTTGCGGAAAGTAGAAATATGGGGTCAGAAGAGCCAAAATCCTGATGATCTAGCTGCTGTACCTTAAAATGTAGTTATATTGCCACTACAAAACCAATATCCCTTAAATTTCTTTTTATCACATCAGCTCCCTACTCTAGATATTTCACCCTCTCCCTATTTACAATCATTTTTTTGTCTTCCTACACATTTTCTTCTAAACTGACATTCTTCCAAATTTTTAATTGGTCTTGTAAAGTCCACCTCTAGTTTCCCACCTTCCATCTATAAGCTCTGTTCCCGTAAAAGCATATGCCTGTAAGGACACTGTGATCAGCTTTTTATGCTTCTTGCCTTGTTTGCATCAGATCTCTTTCCTCTGGAGTGTGCTTCTTTCTCTCCAACTTGACCTGCTCCACAATAGCTCAACATCTTGGCTGAAATCCTCTAAACTTCAACACAGCCATCTCTGAATGTAGCTTAATTGATATTTCTCTCCTCCAACCTTCTGTAGCTCTGAAAAGACTACATAGCCTAGCTTTTAATTATATACACTTGACCATTCTTAAATAACATGTGAAAGAGCCTTACAATCTAAAAAGCATAACAAGTTCTGGCATGTAGTGTCACCCAGTACATTTTTATTCATTCATTTGTTCTTTATTGTTATTGCATATGGTTTGCTTTCTTCCCAAGAAGGGTGGCAGCTAATTGAAGAAAGTGACCATTTTGTTTCCTCTCCTATGTGTCCCCATCAGGGTCTGGCCCCCTGGAGAGCACTCAGTAGATAATCAATAAGTACTTACTGACTGAATGATTGATTGACTAATGCACTTTGCTTTTGGATTCCAAGTGCAGAAGCCCTTTAAGATGGCCTGGTTTTCTTCCAAATGATTTGAAATTGACCTCTACTACACAATAGAAAGTTCACTGATCTTTTGCAGATGAGAAAGTTGAAATAAAAAGAGGATTAAAATACTCTCAAACTCAAGCAGAAGATTAGAGATAGCTACAGCCTAGAATTAGAAGCCAAGCACATCCTGATGCCAGTCCATTGAATTCAGAGTCATTGAACCGTGCTTTGTTTTCTGACATAGGTAGCTTTTGTCCACCTGTTAATCTTTAATGTGTAAGTTATTATATAATACATTGCTATGTGAATCTACCTCTTTTTCTTGTTTGTTTCATTTTATTTTTTTAGTGACTCTTAATAGGTAAAAAATGTATCTAATTATCCTTCATGATGTTGCTTTTTGTTTCTTAGTTGGCCTTTAAGGTCAGGAACTATGCCTTAAGCGCCCTCACACTTCTTGTGTATGGCACAGTACCTGGCAAATAATAGATGTTTAATAAATACCTGTTGAGCAAATGAATGTTATCGGATGAAATCATCTTTTTAGAGTACTGAACAATTAACATGCCTAAATCCTCTTTAGAGTATCAAAGAGAGTCAAACATCTAAACTGTCTTATTTAATTCATAGCAACCTATTCTTAATGCTGAATCATAATTCCCTTGCTTAGTTATTGTCCTTTAGGGGTAAAATAAGAAACTGAACCCTTACAGCATCATTCTGGATTTGATTCCTAACTATAGGCTGAAGTAGGCTTTAATTTCCACAGGTAAGAGTATAACATTTACATATTTAAGGAAAGAAAGTAACTTCTCCCAACTGAAATAAGAGGTAATTTAAGGAGACAGAATTATTGGTCCCAAGTTAGCAAAAAACATTTTAAACCTGACTCATCTGTGCCTTATGGATTTCGTAACTGATGATTAGCTTCTCTTAATCAGTTGAACATCCATTTAAAGGACAAATTGATTAGCTCCTTGCATAATTAAAAGAACATTAAGTGCCATCACTTGGAGTTTAAAAAATTGTTTTGATTAACAGCAAATATGCACAGTTTAACATTAAGATATTAAATGGTGTTATCTCAAATTATTATTAATTTGTTATTTTTCAAAATGTTAAGGAGGTGTTTGCAGCTAGCTTAGTGACCAATATTTGCAATTCCCCAAAAAATGCAATTTTCATTTTTTTCTGGCTGGCATTAAATTTAATATGCTTTTTCCACAAAGCATGAGAGCATAATATAACCTATAAATAATAACCAATGTTACATTGTAATCAAACAATCAAATTTACTAATTCTTTATTTAGTGAAAGAGTAAATAGCATGGTGCTGAGGTACAGAACAAGGAAAATAATTAAATATTAAATGTTTACAAATCTTTTCAAAAACAATTGGTAAGAGTTAGAGGAGGTTTAGCAAGAATGTTAAAATGGAGAAAATGGCTATTAAAGGCATCAGGAGCCATACAGGACAAGATTCACAAGCCAGTACAACTTACAGAATTGAACAATGTGTAAAAATAAAAGAGTAGAAGTGAACAAGACATTAGAGAAATGAAGGATGGAAAAGACTCTTCCTGCTGAATCCAGGTACAAGGAGACATTCAGGTGGGGGAAGAATGACTGGGAGATGGATTTTCCAATCCACAGGGGGTCAGTAAAGTTGTTTAAAGATGTTCTATGTCAGTAGTCCATAGAAAATTGCATAAAATTACACAAACACGTAATTAAAGCTAAACATTCAGAATGTTAGGCAGCACCATTCTGAGCCAGATGGTACTTGATTCTGACTATACTTTCGGCACTGAGGACCTAATTAGTCTTTGCAAAAAGGTGTGCAGGTGTCAGTCAATTCTGAAGTTAGCGCTGAGCAGAACAGATTAATGGATACATTGGAATATTTGAAATTGATGAGGCCTGAGGTAAGTTTCAAACACTTATTTGCAGAAGCTTAGGAGCTTAGAGAACATGTAAGACATTTGATTTAGGTCTGTTTCTGAAAGTCTACAAGTATGGGCTGTATGTTTATCTTTTTCTTTCTTCATCTCAAATCACCAGTCCCAGTAAGGATTAGTTTAAAAGAAGACTGTTATGTATGCTCTAATACTGAACTATTACTCTAAAATGATCATGTTTTTATTTATTTATTTATTTATTTTTTGAGACGGAGTCTTGCTCTGTCGCCCAGGTTGGAGTGCAGTGGTGCGATCTTGGCTCACCGCAACCTCCGCCTCCTAGGTTCAAGCAATTCTCCTGCCTCAGCCTCCTGAGTAGCTGGGATTACAGGAGTGCACCGCCATGCCCAGGTAATGTTTGTATTTTTTAGTAGAGACAGGATTTCACCAGATTGGCCAGGCTGGTCCCGAACTCCTGACCTCAGGTGATTCAACCGCCTCAGCCTCCCAAAGTGCTAGGATTACAGGCGTGAGCCACTGTGCCTGGCTGATTATGTTATTTTAATATCATTATGTTTTACCCACTCATTAAGAGATGTTTGGGCTTGACAATGTAAACCTAACCTGAATGGTAGCAGAGACCACATAATTCCTGAGAAACAGTCAAATAACTTGAGTTCCACTAGACTACCTTCTCAAACATTAGTGTTCATAAGTTTTCCCTGGCTAACAAATTGAAAATACAGATTCCAATGGTTATCGTCAGTGACTCTGGTTCAATAAGTTTGGGATGGGAACTGAGAATCTGTACTTTTAACAAATACTGATAGGCAACCCATAAACTATCCTTTGCAAATCACATACAAGCCAAGAGTTCCTTGAGGGTAAGGACAATTATTTATTGTTTGTTATTGCTTCAGGATCTAATGTGATGATGTTTGTCAATAGTTAATAATGATTTGTTGACTGAATAATAGGCAAACTTTATGTCTCATGATTATTTCTCACTCTGGCTTGTTCTCATTTAATATCAAAGTACTTTCAGGTTCTGCAATGTTTGCCTAGAATACTAGTCTTAAATTCTTCATCCTAAACAACAGAATCGTATATTGTAATTGGGATTCCTGTACATTTCATCCTTCAACATTTAAAAAATATTAATTGAGCTCACACCATATCCCAGAGACTCTTCTAAACACATAGGATGTATCTGTGACAGAGACAAAGATCCCTTCTGCATGGAGCTTACATTCTAGAAGTCTGAGGTTTGAAATTATTTTCTCAGAATAATATAAGTTCTTAACACTAAAGAGTTTCTTACAGAGTCTCGAATTAAGTAACAAATTTATTTTGGCAACTTTCGAAGCTCACTGAGGGAAGAGAGATTGGCTTAAAGCACCAGGGAATTTTATTTTTGCACATAAATATTTATATGTGTAAAGGGGTGTGTGGTTAATTATAAGTGATGGGAGGAGAATGACAGATGCTTAGATCCTCTGTCCCCATGGAGAGACAGACCTTGCCTGTTGGAGTGTAGTGGCACATTGTGTGGTCTGTGTACTGAATCACTGATTTAAATATTGCAGCAGCTGGAGTGCAAAGTATATCAGCAAATACTACAGGAGGAGGAGTGCATGTGTCCTGAATACAAAGTAAGAATAAAATAGGTTTGCATAGTCACATTGAGCAAGGCTGTGGCTGTGGATGGCCTTTTTTTTTTTTTTAAATATATTTTAGTTTCAAAGGAGAACTAGAGAAGGACAACTGGACAGTCCAGGAAACACAGACTGGACACGAGCAGGTAAATGAGAAGAGGACGGGTGCTGCTTCCTGAATCCCAAATTTCTATTCCCTGCAGAGAGGGAGAGAGAAAGGAGAAAGGTGGGGATGGGGGGTGGGGGAGGAAGGGAGGGAAAGAGAGAGATAGAGAGAGAGAGAGAGAGAGAGAGAGAGAGAGAGAACTCTACTTACGTTGGGGAAAACCTACTCAGATACTTCATCTCTGTAATGAAAGCAGTAAACCAAACAGGTATAGACCCAACTTCAAGGCTCATGAGAAAAATGAAAAGGAAAAACTAGTTTTCTTTATCAACTTTAATTTTATTACTTCTACTTCTGGTATGAAAAGAAGTTCAAAATTCTTTTCTCAATTTTCCTTTAATAAATAAATAATATCTCTAAGGGCTTTCTAGTTTACACAGACCACTCCTTTCATCATTTACTATTTTTTCCCTGTTTTACTGATTGGGAATATGAGGCACAGAGTTCAAATGATGGTACACAAAGACCACTTTATTTTGTAAATAGCAGAACAGACTAAATCCAGGTTCTCTAATTACAAAATCATATTGCCCTTCTTACTTGTACTCCTGTTTTTGTTGTTGTTGCTGTTGTTGTTATTGTCTCTCGTCTCCCTTTATAATTTCCAAAGTCAGAAATGACAGAAACGCTGGAGGAGTGAGGCTGGGGGTGGGAGGTGAAAAAATGCTTTACACTGATGGGTAGAAATTTTGTTCTTACAGATATGATGTTGAAAAGGAGTAGGAAAAAAATAAAAGCAGTTTATGCAGAAATGTGAATTCAAACAATAAATGAACAGATACATTTCATACTTGAAACAATGAAATAGCTAAAAACCTTAAACTCCTTTTCTCGGTAGTCTAGATTCCTAATCTACCACCTGTACTGAAGATGTCATATCATCTGGTGAACTTCCTGTAAAGATCATCTGACTAAAAAGTGTTTGCCAAGTTCCAGGTTATCACAAGAGCCACCTTCATCTCAACATGAAAAGGTCCTTCATGGTCATCAGAAATCATGACCCAGGGTCATTTAATGTGCTAGTTCCTTGTAAGTCTGGGTCACAGCTCCCCATCCATGCTGATGCCAGTGGATTTTGTAATGTTCATGTGGAAACAGCAGGGAACAGTTAGCTGGATTCCATTCTGCCTCATGCCTCATCAACCAGATGGTTGGCTGTATCAAAGCCAGTAATGCTGATGTCAGAGGCGAGAGAACACAGCTGGATTTTCAGGTTCAAGGGGAAAGAGGGAATCTATAATGCTTAAAGTTTGGGAGAAAATTGCCTTTGGACTGGTGAGTAGAGCCAACTAGAACTGATGGAGAGTTTTTAATGTTAAGTCCTGCAGCAACATTTCTGTGTAATTGCTTTTTGAGCCGTGGTAGGATCCCAATCCTCTTTATCTCACACCTGCTAACAGGCCTGCTGGTGCCAGTCAGCTAGCTATTGTGTACCAGATCTAGATGAGATTTTAGCACTGACATATTAGCCTCCCACTAACTCCTGGCTACTACTGTGTATCTTCTCTTATCCCTGGATTTCTGGTGACTAGCATGAAACCAAAAACTACAAGGATGGAAAATAGCTTAGAAAACCAGTTCCTAGAAACTTGATGAAGATTTTATTTTTTGGTATATCACTATAATTTTGCACCTTGACTAAAAGAAAGGTAATACATAGCCTTGTTTTCTGGCTTGATCATGCTAGGGCTAGGAGGAAATCTAATTGTAGGCATATGGGACAGAGGAGGCTGGACAGAGCTGTTTCCTTACTACTTCCTTACTAGGGCTCATACAATGTAGAAAACTTGAAAAAAGGGACTCAGGTCTTTATTCTCTCACAGTTGCTGCTAAGATGTTCATTGCCCAATTGTACTTGTCCCATTTGAATATGAATACTTCCTTACAAAATTTTGGCCATGGCTCCAAAGGCCCTGGCACATGCTACCCATGTGTTACCACATCAGAAGTCTTATCACTTCTGGGCCGCTGCATGGAAAAGGGGTTCAAGTCGTCTATCCACACTTGAAATAAACAGTATTCCCCTCCCTTCCCCAAACTCTTTCTCTCTGTAGGAATCTCTCTCTCTCTCTTGCCCTCTCTCTCTCCAGAGTTCAGGCTGTTAATCCCTGTTTCCCAAGTACCAGCTTCTTCCCAAAGATCTAGAGTGAGGTTGGGGTAGTGGGAAGGGTGTTGCCTTCAGGGTCTCTTCTGGAAAACAAAGAATCTACTACAATAATTCCCACAGATCAAGGGAGACTGATCACAGGGACATGATTATTCTTGGAAGGGAGGAAGGATGAGGAAAATTTCCCTTTTATTCTTTGTTATTCTTTGTATTCTCCTACTGCAGTAAGAACGAGGTAAAATAAATATCTCAGTGAATCATCCTGCCGCAGATGAGTAGGTGACTTGTAGGTTATTGAGGTTCAGTGAAGACTTGTGGGCTGTGAACACACTTATCTGTGATTAAATCGAGTTTGGGAATGTAGGACCAGAGAATGATTGAGCAATGATTTGCAGATGAGTGCTTGATCCAGGAGGATTCAGGCAATACTTCATTGGGGCAATAAATGTGACATTTGGTGTCAGGGGAATAACAAATCCAGGGAGGGAGGGCTATTCAGACCTAAATGTGCAGGGCCAATAAACAGTATTTCTGATGCCAGGAGTGCCTGCATGTAAGTGTGCATAAAATGCTTAAGCAGTAATCCCTCTGTGATGCTGCAAAAAGGCAGTTTTTCTCACAGCTGCAGCAGCAAAAGGGGTGCCATGGATTTTAACCCCCAGGAATTAACCTATGTAAATGACTTCTGGGTAGCAGGAAAGATTTTTTCCAAAAAGCACTCAGCCCAGAAGTAGCTCTTTTCTTGCCAACATTCTGGGTGATTTATACAACTGTTCTCACTGAATAGTGCAGAGAGAAGGGATTTTGCAGCAGAACGTGATTGTAGAACTGGAGGCAAGAGATGTCCCCTGAAGTTGTAATAATTGCACAGAGGCAGAGTGAAAAGATCAGCTGGACCAAGACAAAGACATTTATTTTAGCCGTAACAGCGTGCTGATGTGATGGACTTAATAAATAATGCCTTGGCTACATGATTTTTATTACTATCTATTATTTGTAAATAATAACTAGTATGTGCTTATTGTATTTACGATATATTACAATAATGTAAAGAAAAAAATAACATGTATTAAATAGTTACAATTTTGCTATGTTCTATGGTATATTTCAAAAATGTCTACAAATTTGTCCCCTCTCCATATCTATACCACTGATGGTAACTTCCTATACTAACTCTGGGCTAGGCAAGTATGACTTGTATTGGTAAATGAGAAAAATAGCAAATGTAACACAGGTGGATTTTAAAAGTGCTTGAGTAGTGGAGTTGCTCTGTTGCTGCTCTTAGATGCCTGAACAGTCCTGTGAATAAGCCCAGGCTACTCTGTGGGAGGATTGGGGCACAAGATCTACTTACGTCCGTCATTAGAGCCAACAATGAGCTAAACTCCAGAAGCAGGATGAATAGTTGGTCAATGATGGACTGTATACACTGGAGTAAGCTGCACTGAGACCAGGGGAAGAAACTCCCAGAGAAGCACAGCCCAAACTGTGACCTACCCAATTGTGAGCTAAATAAATGGTTCTTATTTTAAGCAAATAAGTTTTGGAATATTTTGTAATACAGGCTTGTTATGCAGCAATAGATAATTGATATAGTTCTTTACACACATATAGTTCATTTAATGTTCACAACAGCCCTATAAAATTGATATTATTATCACTTTCATTTTACAGATGAGGAAGCAGGGGCAAAGAGGGAATGAGTACATGAATCAGTCTCATACAGCTTGTAAATGGTGGGACCAAGATTGAGACAGCCTGATTCCAGTGTCCATGCACTTAACTACTATGCGTGATTAAACATTAATTTAAGTATTAATTAATTATTAAACAAAAAAACAAAGCAAAACACCTGTCCTTTAAAAATGATTAAATTATTTTATTAAAAAAATTACTGTATTATGTATGATGGATTATTACGTAGGTATGATTGACAGACAAAAAGGTATACATACCTAACGTATAAAACTTAATGAGTTTGAAGATAAGTATACACCTATGAGACCATTATCACAATCTATGCCATAAACATATCCACCACCTACAAATGTTTCCTCCTGGCTTCTTTGTGTATTGTTATTATTATTATTTTGTGATAAGAACACTTAATATAAGATCTACCCTCTCAGCAAATTTTAAAATATTAAATACAGTACTCTTAACTGTAGGCACTACACTGTATAGTGCATCTCTAAGACTTAATCATCTCATCTAACTGAAACTTTGTATCCTTTGACTAATACTTTACCATTTCCTCCTCACTCAAGTCCCTGGTAACCATAATTCTACTCTTTTTCTATGAGTTTGACTGTTTTCAATTTCTCATAACACATGGCATCATGTAGTATTTGTCCTTCTGTGTCTGGTTTATTTCACTTGGCATAATGTCCTCCAGGTTCATTCATGTTGTTGCAAATGGCAGGATTTCCTTCATTTTTGAGGTTGAATAATATTCTTGTGTGTGTGTGTGTGTGCGTGCACACGCCTGTGTGTGTGTGTGTGTGTGTATATATATATATATACACGCATATATTTCAATTAAACTTTACACCTGTGTAAAAAATGTCTTATATTAAAAAGAACCCCTCAGGGAACTTCTGGTCATGATGGGATAACAAGAACCATATTCACTCACCTTCCTTAAGCAGCTATAAAACTGGACAAAGTAGATGAAACAGTAGGTTTCAAGCATTAGACAAGTGGTACGGGGCAGTTATCCCTGAGATGAAGAAAACAAATGAGGTGACCCTACAATTCTAACAGTTCATTACCTAGAAGGAATTTCTAGAATGCAGCACAGGGAAGGGAAACCCACACAGAGACGGACAGGCTGAGTTTAAAAAGCAGAGTTGGCAGTTTAGACAGACCAAGGTGGCTAGAGTTTGCAGGGCAAAATACGAGAGAGGTGAGACCTGCACGGAGAAGGATCTTCTGGTATCTCCAAAGAGAACCCATGCGTCTTTGGATGATAAATTATCTGCTTATGTATGTAAGAAAATTACCTAAAGTCATGTAAAGAACTCTGGAAAGGAGTAGGTAGATTGTATAGGCCTGGAAATAGTTGGTGTTCTCACTAGCCAGAGTGGTAAGACCTCCTAATATAAAGAGTCTAAAGTAGAATCTTTGGAGAGGTATAGCCGTAATCATGAGGCCAAATTAACCCTAGATTAAAAGTTGCTTAGAATCCACACTAACAAAACTTAAGAGCAAAATAATGATCAAAATGATTCCAAGTAACTTAAGTTCATCCCAGAACAAACTTGGCAATAGTTAAAGAAATATGACATACCTATACCCAACAACAAAAACCTCAGAATGTCCTACATTCAGCAAAAATTACCAGACATTTAAAGAAGAAGAAAAGTACTACTCATAACCAGGAGAAAAATCAATAGAAGCATATCCAGAAACCACAAAGATAATGGAATTATCTGACAAGGACATTAAAACACCTATCTCCATGTGTTTTAGAAGGGAGAGGAAAGCATAAAAATGATGAAAGAAAGGCAAGATATAAAAAAGACTCCAAATGAACTTCTAGAAATAAAAAATACGGTGTCAGAAATGAAAAATAAGTGGGATTAATGGGTAACTAGAATTTAGCAGAATAAAAGATTAGTGTTTATGAAGACATCACAGTATAAACTTACCACAATGAAATATACAAAGAAAAAATGTCAGTAACAAGAAAATCAGTGATTTGCAGAACACTATTAGGTGATTTGCTATACATGTAGTTGGAGCCCAGAAGGAGAAAACAAGAAGGAGGGATATATACATATTTGCAGAAATAACAGTAAAAAAGTACAAATATGATAAACTCTGTAAGTCCATATATCCAAGAGGTTTAATGTATCCCAAGTAGAAGAAGCAGAAGAAAACCACCCAAGGAACTTCTGAAGTCCAGTGACAAAGACAAAATCTTAAAGCAGCTGGAGATAAGTTACATGAAGAGGGATAAATATATAAATGATAGCATATTTCTTGTTAAAAAAACACGCAACCAGAAGATAATGGAATAGCATCTTTATAGTATGGAAGGGGGAAAAAATCTGTCAACCTAGGATTTTATACCCAACAAAAATATCTTTCAAAAAATAAAGGCAAAAAAAAAGATAGTCCCATTTTTAAAAAAGCAGAGCAATTCAGCAGCAGCAGACTACACTGCAAGAATGTAAAACAAAATTCTTTAAGCAGAATGAAAATTAGACTAGATGGAAATATGAATCTATGTGAAGACATGAAAAGGACTGAAAATGACAAATATATAGGTAAATATAAAGGACATTTTTCTCATTTAAATACTCTTTAAAAGATGACTACTTAAAAATAAGAACAATATGTTTTGTGAATAACAATATATACAGAAATAAAATAACATCATAATAGTATGAAAGACAGAAGGGGAGAAATGGAAGTGTACTGTGTTAAGATTCTTATGATATACATGAAGTATTATAATATTTTTTGAAGGTAGATGTGATAAATTAGAGAGATATGTTTAAAACATGCGAAGTTTTAAACAATTTCTAAAATTTAGAAAAAAGTTTAACCCTGGTAATCAGTAGCTACCAGAACTGGTTTTATACCTGTTTAATCAATCAGCAAGTCACCTCAGCTTCAGCGCCTCACTGGCGAAGTCAGTCAATCTAGGATGAACTCTACAGATGATATGTTATCATCTGTATGGATATCAGTAACCATACTTCTATGGATGATGTCAGTCTTGATCTAGTTTTTCCTCTTAAGGTCTGCCAATCCCTGAGCTCCACACTTCCCTTAAATAAATATATAATCAGTCATCTGCTCTAATTTGAGATACTGTGTCTGTCTAATCAGCATGGCCCTTCTTTTCTCATTTTTTTATTTGAGGTATTGAGTGGTGTTCTCATTATCCCTTAACAAATCCTAGAGCAATAGTAAAATAAAACAAAGAGATATAACTAATAAGACCATGATGAAAATAAAGTGAAATTATAAAAATAACCAATTACTCCAGAAGAAAGCAGGAAAATGGAAAAAAGAAACAAAGGATAATTGGGACAAATAGAAAACAAATAATAAGATGCTAGATATATAAAGCCAACCATATCAATATTCACACTAAATATAAATGATCTAAAGAATCCAACTAAAAGGAAGAGATTGTCTTATTGGATTAAAAATCAAGTCCCAGCTATATGCTGTTTCTAAGAAAGCAACTTTAATGCTAAAGACAGATAAATTAAAAATAGATAAAGACATAATATGCATGCACCACTTTAAAGTAAGCTGGGGTGATTATATTAATATTATATAAAATAAATTTCAGAACAAGGAATATTACTAGGGATAATGATAAATTGATCAATATATGAAAAGGACATAACAATTACAAATATGTATGTGCATAATAGCAGAGATTTAAAATACATGATACAAAAACTCATATAACTGAAGTGAGAAATAGAAATCCATAATTATAGTTGGAGACTTCAACATTCCTCTCTTAATAATTGATGGGAGATGTATGCAGAAAATCAGTATAGAAGAGTTTACAGATTACAAAATAATCTATGTGGAAAATCCTAAGACCTCTCCAAAAAATGACTAAAACTTGTGAGTTCAGCAAAGTCACAGCATACAAGGTCAATATGAATTGTGTAAACAATTGGAAAACGAAATCTATTTATATATACCATCCTCATTTTAGCAGATTCTGTACTTTGGAATTTGCCTATAGTTTTAGGCAATTTTAATTTATTTGTAACCCCCAAATGTATACTCCTGGCACTCTCACACTCACTTGTGGACATGCACAGAGCAGTGAAAAATTTAAGTCACCTGATGCTCATATTCCCTGCTGATGTTGAACAAGATGATGCTCTGTCTTCTTATTTCATCTCTCATACTATAAACAAGTGCCCTTTTTGTGCTCTATTTAATGCCACTTTTTGCATAATTTTTGTTTTTTTGGGTGGTTTTGCTGTTCAAAATGTCCCCCAATCATATTGCTGAAGTGCTGTCTAGTATTCTTAAGTGCAGGAAGGTTGTGATATGCCTTACAAAGAAAATATGTGTGTCAAATAAGCTTTGTTCAGGCATGAGTTACAGTGTTGTTGGCTATGAGTTCAATGTTAATGAGTCAACAATATATAAGAAATAACATG
The DNA here is from genome assembly GCF_000001405.40 of Homo sapiens. NCBI lineage: Eukaryota > Metazoa > Chordata > Mammalia > Primates > Hominidae > Homo > Homo sapiens. The sequence continues at coordinate 66,437,644 of NC_000014.9, read as the reverse complement.
TCTTTAAGCATAAATATGCATAAAACAAGATTATGTACTGATCTGTTGATAAAAAGATTACCAGAGACTTGCAGGAACCTTATCTTTATTTTCCCTAGGAACAATGGTTTAGTATTTGCTAATTCAGGTTTGTGGAGACTTTATAGAACATAACTACTGTGCATAATAATAATTTAGGGTACTTACAATGAACAATTAGAAATTTCAATGAAATCAACACCATTTGTAATAGTATTAAAAACTGTGTAATATTTAGGAATACATTTAGTAAAATATGTACTAGTCCTGTACTCTTAAAACTACAAAACATTGTTGTGAGAAATTAAAGAAAATCTAAACAGTTGGAGAGATATACCATGCTCATGAATTGGATGACTCAATACTGTTAAGATGTCAAAATCTTAGCAGGCTTTCCTTGGTAGAAATTGAAAAATTCATTCTAAAATTTATAAAGAAACAAAAAAAAATCTAGTATAGACAAATTTTGAAAATAAAGAACAAAGTTGGAGAAATTATAGTGTCTTAAAATCAGATACATGGTGCTTTGATTTTGGCATAATGATAGAAATATAGATAAACAATAAGACAGAGGGTCTTTGCATGTTCTCATAAGTGGAAGCTAATCAATGGGTACTCATGAACATAAAGATGGCAACAATAGACAGTGAGGACTACTAGAAGAGGGAGGGAGGAAGGGGGACAAAAGTTGAAAAACTAACTATTGGTTACTATGCTCAGTACTTGGGTGATGGGATCAATTGTACCCCAAACCTGAGCATCACACAGTATACCCAGATAACAAACCTGCATATGTGCTCCTGAATCTAAAATGAAAGTTGAAATTATTTTAAAGAAAAGAATAGAGGGTCTAAAATTAGACCTCGCCAGATATAGTCAGCTGATTCTTGACAAAGGTACCAAGGTGATTCAATTAGAAAATATAATCTTTTCAACAGATGTGCTAGAAAAATTGGACATCTATTAATATATGCAAAAGAACCTTTTGCAGGTACAATTTGGGAGAGAGTTACTATAGGAATGGATAGTTGGAAACAAGATTCTGAGTTTATGGAGCCTTGTAGGATGAAGCCTGAAAGAGGCCTCTTCCTGGTATATTTCAACTCTGAAGTGCATTTTTTTGTACCTCAAGTCTGAGATGACTTATGTTTCTGAAGACTGGTGTTATTAAGTACATAGGTTATTACTCATTAGTTTCAATTGAAGAGCTACCTCTCCTCTGGTACTTAAGCAGCTAATCTCACCCACACATGTCTAAGGTACTCGTAATAGAGAATATATTTGGAAAATGCTTAACCTTTGACTAGAGATCTAAGTATAGAAAACGGAGATATGTTGAAGGCATAAGAGAGAGATCCACTTCATATTTCACCGGATATAATTCTGAGTTTAGCAAACCCAGCTTGTTTAATGGTTTTATTACTAGATTAGCCATAAACTTGAATACTTTGCCTACATTTTCCTTGTTGACTTTTTCCATTCCTTAGATGTAATTTTTCGGTATGTTTATATTGTAGTAAAATATATATAACATAAAATTTATCATTTTAAAGTGTGCAATTCAGTCACATTAGTCATATGTCACTTAATAACAGGGATACATTCTAAGAAATTCATTATTAGGCTATTTTATCATTGTGCAAATGTCATAGGGTGCACTTACAAAAATCTAGATGGTATAGCCTACTACATACCTAGGCTATGTGGTATAGCCTACTGCTTCCAGGCTACAAACCTGTACAGCATGTTACCGTACTGAATAGATACTGTAGGCAATTGTAACACAATGGTATTTGCATAGCTAAACCTTTCTAAACATAGAAAAGGTAATGTATCACAATACAAAGTTACCACAGCTATGACATCACTAGGTGATAGGAATTTTTCCACTCCATTATCATCTTATGAGAATACCATTTTATATGTGGTTTCTCATTGACTAAAACATGATTATGTGGCACATGACTGTAATTACATTCACAATGTTGTGTAATCATTACTACTATTTCCAAAACTTCTTCATTACTCCAAACAGAAACTTCATAACCATTAAGCAGTAACTCCCCGTTCTCCCTCTCCCTAGCCCCTGGTAAACTCCAGGTTACTTTTTCTGTCTATGAATTTGCCTATTCTAGATATTTCATATAAGTGGAATCATATATTAATCCTTTTGTATTTAGCTCATTTAACTTAGCATAATATCATCAAGGTCCATCCATTTTGTAGCATATGTCAGAATTTCATTCCTTTTTATGACTGAATAATATTCTATTGTATGTATATAACAAGTCTTGCTTATCTATCCATCTCTCGAGGGACATGTGAGTTGTTTCCACTTTTTGACTATTGTGAATAATGCTGCAGTGAACATTGGTGTACAAGTATCTGTTTGAGTCCCTATTTTCAGTTATTTTGGATATATACCTAGGAGTGGAATTGCTGGATCATAAGGTAACAGGGCAATTTTTTAAAAGCATAAATAATGAGTAACAATTGCAGAAGAATTAAACTGTAAAGATAAGCTCAAAGAAAGAAACAAAATCTGCCTGTTAGCAATAAATCATTTTTCCTGTCTTGTTCTGTGCTTCTTACATTGTATAGCATAATGTTTAAATGTAAAGTTGGGCACAAATGGTACCTGAAAGTAGTTTTTGTGATAATCTTCTCTTTATAGTTTATACTGCTAGCTACATGCTCAAAAGTGAGAAGATTGCCTTTCTAAGCAGGAAAAGAGTAGAAGGAAATCATAACTAAGGTAGCTTCAGAATAGGGTGAACAACTTCTCCCAGTTTGCTGGGGACTTTCTGGTTTTAGCATTGAAAGTCCAACATTCTCGAAAGCCCCTAATTCTCAAGCAAACTGATGCAGTAAGTGACTATATTGCAGAGTCTGCCAATAACATATACAGGAATACCTCAGATATATTGCAGGCATGGTTTTGACCACCACATTAAAAGGACTATCACAATAAAGTGACTCATACAAATTTGTTGGCTTTCTGGTGCATATAAAAGTTATGTTCATACTATACTATAGTCTGTTAAATGTGCAATAGCATTGTCTAAAAATAATGTACATATCTTAATTAAAAATACTTTATTGTTAAAAAATGCTAATGAGCATCTGAGCTTTCAGCGAGTCATTATCTTTTTGTTGGTGGAGTGTCTTGCCTCAGAATTTGATGGCTGCTGATTGATCAAGGTGGTGGTGACTGTGGCAATTGAACAAAGAAAGACAGAAATGAAGTTTGACATACTGATTGACTCTTCCTTTCACAAAAGAGTTCTCCATAGCATTTGATGGTGTTTGATAGCATTTTACCCACAGTAGAACTTTCAAAATTGTAGTTAATCTTCTCTAACCCTGCTACAGCTTTATCAACTAAGTTTATGTAACATTCTAAATCCTTTCTTGTCATATCAACAATATTCATAGCATCTTCACCAAGAGTAGATTCCACCTCAAGAAACTACTTTCTTTGCTAATCCCTAAGAAGCAACTCCTAACTTGTGAAAGTTTTATAAAGAGATTGCAGCAATTCAGTCATGTCTTCAGGCTCCACTTCTTATTCTGCTTTCTTTGCTGTGCAGATACATCCTTCACTGAAGTCTTGAACCCCTCAAAGTCAACCATGAGGGGTGGAGTCAACTTCTTTCAAAATACTGTTAATGATGACATTTTGACGTCCTCCCTTGAATCACGAATGTTATGAACAGCATCAAGAATAGTGAATTCTTTCCAGAAGGTTTTCAATTTACTTTGCCCAGATCCGTCAGAGGAATCACTATCTATGGCAGCTATAGCCTTACAAAGTGTATTTCTTAAATAATAAGAATGGAAAGTCAAAATTACTTATTGATCCATAGTCTGCAGAACGGCTGTTGTGTTAACAGGCATGAAAACGTTATTAATCTACTTATACATCTCCATCAGAACTCTTAGATGACCAAGTGTGTTGTCAATGAGCAGTTGCATTAGGAAAGGAGGCTTTTTTTTTTCTGAGCAGTAGGTCTCAACAGTGGGCTTAAAATATGTAGTATATCATGCTGTAAACAGATTTGCTGTCATTCAGGCTTTGTTATTCAATTTATAGAGCACAGGCAGAGTAGATTTACCATGATTCCTTAGGATCCTAATATTTTTGGAATGGGAAATAAGCATTGGCTTCAACTTAAAGTCACCAGCTGCATTAGCCCCTAACTCTTGAGTCAGATTGCTTTTTTTAAACATTTTTTTATTTCAATAGTTTCTGAGGTACAGGTGTTTTTTGATTACATAGATTAGTGCTTTAGTGGTGATTTCTGAGATTTTAGTGCACCCATCACCTAACCAGTGTACACTGTACCCAATATGTAGTCTTTTGTCCCTCACCTCTCCAAACCTTCCCTGCCAAGCCCGCAAAGTCTATTATATCATTCTCATGCCTTTGCTTCCTCATAGCTTAACTCCCACTTATAACTGAGAACATATGGTATTTGGCTTTCCATTCCTGAGTTACTTCACTTAGAGTAATGGCCTCCAGCTCCATCCAAGTTGCAGCTTGCTCTTTGAAGCCTTGGAGCAAAGCATTGACTTCTCTCCTACTCCAAAAGTCCTAGATGGCATCAATGATCTTAGCTATATCTTCTGGATAACTTACAGCAGCTTCTACATCAGGGCTTGCTCCTTTACCTTGAACTTTTATGTTATGAAGATAGCTTCCTTTTATTAAACCTCATGAAGCAACCTCTGCTAGCTTCCAACTTTTCTTCTGCAGCTTCCTCATCTCACTCACCCTTCATAGTATTGAAGAGAGTTAGGGCCTTTCTTTGGATTAGGCTTTGGGTTAAGGGAATGTTGTAGCTGGTTTGATCTACTCAAACCACTAAAACTTTCTCTTTCCATATCAGCAATAAGCTTGTTTGACTTTCATATTATTCTTGTGTTCACTGGAGTAGCACTTTTAATTTTATTCAGTAACTTTTCCTCTGCATTTACAAGTTGGCTAACTTTGACACAGGAGGGTTAGCTTTTGGCTTAGGTCAGCTTTTGACATGCCTTCCTCACTAAGCTTAATTATTTCTAGCTTTTGATTTCATGTGAGAGTTGTGTGACTCTTCTTTTCTCTAGGGTTATTAATTAACCTGATTTCGATATTGTTGTGTCTCAGGGAATAGGGAGGCCCAAGGAGAGGGACAGAGACAAGGGAATGACCAGTCAGTGGAGCAGTCAGAACACACAGAACATTTACTGATTAAGTTTTCTATCTTATTTTGGCACAACTTGTGGTGCCTCAAAACAGTTATAATAGTAATATCAAAGATCAGTGATCACAGATCACCATAACAGATATAATAATAATGAAAAAATTTGAAGTATTGCAAGAATTACCAATATGTACATAGAGACACAAAATGAGCATGTGTTATTGGAAATAGGAACTTACTTGACACAAGGTTGCCACAGACCTTCAATTTGTGAAAAATACTGTATCTGTGAAGCACAAATAAAGTGCAATAACGTTAAGTAGTTAAAGTAGGGCTTTAATATGGACTTGCTTTTCATTTATGGTACAGCCTTAAGGTTATGCTTTAAGAAAAGTGTTCTGCAGAAATCTAAATATAAACCCAGATAAGTTAGGAACTTGTTATTCACATTATAAAATCATACTTACTTTACAAACAAGTTTTCTTAACTGGCAGCATTTCTTTAAATTACAATTTCCTTGGCACATTTTGTTTATTGGTCATTAGTCACTCAATGGAGAGTCTGGGGAATAACTGCCAAATGCCAATCAATCAGAAATGAGGATTAAAAAATTATCAAATAATAAATCACTTGGAAAGTGCAACTAAATATATTTCATTTTCCATAAATACATGTATCCTACAACTGGATTGATTTGGGCTGGAAAGATATTCTTCCTTGGTAGTTAGGAGATGTATTTTAGAAGTTCTGCATTAGAAAGAACCTTGTCAAATGTCATTAAAAGAATCACTGAACTGAACTGAAAACTGGAGACAAGATCGTTATTTTTGAAATGGGGAGACCAGGTAAATAGGTTATGGTAAATTCCATGGATAAGAGATGCTGCTGAAACCCCACTCAAAATGTTGTAACAGTTATTTTTATTCTATCAGGATCGTCACACTTGAAGATTTCTTGTACCCTATCTCCTTTAATTACTTCTATTTCAGATATCATACATAGAATACCCAAGTACTACTGAAGGGGCACACTAATTAGAATCATAGAAGGATTTAGCATCACAGAACAATAGTAAGGGATTAGTAAAGATGTGATAGAGTCCATAACAAGCATATTTTGCATAAACAAAAATTAGCTTTCTTGAAGAGGATTCCACAGAATGAGAAAGTAACATGAAAGATAAAAATGATGTGAAGAGAAATGGAAAAATAAACTTCTGCTTTAATAAGCCTCTTATGATTAGATAACAAGATATTTATGTGATTACACAGGACCCAACCATTAAGACATTAAATTGATTCAGGATGGCAGTTCTTACTAAATACTCCTTTTAAAGTAATTTTCAGCTTCACTTTTTCAGCTTCATCAGTCTCTTATTTTGTATTGTGTCATTGCTTTTCAAATCTAAGCATATGGTTTTTATCATTATATTTATCTGAAGCACACCTTTTTCCTTTTTTACAGACTTCACATTTTTATTGCTCTACCCCTATAACATACTTGAGCGATTTTCTTTCATAATAACAGCAGTAACAATAACAATAGTATCTGCCATTTGTGTGTTTCATTTTTCCTAGAGGGTTTGCCAAGTGCTCTGTATGATTTATTCTCATTTAATCTCCCAACATCCTAATGAGAAAACTGAGGATTAGGATTATGTGATATGTGCAAGGTCAAACAGAGCTAAATGGTAGAGCCAAAATTTTAATACCAGGGTCTACTTGACCAGAATCTTTGCTCTTAACCATTGCATAGCACCTGCCACCACTGCAGGTTTTTAAGGCTATAGCACCCTTGGCTACGGGGGAGTCATAGTCCTGAGACCATGGATCACCCATCTTTGCCAGGAAGGGCTGTCCAAGAGACTTCAGGGCTTTTTGTCTGATAACTGAGCAGTAGCTGTTAGTTCCTTTATGTTCTTATATGTGACTCTTTAATTCCTGATTATTCTCAGAAGATCTTTGGAAGAGTAGTTAGACAGCTATTATTTTAAATCACAAGATTAGGTCAAGAAGAACTAGTCAAAGATTAAATGACTTGCCAGGGTACCGAGCAAACTCCTCTGGGCTAGGCTCTGCAGGAGAGAGAAAAGCCAGATGGGGTAATTGCCCTCACCCTGGGGTTTCTGTCCTATGGGGTTCAGAGCTAGAGCCTCTGGTTCTCTCTGTCCTCCTGCAATGGTTTCTTTCTCTACTGCTAATTTTTGCCCCAGTAAAACTGTGCTATCTAGTTTATCTTAGGGTAATTTGGGAATACCCCTAGAAGGCCACTGTATAAACCTGCATGTAGTAAATTGAGGTCTATGTTTCTGTAATGGATGGAAAGAAAAGCAACAAAACAAATAACTAATTTTGTTAAATCTGATTTTAATTCTTCTTTTTAAAAAAAGCAAATGGCATGATATTTTGGCAGACTTTTTGACAGCACCCACATTTGATTTGATGAGATGTGTGCTCCTATTTGAGTTATGTCCAAAAGAGGGCAGACAGATGGAAGGGTTTTACAAAAGGAAAAAAAAAATCCTGGTTATTATGAGCCTAGAATTCCTAATATGCTTTTAATTTTTTCTCTTAAAAAGCAATAAATAGGTCTTAACAGATGGACTAACACTTGAGTTAAAAGCATCCTTTGAGAAACTACAAGCAATGAATGCTTTATACAGATGTAGAGAGTTCAAATGCATGCAAATCATAGCAAACCACACAGAGTGAGGCTAGAGAAGCATAAACTTTCTGAGAAAGGAGGTTTAGGAAAACGTACACTCAGACCTATAAAACAATCTTCTGTGACCTTCCAGCATAGATTTTCTTTTCTTTTTTGAGACAGGGTCTCACTCTGTCACCCAGGCTGGAGTGCAGTGGCATGATCTCAGCTTGCTGAAGCCTTGGCATCTTGGGCTCAAGTGATCCTCCCACCTCAGCTTCTTGAGTGAGTGGGATTACAGGCACATGCCACCACACCCAGCTGGTTTTTTGTTTTGTTTTGTTTTGTTTTTTGTAGAAACTAGATTTCACCCTGTTGCTCAGGCTGGTTTCGAACTCCTGGGCTCAAGTGATCTGCTCGCCTTGGCCTCCCAAAGTGTGGGATTACAGGCAGAGGCACTGTGTCCAGTCCAGCATAGATTTTCAAACTGTGAGTCATGACCCATTGATAGGTCATGAAATCAATTTAATCAGTTGTGATCAGAATTTGAAAAAAAAAAAGGTGTTGGTGGTGGTGCAGCCAGGAACAGGATCTATTCAGAGTGTACTACGTGTGGTAAAAATCAATGCTGTTTCATGATGGTTTGTTTCTATTACATACTGTTTCCTGGGTCATGATGCATTATTTACTATAGGTCATGGTTAAAATATATGTATTCTAGAAGATGCTGCTCTAGCAGATGATTAATGCACATATATTGCAACATGACTCCATTCATGAGCCCCTTTTTCCTGCTTCTCTCCACATCTAGTCCATTAGCTTTCTGCCCAAAATATGGGATATGCTGTATTCATTCACTTCCATCTACTTCTTTTCATTTCCACTGCTTTCAACCTTATCCAAGCCACTAGCATGCCTCATCTTAGGCTATGGAATAGTCTCCTAACTATTCTCGTGGCTATCATTTGGGCTACCTGCAATCCATTCTCTATGTGGCAGCCACAGGAATCTTTTAAAAACATAAATAACTCTTGTACCTAAACCGCTACGCTGGTTTTCCTTTGAATTTAGAATGAAGTCTAAACCTCTTAGCATGCTAAAACCTACATAGACTGTTCCCTGTCTATCTCTCCAGCTTTATATCCTGCTGTCCTTCCATAGACTCTGACTTGGCCTACCCTCGGGGTCTTGTATCTGCTCTTCTCTTTCCCTGGAAAATGCTCTGCTCAGATCTTAGCAAAGCTCTCTTCTTTCACCACACAAGACTCTCCTGAACCATGTAGATGAAAGTGCATTCTCGTACGCACCCTCCCCATGACGCTGAATACTCTCTCATATTCCCTGCACCAGCTGCCTCAGATTTACTTTCTTTGTAGAATGTCATCACTGTCTGAAAGTATCTTCTTTGTTTACTTGCTTATTGTCTGTTTCCTTCTGTAAATGCCAGAGCATTGGGACCTTGGCTGTGTTGTCCTAGGCTGTATCCCCAGCCTTTAGAACAGGGCCAGCGTGGCAATAGTATGCACTAAAAAATATTTGTGAATGAATGAATGAATTTGCTTTAGGATATTCCAAAGGCCCACATTATTTTTGTTCAAAGTTTTATTTTTAATTGACAAATAATATATATATTTATGGGGTACAATGTGATATTTTGATATACGTATACATTGTGGAATGATTATATCAAACTAATGAACATATCAATCACCTTACATTCTTAACATTTTTTTGCAGTGAGAACATTTAAAATCTACTCTTTTAGCAATTTAAAAACATACGTTATTATTATTACTAACCATGGTCATGATGCTAAGCAATAGATTTTGAAAACCTTCCCCACTGTCTAACTGAAACTTTGTACCCTTTGATCAATATCTCCCCATTCCCCACTCCATACCACCTGGTAACCACCATTCTACTCTCTACATCTATGGATTTGACTGTTTTGGATTCCACGTAGACGTGAGAGCAAGTAGTATTTCTGTGCCTATTTCACTTAACATGCCTCCAGATTCATCCATGTTGTGGCAAATTACAGAACTTCCTTCTTTTTTTAAAAGACGAATACTATTCCATTGTGTATATGTATCACATTTTCTTTATCTATTCATCTGTTGATAGACAATTAGATTGATTTCGTATTTTGCCAAAGGCCCACATTCTGAGCATGCCAAAGATCGACAAACTATGAATAGAGTGAAGCTGGAACTTTTTCCTTATCCTACCAGTTGGATGTGGCATTTTGAAGCCAAGGGTCCCAACTGTACTCTAGACTAGAGCTCCTCTGGGTGTGGCTTCCTTGATTACTGCCATATTTGGTTCTCTTTCCCCTCAAGACTTGTTGCCATGACCCTGACAGACTTGAAGTGCTGATAATATGGTGTCAGGAAACCAGAGTTCTGTGATCTCTCTGAATCTTGATTATTTTATCTGTAAAATAAACACAAGAATAATTTACCTACTAGAGATGTTTTGAGGACTAAATAAGAAAGTGGGTATGAACAGTAAATATCTGCTATTGTGATTACTAGTCTCTTCAGGTATTTTAAAAGAATCAGAAGTGAATGTGGAATGCTTTTTGTTAATTCCAAATGCTGGGAAATGCCTCTATCTTCCAAACTGCTCATCAGAAGTTGGGGCATCATCCTCAAGGACTCATTTCCTTTTATCCCCACATCCAATCACCTACCAGTTTATATCAATACTTCCTCTTCCTTATAAAGTGGGGGCACCCCCATTTAAACTCCTTTATAATTTGAGGTCTGGCATGGGGCCCAAGAATTTGATTAGACGAGCTGACATGCCTGGAGCACAGAGATATTTTTAAAATATTAGTTTCCTTCCTTTTCCTAAGGAAAATTCATCTGTCCCTTTCCTCAAGATATTTCTAGTATTTGGTGCCACACAAGTCTCTCCTGTGCTGTGTAGATCAGGGTGCTTTCTTGGGTTTGTCAACCCTCAGTTGTTACTACCCTCTTGCATAGATGCAGGATGAAAGGGTAAATCTTCCCACAGTCCCCCTCCCCTGCCTCACATTCCTCATGTGATTTATATAGTTGCTGAAATCTCACATGATTCCACTTAGGTATCTCAGCAGTTCTACATTACTCCTAACTTCTAACCGGTTGAAGTAATCACATGCTTTTACCAAACCAGTCATGCATGCCTACAGTCCTCCTTCATGCTCTTATCAGGTAAGGCACTTATATTTTGGCTGGCCTTGCGCTTTTTGCTAGTAATAAGCCACCTTGGTTTATTATGATGTTTAAAATAAACTTAATTTCCCCAATCTTTCTTCCCTTCTCATCTAATTGTTTATCAGCTGGACTATTGTAATGGCCACTAAGTGGTTTTCTTGCCTTTTGTCTCACACCCCTCCAATCTAACTTGTTGTTATTGTTATTATCTCATCCTCCCAGGACCATCCCCAAAATTTCACAGTGACAATTATACAGTCTGGGAAACAAAGTAAAGCCAGAGCGATAGAACTGGTGAGGCATGACTCCTACCTTTCTTATCCATCTCAAAGGAGCTACTCTAAGTGTACTAACTATAGACCAAATAAGAGGGTAGTGCCCCAATAGACCAATTCCAGGTCTGAGTGTGTATTAAATTGCTGGTTAACCTGGGCAGCTCATATCATGTCTCTGAGCCTTAGTGTGCACATCTGAAACAATAAAAATAGTAATGACTAAAGTTTCTTTTGAATTTACTATGTTCCAGGCACTGATTTAGTGCTTTACATAGACTACTCACCATTTCAAATGCCCTTTGATGTAAATAGTACTATTGTCTGCATTTTAGAGATGAGAAAAATGAGGCAAAGAAGAGGTTGAGGAACTAGTCCAAAGACACCCTATGGTAAGAACCATAGTCCCAGAGCTAGAAAGTGTTGGGACTATGGTTCAAACCCAGGCAGTGGCTCCAAAGTCTGCACTTGGATGCTGTAAAAAGGAGTTGAATTAGATGAGCTTCTGGGGTCTCTCTAAGTTCATGTGCCAGAGAAGGCTGCTGGTTTCCCCCAACAAACAAAGATTAGGAACAGTGCTATGTTAAGGTGTGACACTGCAGCCAGTACAGTTCATCCTCAGGCAGGGAACATTGTCTAAATATAGAACCTCCCTTAACGTTGGAAGGTCTGACTAAACTGGGTTAGTTGCTGGGTGAGGTGCTAGAGGCAGCGCAAGCAGAAAGGTGTGCCAGCTTCGCAGTAGTGCTGCATAACAATGTAGGGCAAGATTTCTCCCTGAGCTCTGCCCTGCTTGCATCACTGCTTTCATTGCACATCCTTTAGCGGGATTATATAATGCCGGTTAAGGTAGATTACTTTATGAATCAATTTGCCTCTCAGGGAAATCAGGGCATTTGCCAAACTCTTTTTCACCAAAATGACAATTCCATGGCTTTAGGTTGATTCTCTTTTTACTTGTTTGTCAGTTGCAAGGGAAACTCTGGTTTATGTCTGTTCCATGTGCAGCTGGACTGTCTTTGGACATGCATACTTTCCAACAATGTTAACTTCTTCTTCTGGCTTGTTCTTTGGGATATGTTTTTAGACCTTTGAGATACTGTTGTGAGTTGAATTGTATTCCCCCAAAAGAGATGTTTAAGTCTTAAACCCCTGTACTTGTGAAAGTGACCTTAATTTGGAAATAGGGTCTTTGCATATGTAATCAAGCTATGATGAGGTCATACTGGAGTAGAGTGGGCCCTAATACGATAGCTGGTTTCCTGAAAGAGAGGTAATTTACACACAAACACGCAGACACAGGGAGAACACCATGTGATGATGGAGGTGGATATTAGAGTGGTTCATGTATAAGCAAAGGAATGCCAAGGACTGTGGGCAAACACCAGAAGCTAGAAGTAAGCGAAGAACCATTCTTCCCTAGAACTTTCAGAGGGAGCATGGTCCTGCTGACACCTTGATATCAGACCGTGAGAGAATAAATTTCTGTTTTTATGCCACCCAGTTTGTGGTACTTAGTTACGGCAGCCCTGTGAAACAAATGCAAATACTTCTCTGGATCTTTTGCCAAAGATGTTAAAAGGGTTCCATAAGCATAATTTCATTAATTCATAAAATATAAATTGAACTATTTAAAGAATGTGTGCCATGGAAATAGGGCTAGGATGTTGGCCCAAAGACCTGAGATGCAGCTCTGGCTCTGCTACTTACTAACTGTATGACTGGGGGACAAATCATTCATCCTTTCTGAGTTGTTGTTTTTTAAAAAAATAAAAAATGAGACTATTGCAAAAATACTGCCTTGTTTGCCATATAAGGTTGTTATGAGAATCAGTAATAATTTACATTTGTGTAGCACTTGAATGTTTACAAATCACATTCAGGTAAAAACACTATGTTATTTGTTCTTCTCAATAACCCCACAAGGTGGATAGTTTTCTTGATCTAATGTTGCTGATCAATGCAAAATTTAGAGAAGCTGTTTGTTTGCCAGAGACAACACAGCTGGTAAATATTAGAGACGGGACTCCTCTCTTTTCTACTCTACATACTCCACTGTATAGTGCTTAGGAAAACACTTGGCCCGTTGTATATGTTTAATATGTATTTGTTGAATGAACAGAGGGATGAATGAACCTTGGTTTTCTGATACTTAAGCATGTGAATCTTTTATAACCCTTCAGCTGAAAGATTAATGTATTCAGTATACAGTTCCAATTATTTATGTACACAAAAATATTTGTTGAATGCTTGCCAGGGGCTAGGCATGGGTCTAGGTATAGACTTATAGCAGTGACAAAACAGACCAAATCCCTGTTCAGGCAAAGCTTACATTCTAGTCGGGGAAATAGATAGTAAAAAAACAAACTTCTATCTTGACATGAAATTGCCAAGGAGAAAATTCAGCAGAATAGTAGGGATGGGAATTACGGAGTGGGAGAAGGGGAAGAAGGATGTTATAGGGTAGTCAGGAAAGGCCTCTGTGATAAGGTGACTTTTGAGTAGAGCTGTGAAGGAAGTGATGGGTATCTAGGGAAAGATTATTTCAGGCTAAGGAAATAGCAAATAAAAAGTGTGAAAGTTTTCTTGAGACCTTCAAAAAACAGCAAGGAAGCCAGTGTGGAAGAGGGGTGGATTGGTGGTCAGAAAGTTATAGGAGGCCCTATCACATGGCCCTTGTATGGACCTTGTAGACCAACGACAGGAGTTTTTGGTTTTTACTACAAGATAGGAAGCCATTGGAGGATTTTGCACAGAGGAATGACCTGATATGTTTTAAAAGGATCATTATGGTTGCAGTGTGGAGAATAGATGGGAGAGGGAAAAGGATGGAAGTTGGCAAAGGTTGTTATAATAATGTAGGCAAGAGATGGAGTTAGTGAGGATGGTCAGATTCCGAATACATTTTGAGGGTAGAACTAACAGGATTTTATGACTAATTTGGATGTGGGGTGTGAGAGAAAACGAAATGTCAAAATGGCTCCAAGAGTTTTGATATGTGCAACTATTAATACAACAGATGTAAGAGTTATTAAGGTGGGAGAAGCAGGTTTGGGATAAGGGTGGGGAAACCAGTTTAGTTTTGGACATTTCAGTTTGAGATTTATCATAGACTTCCAAGTAGAGATGTTGTGTAAACAAATGGAAATATGAGTCTGGAGTTCAAGGAAAAGGCCCAGGATAGAGATAAAATCTTGGGAGTCATTAGCATATACAAAGTATTTAAGTCCATTAGATTGGATGAGATCAGCAGACGGTGAGTATAGATTTTTAAAATAGGTTCAGGGTTTGAGCCCTGGAGCATTCCTCCTTTTGGGGATCAGGAAAATGAAAAGTAATGGGCAGAAGAGACTGAGGAGGAGCAGCTAATGAGGAAGAAGGAAAACCAAAAGGGAGTGGTGATGTAGAAGCTGAGGAAAGATGCCATTTGAAGAATGTTTCAAAACTTATTACACAGAAGAGAGAGGGATGATTGCTAAAGCAATGCTCGCAGTTCACATACTGCTGACTGACTGAGTTAGGTGAAGTCTAAGTTGTTTCTGTTTAGTATGGCAATTTGGAGGTAATTAATAAGTAACCTTGACACAAACAGTTCAGGTGTGGGTGGGAAAAGATCCTGATGGCAGTAGGTTCAAGAGAAAACAGCAAAAGAGAAAGTGGAGTCAAAGTACACACCCTTTGGAGGAGTTTTGTTATTAAAGGGGCAGAAAAATAGTGCAGTAGCTGGAGGGTAATTTGATGTTAAGGGAGAAGGAGGTTGGTTTGTTTGCTCATTAAAAGGGGAAATGCTAAAGCATGCTAATGGTAATTGTATTATAGAAAGAAGAAACATGATTACATAAGGAAACAGAGTGCGAACTGCTGTGGTAATACCCTTGAGCCAGTGAGGGAGAAGACATCCAGTGAACAAAGGGAGGAGTCAGCCTTAGAAAGGCACACTTTTCTATTGTGATCCATTGTTACAGAAAGGAAGGCAGAAAATGTGGGTGCAGACACTGGTGGGTTGTTTGTTATACAAGTGAGAGCTCATGGAATTTTTCTCTGATTGGTTCAGTTTTTCCAGCAATATAGGAAGCAAGGTCATCAGCTAAGAGTGCGGAGGGAAAGAGGTGTGACATTCGGGAGAACGGGAGAGTGAATAGACTAAGGGAATGCAGTAGTAGGGTTTCCAGGCAGCATTGCATAAACATGTGAGAGATTACTATGATGAGTAGAGAACAAAGATGGGAATTTCATATATTCGTTGACAGCTCACACATGGAAGCCATGCTATAGGCTTTGAGATACAAAGAAGAATTCTCACCTCCAGGAATGTGAAATCAAGTGTCAGTGATAACTAATAAACACAGGAAAGATTCAAATAATGATTTAAGACAATAGAAGAAAATATATGTGACAAGGAAGCATTAAAACTGCTGAATGTGTTTACGGAGTTCAGAGGAAAAAGACAGGTGATCTAAAAGTGATATGAATCTGGTAGAAAAGATAAATTCAGAGAGGGACAAGTGAGAATAAAGTAAATAATAGGAACAAAGACCAAAGCCTGGAGGGAAAGAGGCAGAAATACATCATCACCAAGTAGGGTTATCAGATAAAATACGGGACACCCAGTTAAATTTGAATTTCAGATAAACAACAAATAATTTTTTAGTATAAAATACGTATTTATACAGAATCAAATTTGGGTGGCCTGCAGTTTTATTTGCTAAATCTGGCAGCCCTAGAATCAAGGTTAAGGGAAACAAAAAAATGTTATTGAACCAAGAGAAGGAAGAATTTCAAGAATACAAAAGGTGTTCGATGGTGGCAGAATACTTCAATAAACCCACGGAAATAAAGTTTTGTCATTAGAACACCACTGGTGGCATTTGACACGGCATTGAAGGCAGAGGGCCAAGCAACAGATATGGAATACTCAGTAGAAAGGCTTGGCAATAAGAAAGGAGAAAAATATATAGTCTAAGGCCAAATGTAGAGGTGAATCCCAGGACCTGGGCTCACAGCCACTGGGATGCTGTATGCATTTAGATAATGTGTGAACAGCAAAGATCCTATCTTTAAGATGCTCTGTAAAGGCCAGAGACTGGCTAAACAGTGAAATCACAACTTAGCTGGCTTGGTATTCTAGGGCTCAGGTATCCTCCATTGGGGAGCAAGACAACGGAAGGAGACACATTTTGCAAATGAAATACGAAAGAAAAAAAAGGATGGAAATCCTATTGTTGTCAAAATGTTTATTTCAATTCAATATTAGACCAAATTCAGATACTCTCAGATTGAAATAAGAATGTGAACTTTAGATTATAAATCATTTAATAGAACAGACTTTCTGCCCACAGAGGCCTGCCCTATGCTGGATTTTATTTCTTTACAACTGGATAGAGGAAAGCATCAAATAAATTCCATGAGAAACAAGCACTATTGTGAAAAGGCAATGGCAGAATTTTTCCTGCCTGGCCACTAGTGTTAGGGCACTTGGTCATAGAGGATGGGCATGTCTGAGGGCTGTACACTATCAGTCGGTGGAAGTGTTAGAATGACAGTGACAGTAATGTTTTATCCTTAGGGGCCTCAAGGTGCTGTAGTATCATTATAGAATATTTATTGCTGAATTTTCTGCCCCCAGGAAGAAAAGGTAGCAGCTTTTGGAGGAGATTTTTTTAAAATGAGGGTTAACAGAGTAACCTTTGACAATAACTGCTAATGAATTAGGGTCAGGGACATCTCAGTGCTCACAGACCTTAAAAATACTGTCATCTATCTTTCTCTCTGAATTGAGTGTTCATCTTGCCAGTTCCTATAGTTAATTAGATTGTTAACTCTGTCTATTTATAGCAGCAAACACTTCACTGGCATGTAGCAAATGCTGATTATTAATCAGGAGCCTCTACTGACTCAGGGTGGAATGAAATGTAATTATTCAAATTAGATTTAGGCCAAGGTCCAATGACCTCACAGGCAACATCTTGATTTTGCAAGTACTAGTTTCCATAAACCATGTCTCTGGAAGATGTAGAGATTACCATCTTTAGGAACCTAGGGGTGAATAGTGATGCCGAGTTTAGGCATCCCCTAGCATTCTTAAAAAAATTATGCTCTCTTCTATAAATGTACCTATGCACCTGCCAGCTCATGACGCAAAATCAGCCTTACTGAGTAAATCATTATACAAAGTAGTTATGGATGTAGAATTTTAATAGCAAATCAATTAAAGTTAATTTTCATGGATGCTATTAGGGAGGATATTCACCAAGCCTGTCTCTTTTCATATATCACAGTACTTTATACTTTGAGAGAAAAGTTGTCTGTTTTTTCATCTTTTGCCTTTTGTATTTTTTACTCATTTATACTTTAAGAAATTTTAGATTCGGGGGCACTTGTGCAGGTTTGTTATGATGGTATATTTTGTGATGCTGAGGTTTGGGCTTTCATTGATCTCATCACCCATATAGTGAACATAGTACCAACAGGAAGTATTTCAGCCCTTGCCACTTTCCCTTCCTCCCTTGTTTTGGAGTCCCCAGGGTCTATTATTCCCAAATTTATGTCCATTTGTACCCAATGTTTATCTCCCACTTATAAGAGAACATGTAATATTTGCTTTTCTCTTTCTTCACTAATTTGCTTAGGATAATGGCCTAAGCTGCATCAATGTTGCTGCAAAAGACACGATTTTATTCTTTTTTTGACCGCATAGTATTCCTTGGTGTATGCATACCACATTTTCTTTATTCAATCCACTGTTGATGGACACCTAAGTTGATTCCATGTCTTTGCTATTATGAATACTGCTGCGATGAACATACAAGTGTAGGTATCTTTTTGGTAGAATTGTTTATTTTCCTTTGGATATATAAAGGAAATAAATCCTTTAGGATATATAAAGGAAAAGTAATGGGATTGCTGGGTCAAATGGTAGCTCCATTTTTAGTTCTCTGAGAAATTTCCAAACTGAAATTTATAAGCTTAAGTAAAAATAAGGGATCTATTAAGTAGGTATGGGTATATGTATTCAGGGGCAGGATGTTCAGCTGGATCTCACAAAGATCCATACTAGGACTTGGAGAGCTTCATCCTCCTAGGGGCTGCTAATTGTCTTGTCTCTGCTGCTGTCTTGAGTATCTAATCCTTCCCTGTTTCCAAGGAAAACTTTCTCTGCTTAGCTTGTATACGGCTCATCATGAATGCCCTCAAATTGTACCCTCGTTCTCTAAGTTATAAGATGTTCCTTGTCTAGAGTCCATAGCTACCTGACTTAATCTTTTTGCTTTTTAAAAAGTATAGCATTTTAAACAATTGAAATATACTTCATATAAAATAAGTCACCATTTGAAAGTGTATGCTTCATTGGTTTTTAGCATATTTGTTATGTTGTCCAGTTATCACCACTACCTAATTCCAGAATATTTCCATCACCCTAGAAAGAAATCCCATACCTTCTAGCAGCTAGTCCCAATGACCTCCCCACCACATACCCTGTGCAACCTCTAATATAATTTCTGTCTCTATGAATTTGCCTCCTCTGGATATTTTATATAAATGGTGTAATACAATATATGGCCTTGTGTGTCTCACTGATTTCACTTAGAATAATGTTGTAAGGATCATCTGTGTTGTAGTATATGACAGTACTTCATTACTTTTTATAGCTAAATATTATAATAGTCCATTTATGGATATGCCACATTTTGCATATTCATTCATCAGCTGATGAACATTTGGGCTGTTTCCACTTTGTGGTTTTTAACAATAATGCTGCTATGAACATTGTTTTAAAAAAATATTTATTTATAATTAAAAAATGACAAATTTATGTGTACAATATGATATATTGATATATGTTATACATTGTGCCATGATTAAATCAAGCTAATTAACATGTCCATTACCTTACATACTTATCTTTGTGTTGAAAACATTGAAAATCTATGGACTTAGCAATTTTTATTATTACAACAATAAAATAATAATTTATATTGCTATAATCTATAATGATAATAATTTACATTATTATTAGTTATAGTCACTATGCTATACAATAGATCTCAGGAATGTACACCTCCTGTCTAAACGAAACTTTGTATGTCGTAACCAACATTTCCTTATTTCTTACCCTTCTCCCTGTAGCTCCTGGTAACCATCATTCTACTCTCTGCTACTATGAGTTTGATATTTTAAGATTCTACATACAAGTGAGATCATGCGGTAATGATCTTTCTGTACTGAGAGAAGTTGGAAAATTGGAAATTTCTCTTATTTCACTTAGCATAATGTTCCTCCAGATTCATTCACATTATCTCAACCAACAGGATTTTCTTTCTTGAGGCCTAATAGTATTCCATTTGTGTATGTGTATGTGTAATATATATATTATATATTACACGTTTTCTTTTTCTTCATTCATTAATTCATTGATGGACACTTAGGTTGATTGTATCTATTGGCTATTGTGAATAATGCTGCAATGAACATGGGAGTATAGATATCTCTTTGACATACTGATTTCATTTCCTTTGGATTTATACCCAGAAGTGAAATTGTTGGATCATACGCTAGATCTATTTATGATTTTTTGAGGAATCTCTATACTGTTTTCCATAATGTTTGTGCCAATCTGCATTCCCACCAACAGTATAACACAGTTGCCTTTTCTCTACATTCTTGTTTACATTTATTATCTTCCATCTTTTGATAATAGTCATTCTAACAGGTGTGAGATGATATCTCATTGTGATTTTAGTTTACATTTCCCTGATGATTAGTGATGTTGAGTACCTTTTTATATACCTGTTGGCTACTTGTGTCTTCTTTTGATAAATGTCTACTCAGGTCCTTGGTCCATTTTTTGATCAAGTTATCTGTTTTCTTGCTATTGAGTTGTTTGTGTTCCTTGTGTATTTTTGGATATTAACCCCTTATCAGATGTGTGGTTTGGAAATATTTTCTTCCATTTCTATAGGTTATCTCTTCACTTTGTTGATTGTTTCCCCAGCTGTGCAGAAAGTTTTAGTTTGATGCAGTTCCATTTGTCTAGTTTTGCTGTTGTTGCCTTTGCTTTTGGGGTCTTATCCACTAGATCTTTGCCAAGACCAACATCAAGAAACTTTTCTGTTTTTTTTTTCTACTGGTTTTACAGTTTTGGGTCTTACCTTTAAGTCTAATTTATTTTGAGTTGATTTTTGCCTGTGAGGTGAGATGGGGTCCAATTTCATTTTTCTACTTGTGCATATCCAGTTTTCCTGACACTACTTACTGAAGAGATTGTCTTTTTGCCATTGTATGATTTTGTCACTTTTGTCAAATGTCAGTTGACCATAAATGTGTGTATTTATTTATGGCCTCTCTATTCTATTCCATTGGTCTATATGTCTGTTTTTGTGCCAGTACCTTGCTGTTTGGATTATGATAGCTTTGTAGTAGATTTTGAGATCAGGTAGTATGATGCCTCCAGCTTTGTTCTTTTTGCTTAAGATTGCCTGGCAATTCAGGGTCTTTTGTTTTTCCATATGAATTTTAGGATTGTGTTTTCTATTTCTATGAAAAGTGACACTGAAATTTTGATAGAGATTGCATTGTATCTGTAGATCACTTTGGATAGTATAGACATTTTTATGATATTAATTTTTCCAGCTTATGAACATTGTATATCTTTCCATTTATTTGTATCTTTGAAAACTTCTTTCATCAATGTTTCATACTTATAAGTGTACACATCTTTCATTTCCTTGATTAAACTTATTTGTAAGTGTTTTTCTATGCTATCATAAATGAGATTATTTTCTTGGTTTCTTTTCTGGATAGTTCATTGTTAATGTATAGAAATTCTACTATTTTTATATGTTGATTTGGTATCCTTCAACTTTACTGAATTTGTTGATTAGTTCTAACTTTTTTGATGAAGTGTTTAGGGTTTTCTATACATAAGATCATCTTGTCTGTAAACAGAGACTATTTAACTTCTTCTTTTCCAATTTGGATGCCTTTTATTTCTTTTTCTTGCCTAATTTCTCAGGCTAGGACATCTAGTATATGTTGAATAGACATGGTGACAGTGGATGTCTTTGTTTTGTTCCTCACCTTAGAGGGAAGGCCTTTCAACTTTTCATTGTTCAGTATGAGGTTAGCTGTGCCTTTATTATGTTGAGGCACAATTCTTCTATACCTAATTTGTCAAGAATTTTTATCATGAAAGGATGTGAATTTTGTCGAATGCCTTTTCTGCATCTATTGAGATGATCACATGGCTTTTGTCCTTCATTAGGTTAATGTAGTGTATCATATTTATTGATTTGCATGTATTGAACTATTCTTGCATCCAGGGATAAATCTCACTTGATCAGGAATGAGTGATCCTTTTAATGTGCTGTTGAATTAGGTTTGCTGGTATTTCATTGAGGATCTTTGCATCTATATTCATCAGGAATATTGGCCTGTAATTTTCTCTTTTTACAGTATCCTTTTTGGGCTTTGGTATCAGGGTATGATATGAACTCTGTTTACAAGTTTTGGTGGAACATATCTTTCCAAGTCTCTTGGAATTATATTTAGGAATGAAATTGGTGAGTCATATGGTAATGCTATGTTTAATTATTTAAGGAACTGCCATATTGTTTTTCATAGTGGCTGTAGGTTTTTACATTCGCACCAGCAATGTATGATGAAGGCCCATTGATTTTTAATTTCAAATTTCTAGGAGACAGAGTCTGGTTTCCCCATCTCAATCAATATCCATTTGGGGTTCTCTTTGGGTAAGGTATGTACTCTGTTCAACACAGCTCAGTATGGGTGTGGGCAGTGGGACATGGAAGTAGAATGGTCATGAAAACACTCATATATGCAAAGGCCCATTATGTAACAGTTCTCAGAGAAGGGATCTGGTATTTTGGATTTCTCCCTTCCAGTCTAAACTCAACCTCACCCCTAGAATATCAGATTTAAAATAGTTTTGAATCATGAAAGTGGTTGGTTGATGACAATTTCTTATTTTTAAATTGAACTGAGCCTTGAACTTTTCTTTAGGACATGGCACAAAACTCTTTAGTGGCTAGTAAAACTAACATATTCGCTTTGAATAGATATTTCTTACATCAAACCTGTGAGGCATATGAAAACTCCGACCCAATGTGGAGCTGTTAACTGAAATGTACAAGATCATAAAGCGAGTTAGTGACCATCATAGAATTAGCATAGCATTTGGAATCTTATTGCCACTGATTAGATTCTTAGGCCACTTGGCTGGAACCTTAATTATTGTCCTTCCATGCTATTTTGAGACCCAAAGTCCCCTTCTTTATTCGTTCTGTTGGGGAATTTGTAGACAAAACCTCACTTAATACTTTGCAAAATGAGTTGCTTTATAAAAACCCCAGAATGCAATCAAATCCATCTGTTTTCTCTTCTACATTAACTTATTTGTTGTAGTAAAGCCCCAGACAGTCCTCAGAGAGATACAGTTATAGGAAAGAAAACTGATTATAAGGGAACAATTTTAGGGTCATTGAGATTTATTCCCCCATATGCAAAATCTGCGTAATGTGTGCAATAGCCTGAGATCACCTTGGCATAAAGCATAGCTCACATTTGAGAAGCTGATCATGCAGCCTGCACATGAGGGGAATAATAAGCAAAGGATTCCCACTACAGAAGGTTTAACAATCCAGAGCTTAAGATGTTGCAATGGAAATGAGGCTGGTTATGCAGCCTTTTAACTGAGCATTATTCTGAAGCTTGTCTCCTAGTATTAAGGCTCTTGAAAATTCTTGATTTGGATTCAAATGGAGAGAAGAATTTAACATTTGCCTTGCTTTTTGTGAAAGTCAAGATAAATTTATACCAGCTAACCTGAACCTGATATAGACTATATGTGTGTATGTGTGTGTGTGCATGTGTGTGTGTGAGAGAGACAGAGAGAGACAGAGAAACAAAGAAAGAGAAAGAAAGATTGATCAAGTAATAGATATAGAGACCTGAGTATGGAAGATTAAATAATGATGGATAGTAAACCTTATAGAAATTTTATTTCGTTCACATTATTTTTGATAATTTTGATTTATTCCACATTATTTATAATAATTTATGATTATTGGAAGTTATGTAGCTGAGTCCTTGTGGAGTGGCAATTCAAATGTTATATGAGCTGATGGATTGTGGGCCATGTTGCTTCTCTTCTACTCCTCTCTCCAAGAGGGCCCCCAGACACAGCAGGTGACACTGATGGATGGTCCCTGCCTGGCTCCTTATTGAAACTCCACATTGTACACAGAAAGGGTGAGATAGTTGATGCCTCAGTCAGGAGCAGACAACTAACAGGTCAATAGAAACTGAACCTGAAATTGCTGTCACAGAAGCTTGTTAATAGCTTTTGGCCTTGATGTACAGCTGCACTACTTTGTAATTCAGCAAATGTGGTGCTGAGGGACTGCTCCATTAGATCCATCTGTAACCAGAAGTCAGGTGATCTGGAGCCCAGCTTCAGCGGGAGCCCTATGACCTTGGGAGGATTTTTCAAGACCCCTGAGATTATTCCTTCACCTGCCAGAGTGATTGGGTGGGTGTTGGGATTTTCCTAACCAGGGTTGACTAGGATAATGCATGGGTAAGTATCTTGAGAAAGAAAAGGTATTACCAATAAAATAAAACTAGACAGGCCCAAATTCCCTCAGGGGCATTTCTCCTTCTAGGGTGGGGAAAGTGGTAGAACTAATGTGCTTCAAAGCAGATATTGTGTATTTTGTCTCATTTAACCCCATTAAGGTTGGTATTATTATACCCATTTTGCAGATGAGTTCACTGAGGCTCAGAGAACATAAATGACTTGCTCAAAGTTGCTCTGTCAGTTTCCACTTGGCAGAGGCAAGATAGGAAGAAGTATGTCTTACTCCAAAGTTGAGTCTGAGGTGTGTGAGTCTTACCTCATTGCTCAGCCCAGTACTTACTTCTACATTAGCAACCCATCTCCTCTCCCATACTTCTGCCACTTACCTATTATATGACCATGGGCAAATTAACCCTTTTGAGCCTGGTTCCTTATTTGTAAAAACAGAATTAATGCCACTGACCTTGCAGGCTTGTGTGAAGATAAATAAGCATTATAGCGCCTGGTCATGGGTGGGCACAGAAAATACGCCTTATCTCTTCTCACATCCAGGCCTTCTGCCTCTTCCATGCTGCTGACTCTATGATGTTCCCTAAGTTCGACTTGTGCCTCAAGACTTCCCTTCTCCCGTCAACAAGAAGAATTAGAAAATGTCACTGCACATTATCTTTCCATTTTTACAGACGTTAAATACTTTTTGAGAAATACTCTTAGATATTTTCTGAGCTAGGCACATAGGCAAGTTCTCTGGAGGAAGATTACTCTTCAGTGGAAGGAAAGAATGTGCCTTGAGCTGTTGCAGGGGTGACTCAAGGCAGAGATTTTTGACACCGTTGATCATTTTATTTGTATTTCCTTAATAGCTGACAGCCATGGCACCATTATTCTCTTCTAGTGACCATTATTAATTCCATTTAACATTTATCAATAAGTAAAATATTAATGAAGACTGTGATGTAACATTATTTCACTTTAAGATGGTGATTTTGATGCACATACTTAACTCTCCTTCCTTCCACCCAAATTCCATTAAAGACAGCCAAAGAAATTATGACAACATCTGCAGCAGAGCTGGAGAGTAGAAAACAATGCTATCATCAGGCCAGAAACTTTCAGAAATTTTGATAAGATACAGTTTACAAAAAACTAGATTTAGGGTCTTACTGTATAGTAAGAGAAACTCTGTCTTAGTCTGTTTTGTGTTGCTATAACAGAATATCTGAGGCTGGGTAATTTGTGAAGAAAAGAGGCTTATTTAGCTTACACTTCTGTATTCTGGGAAGCATCTGCATGACTTCTGGTGAGAGCCTTATGCTGTTTCCATTCATAATGGAAAGTAGAAGAGGAGTGGGCATGTGCTAAAAGATCACATGGTGAGGGAGGAAGCAAGAGAAAGAAACCAAGGAAGCCACATGCTTTTTAAACAGCCTGCTCTCCTGGGAATTAATCCTACCTATTCTTTGTCTTAGTCTGTTTTGTGTTGCTATAACAGAATACCTGAGGCTGGATAATTATAAAGAAAAGAGAGAGATGCCCTAATCTATAAAAGAAAGGCATTAATCTATTTATGAGGAATTTACTTCCTGCTAGACCCCACCTCCCAACGCTACAATATTGGGGGTCAAATGTCAACATGAGTTTTTGCAGGGACGAGCCACATCCAAACCATAGCACTCTTATTTTATAAATTTTTGTTAAAACTTCGTTGTGATTTGAATTGTCTCTCTCTGAAGGATGTGTTCAAGTCCTTACATACATACCTATGAATGCGGCCTTATTTGGAAATAGGGCCTTTGAGGATGCAATCAAGCTAAATCGAGGTCCTACTGGATTAGGGTGGGCCATAAGCCAATCACTGGTGCTTTTATAAGAAGCGATATATTTGGACATAAACGCACAGGCAACAAAACCGTGTGATAATGGAGGCAGAGATTGGAGTGGCGTGGCTGAAAGACAAGGAATGTCAAGGATTGTTGGCCCCCACAAGAAGCTAAAGAGGGAGCATGATTCTGCCAACACCTTACTTTTGGACTTCTAGCCTTCGGAACTATAGGAGAATAAGCTTCTGTTGTTTTAAGTCACCTAGGTTGTGGTAATTTGTTATGGTAGCCTAGGAAACTAATATGAGCCTTACTAAACACTTTAAAATATGGATTCAAAGAAGTACTGACCTAGCTGCAATTCAACACATGTGAAGGAAAGATTCATCTGGCAACAGTGGATGGATGTCCTTAGTAGGGACCCAGATAATCTTCCAGCTCAGAGTAACTGGGGCTCAAGCCAGTGTGAAACAAATCTGAACCCTACAAATGACCTTGGGAAGTTGGATCTTGACTACACACAGAACAACTGGCCAGGCATTTCACCCTTGCTATGATCTACTATGTCAGGTAAAACAGTGGCATCATTTCCACAGGATCCTGTTGAGGAAAGCTCTGCCAGTCAGAGAAGGGGCTGGCACAAAGGACTACAACAGACACACAAAAACATCCACTAAGCACAGGAGTAAACTTTCTCACATATGCTTGCTCCTAACTTCAGGGTACAAATTCAATTGCCAATCTTGAAAAACTAAAACTACAAAAATTTGAAAATTTTCATTCTTCTTTGTCTAAAACTAAACAGCTTGAATAGAGATCCTTATAGTTTCAGAGAAGCCACCTTTTAAATTCCAAAACAGGAAAAATGTAGACAGTCACTCGTTGAACTGAAATTTTAATTGAGCACTACTATTTGTTAGTAGTATTATACTGAATGTTATGCTAGGATGAGTGTTTTATTCAGAGGTAACATCATATGCAAATATCGGAAGGCAAGATAGAAAGAGTACATGATACAACCAAGGAGCTGCAGGAATGGATGAATAGGGAAAAACCATTGGACCTGTGAAATTTTAAAATAATTACTCAAATTATTGAAATAAAGGGGGCCAGTCAGGGCAATCAGAGGAAATGACCCTTTGAAATGGACTTATTCCCCAAAAAAATCAGAAAAAGAAAAGTCTTTGGTCAATCACCAATTCTTTTTATTATTTTAATACAAGATTAGAGAGGACACTGTATTTATAAAAACATAATAATTTGAGCCTAGGAAATATTGCCATAAGAACAGAAGTATAACCCTTAAATTAAAAGTTTTAAAGGCAGCAGAGAGAAAATTGAATTTTGCAATAAATTGAATTGGTAAATTAGATGATTAGGTTGAGAAATTCTCCCAGAACACAGAGGAAAATATGCAAGCATAACCATATGAGTGTAAAGAAAAGGTACAGAGGAAAAATCCAACAGATCCAATATTGGTATAATAAAAATATCAAAAGGAGAGAGCAGGTAGAGAAAAGATAACAAAAAATAAAAAAAGGTCCTAAACTTAAAGAAATACTTGAGTCTTCAGCTACCTACTAGGTTTCAAGTAAAATTTAGTATTTAGACTCTCACACTGAGATACAGCCTAATGCAGTCTTCTTCCTGCATTCAAGCAAAACCAAAAACAAACAAAAGAGATTATCTAGGGAGGGAAAAATAGATGTTTCAGCATACTGCTTTTTTATCACATGAATTACTGGAACATAGGAAATAGTATATATAGAATTTTGAGGGAAAAGATTGTTACCCAAGAATACCTTCTTCATCTTATGCATGAGGGCAACAGAAAATCTCTTCTCAAACACCCAAAAGCTCATAGTGTTCTTTCTGAGAAAAATTCCTTGAAGAAGTCCTATAGCAATTCAAGAAAGAAATAAAAATAAATAATTCAAATTGAAGGAAGCCAGAGCATCCCGGAACTATTTGCAAGGAATGAACCAGTCAAATTTAGTGTAGTATATGTATACTTGTGTAATGGTTAACATTATAAAATTCAGCAAAAAATGTTAAAATGATAATCTGGATCTAAGAAGATAGTTTATTTAGATAAAAACTTAGGAGTGTAGAGTAGGGAGAAGACATGCACAGGGGCTCTGCAAGGACATAAATTTTGTCTAATTTGTTTACTATTTTAGCCCCAGGCTTAGAACAGTGCCTGACACATAGTAAGTGCTTAATGAATGAATGAAAAGTCTGCTAAATTTCTCTAATCAATAAACATGAAAGATTCCTATGAATCAATAATAAAAGGACAATTTAATAGAAAAATGAAAAAAACCCACAATTTATAGGCAATTTGGAGAAAAGCCAAGTGACTAAAAAAAATGAAAAAGAGAAAAGATGCTCAGCCTAATTAGTAATCAGAAAAATACAAATTAAAATAACCAAGATATACTAATTCTCATTAACAAGCTGATTGTTAAAGATCAGTATGGCTCACAATATCAAGTGGTGAGTATACGGGGAAACAGAAACTCAGTCTGTTTGTATTAGTCTGTTCTCACACTGCTATAAAGAAATTCCCAAGACTGGGTAATTTATAAAATAAAAAGAGGTTTAATTGACTCACAGTTCCACATGGTTGGGGAGGCATTGGAAAACTTACAATCATGGCAGAAGGGGAAGCAGGCACATCTTACATGGTGGCAGGCAAGAGGGTGAATAAAGGGGGAAGAACCCCTTATAAAACCATCAGCTTTCATGAGAACTCACTTTCATGAGACCAGCATGGAGGAAACTGCCCCTGTGATCCAATCATGTCCCATTAGGTCCCTCCCTTGACACGTGGAGATTATGGGGATTACAATTTGAGGTAAGATTTGGGTGGGGACACAGAGGCAAGCCATATCACTATTAGTGAGACTTTAAATTAGTACTAAATATTTGAAGAATTTGGCAATATCAAGCAAAGCTAAAGATGTGCATACTCTATGTTTCAGCTGTATACTCTAAAGAAACTTACAAATGTTCCCCACATGAACGCCTCCAAGGATGTTCACTGGATACTGTTTATAATAGTGAAAAATGGAAACAACCTAAGTGTCCATAAAAGGGGATAGATAACAGTGGTTAATTCATACAATTGAATAATACACATCAGTTAAAATTAGTGGATAGCATTTGTGTTTCAACTGAATATTAAAAACGTATAGTTACTAAGAGAAGAGCAAATTGTAGAATGGTGTGTATAGCATGCTAATATTCATGAAGAGTTAACAAGCCCTCAGAGTCATACATGCATTACTATGAATTTCATATGCCTGCTTAGATAGCTAATAACAGAAAGAAACAAGAATTAGAAGGAGATATTGCAAATTCATGATAGTGATCACCTCTACAAAGGAAGGACAAAGAGTTTTGAGACTGTGGATTGCAACAAAGAACTTCAGTTTTATCTATAATGTTTTACTTCCTTTCTTTAAAAAAATTTAAGCAAAGAGATAGAATTTAGTATTTATTAATTCTGAATAGTAGATACATGGGTGTTTGTTTTATTATTCTTGTACTTTGTTTATTTTTAAAACCTTTCATACTCCCCCAGAAATATAATCAATATCTAAGCCTATGTCTTTATAAAAATGTTTCCTTTAGAAGATTAGCTGATGGGTTTCTAGAGACGAGGCAGTAAGTCCATGTAACTGCTAAAATTATACTAATAACAACAACAATAAAATTGATGTGTGCTGTGTATGTGCATTGCTTTTTGGAGAGGGTAATACTCTGTCATTTTCAAAGGCATTTGCAAATCTGTTTACAAATTTTGATTTTGATTTTGGTTTGTGCAGTAGTTGAATGGTGTTTCTGGTATTTAGCGTCTGAGGCCAGGGATGCTAAATATCCTGAAATTTGCAGGTGTGCTCCCATAAAATAAAGAATTGATCAGCTCCAAATGCCTATTACATCCCTTGGAAAGATATTGAGTTAGAAATTGAGGCTGGGCATGGTGGCTCACACTTGTAATCCCAACACTTTGGGAAGATGAGGCGGGTGGATCACTTGAGGCCAGGTGTTTGAGACCAGCCTGGGCAATATAGCAAAACCCCATCTCTACTGAAAAAAAAAAAAAAAAATTAGCTGGGCACAGTGGCGCATGCCTGTAATCCCAGCTACTTGGGAGGCTGAGGTGTAAGAATTGCTTGAGCCCGGGAGGTGGAGGTTGCAGTAAGCTGAGATCGCACCACTGCACTCCAGCCTGGGTGACAGAGCGAGACTGTCTCAAAAAAAAAAAAAAAAAAAAAAAAAAAAGGAATTGTATTCTGCTATGGATAACAGAAAATCCTACTAGTGGTTTAAACACATAAGCACTTTCTTTTCCTTATGTAACAGGAAGTCTGGAGGTTGTTGGCATTGGTTCAGTGTCTCAGGGAGGTCAGGGCTCAGTTCACTGTTTCTATTTTCCTTTCCCTCACAGGCTCACAATGGCTGTTGAAGCTCTAGCCATCAAGTGCAGTGTCCAAACAGAAAGAAACAAGGGCTGGAAAAGGGAAGGGCAGTAACTATATTTAGAAAACAAGACTTTTCCAGAAATCCTCAGTAGACTTCTACTTAGGTCTCATTGTTCCACAAAGTCTTGCCTGCTGCAAAAGAGTTTTTGGCTTTGCAGCCTTTATACTAGAGGAAAGAAGAAAAAAAAAAGAATTTGGAATGGGTGCTAAGTAAACCAACCCACAGTATTTGCTGCAAAAGTGAGTAGGTTAAATTTTCATACTAAAGTAAAAAGAGTGGGTATATCAAGGTTCATTCAGGAAAACAGAAACTACTCTGAGTATTTAAAACAAAGGGAATTTAATGCAGGAAATTGGCTACATAATGGATAGAAGAGTATAGAAGTTAAAGAGGAGACAATGAGGTAGCCTAGGGATTACAGCCTCAGGAAGCCACTACCAGCAATTTGCAGAAAGATGAGGGGAGAAGGCAGAATTATTAGGGTCACTTGGCAGAATCTGGAAGCAGAACAGGCCCATCTATCAGGAGTTGGAGCCAGAGAAAAGCTGTAGCTATTGCAGGAAACAACACATGAGAGGTAGGGGAAGAGAAACAGCCTGGTTTATCCTTTTCTCTTACTGTTTTTTTCTGTTGGCCAAACCCAGTTGAAAGCCAGCTAACACAGTCTGTAGGGGCCCCACTGTGATGCAGAACTGAGCAAGAATGACAAAAAATAAATGAGAGGGCAAACAGGTCCTCGACCAAGCACTTTGGGTCAAAACACAAAACATACTTCTATGTAAAGTAAAGGAAAGTATGGGCAATAAAAGTAAATCAGGAGCGACAAAATCAATATCAGATGATGATGTAGAATTAAAGGATCAGGCCATTAAATTAGATGAGAAAGGGTTTCTTCCTTCCTTCCTTCCTTCCTTCTTTCCTTTTTCATTTTTATTGCTAACGAGTATAATTCATAACATAGAAATCATTGAAACTCTAGGTGCTAAGCAGTATGGCATCATATATATATAAACATCTCTTAGAAATACGAAGAGAAATTCAAAGAACCATAATCATAGGGGGTGACTTTAATCTCTTTGATAGACAAGCAAACAAAAGTAAATAAGAATATTGAATAATGGTTCATAGTAAGACATATGGCAGCAGCCAAACCTAAAATCAGAGATATTCACAGCTTTAAGTGCTTTTATTAATACACAGGAAAAATGAAAATACATGGATTCAATTATGGCCTCAATTCAAGAGGACATAAAAAAGCCTATATAATTTTAGGAAAGCAAGAGAAAGAAATCAATAAAAATAACAATACATTTAAACAAATAGTAGAATTGATAAATTTACCAACAACCTATTTCAAAAAGATCAATAAAAGACACAAACTCTTGGAAAACCTTATTACAAAAAAAGTAGCAAAAATATCCAAATACACAGCATTAAGAATAAGAATGGTAATATAATCACAGATCTTGAGATCAAAAATATTATTAAAGCTATACTATGTATTACTTAGTACACTTGAAAATCTCAAAAAAAAGGATAATTTTATAGTGATTTTAAAAAAATTAAAGAAGGCCTCATTATGGTTCATGATGTCCTGCAGTTATACTCTGTCATGGAACCAGTAATTCTCCTGTATGACATCTATCATGATGAAATGCAAATTGAATATTCTGAACCATTTCCCCCATTAAACTATTAGCATCCTGAGGGCAAGAACCATGTCTTATGTGATTTTTCATCCTAGAATCTAGCTAAAGGATACAGCAGTACATGCTTAGGGGATGTTTGTTGAAAAAAATTCTCCTTTCCTCCCTCTCTTCCTTTCTTTTTCCCTCTGCTTTTACTTTCCTTCATTATTCTTTTCCTTCTTCAACACCCCAAAGAATAATCAAGAAGCAAGATCCATTTACCTTAGAATAAAGAGCACCTATTTATGTCATTCTTTACAACCTGTTGCTGATCTGTTCTGTATAGATCCCATAGCCCTTCGAAGGAGACATGTGCATGCAGGCTCCTGTGTGGGGTCCACAGAGGTTTTTTCTGCAAGCAATGCTGCTTATCAAGAGCTGCCTGGAGCTGGTGACTCAGAGAATGGCCCAGCAGTCTCTGGCTGTTGCTAGGAAACCACAGTTCCCTTGTGGAACCCAGCACCATACTTGTAGGTTGTCCCTGATAACTTAGAGGAAATGAAGAGCTGTCAAAAAAGGTAGAGGGCAAAACAAAACACTAAAATGAAGAAAGTAATTTTCCTTGCCCAGCACTAAATGACAAGTATCTATGGGGATTAGAGACAAAAATAGTCAATAGAGAGGTTGGCGTCATTAACAAAAAAACACTTTTGCTTTTGCTACTTTTGACGTTGTAAAATGCGCTGCAAGAACACAGCCAAGAAGATGTCTGTACTGTGGGCAGAAAGGGCTTTCTGGAACTTTGGCCATGGAAGGGCCTAGAGAAGTGATGGAGGGTTCTCCCTCAGGATCCATGTCCACACTCTGATTTGGATCTCTCTGGTTACCTGGTTAGCTGACTTTTGCAAGTGAATGCCTTCCTTGACTTCCAACACATCTTTGACCAATTGCAAATTAGTGTTGCCAAGGAACACCCAAAGAAGAAACAGCAGAAGGAGAATAATAAAACCTTACAGCAGTGGTTCTCAAAAGTGACTGTGTATATGAGTTACTGGAGAGTTTTTTACACACAGACTGCTGGGTCCTATCCCCAGAGAGTCTGATTCAGGAGACTAAAGTGGGGACTGAGAATGTACATTTCAAATTAAGTTCCCAGGTGATATTGATGCTGCTGGTCCTGTGACCACACTTGGAGAACCTCTGCCCTAGACTATTGGATCTTGCAGGAAATTGACAAATCGCTTAACTGATTAAAAACAAACCAGAGGTTCAAAGAGGAGGTGGTGGATCAACCAAGATCACTTTTGCTACTGGTGGTGGGCTCAAACCCAGGCTTCCTGAATTGAACACCAAAGCTTTCTCCACTACAAAATGCTCTTCAAGCTGTGCTCTTTAAAAATTCTCCAAAAGACACCAGATGGCTGCCAACAGGGGTGGTCCTACCAAGTGAATGCCAAGTTGCTAAATCCAACCCTGATAGCAACAGCTTTGAATATGAAGCCAGAGACAGTTTGCAAAAGCCTTTGTGTTCTTCGCAGCGTTGTCTCTCATCTTTCTAAATACTGTAGATAGAAAAGGAAGCACGTTGAGGAGGAGCAGACACAGCTAAGCAGGGCTCCAACACATTTCCAAAGGGGCATGCCTCCAGTGCCATGCTGCTAAGCTAGGGCTGCTAGTGGGAAGCCCCATTGACTTTGGATGCAAACCACAAAGCAGTCTCCTCTGCCACCACTGACTACTCCCTGCCTGCAGCCCCTGTATGTGCTGAGATGGCTTCAGAGATAAATTTAAAACTTAAAAAAATGCATTCTTTCTACTTTTGCTTGAATATGGGCTTCATCAGCCATCAAGGCTAATTGTAAGCTGCAGGATGCAAAAAGAATTAAAGTTAGCCAAACAACATTTGATTAACAAGACCTGGTGAAAGCAAAGCTAGGGAGAGTATGGAGTTTGTTTTTGGTTACCCCGGTCTCTTTGACCCTCTCATATTTCTCCAAGGTCCTCCACTTTGCCCTGCCCTTCTTGATTTCTATTCCTGTAAGATCTTTTTCATTTACCTTCAGCTAAAATCTGCTGAGGTATGAGATGAAAGAGATCTAAGGGCATGTTCGCCCATGGGCCTTTCAATTTTGATAAAAGACATTGGAAGAGTTAAAATCCCCTGATGCTCGGGAAAAATATGAAGCTCTGATGATGAAATTTTGGGTGTCATGGGGGCTGGAGTGAGAATCACAAATCAGGACCTTCCCTGGAATTCTTTATATTGAACCTCATAGGTGTCCAGCTAAGGTGAAAGCTTACCTTGTGTATTAGCAATACCAACAGAGGCTAATGCCTTATGAACCATCACTTATGTCTGCAGTACTTCTCACAAAAACTTTGTGTCCACTAGATGGCATTCAGATAGAGCTGGTGGATGAAGTCTTGGTTCTGTAACCTACCGAGGTTAAAAAAAAATCGTCCAGGGAGTACTTCCTTCCTGCCAGGGTTTTAGCTTTGTTCCTAATATCTCCGCCTCAGGATGTGTACTATACGTTTGTGCCTGCTACTGAGTGCAGAAATACGTGTCATCTTACTTGCATATGGCACTTTATAGTTTTCAATGTACCTCACATGTATTACTCCTTTTTGAGCTCACTTCTCAGATTTGTAGAAATTATCATTTCCATTTTACCTCTGAGGAAACAGAGGTTCAAATACATCAGCTAGGAAGTAGCAGAACTAGAACTTGAATCTAAACCTTTTGGTTCTCATTCTAAATAGACCATATTTCATCCCAAAACGGGAAATCAGGGGTGTATCATAGAAGAGACAGAGAGGTGCTGGCTGACTGAGAGGGCAGGAAAACCCTTAGAGGACTACCTGGAATTGGAAAGTGAGTCTGGTCAGCATATGAAAATATAGAAAAGGGGAACATTCTGGGAGCACCCTTCCCTCTGGTGATACCAGTGGATGCTATGATTTCCGTGCCTTAGGTCCAGAGCAGTGGGGCAGACAACAACATAGTATAGCCTGTGACTTTCAGGAAGTCAGGAGATTAGGAAACCGCAGGTTGGGCTGCAGAGAAGAAACATGGTGCTTTACATGGAGCAGAGGATTTGCCAGCTACCTCTGAGATTCCACTCGTGCAGTCAAGACAAGTCCTGAGATGAGACTGCTTCAAAATCACATTTCAGCTGGGAATGCAAAAATGACTGTGGGTACATAGAAGGGCTTGTGCTGACCGACATCTCCCAGGAATTATCTGCATGTTGTCTACTTATTTAATGCATTATATAAATGTTATAGAGTGTTGTATTTCATTAATACTGTCTTGTTGTAGAATACTTGTCCTGTATTCCAGATGTTCCCAGGGATAGTGGGAGAAGGGTTTATATGAACCAGCAATATTCCATGCATTTAGTTACTCCTGGGAAATTAATATAGCAATAGCAGTGACTAAGGAATTAAGAGAAGGAAGGTGGTAGATTAGCAGACACAAAGGTACTAAGATGGAAATGAGTTTATCTGCAGGGAAGAATACAAACCCCTGCCTTGTCAAAGTGGAGAATCTGGGAACAATTGAAAGTAAGCTTGGACAG
Organism: Homo sapiens; assembly: GCF_000001405.40. Lineage (NCBI taxonomy): Eukaryota > Metazoa > Chordata > Mammalia > Primates > Hominidae > Homo > Homo sapiens. The sequence continues at coordinate 66,402,209 of NC_000014.9, read as the reverse complement.
GTAATTTGAGACTGCATTATTGGGCCTGGTGTGCCACACTGCAGAGGACTGCCTTGATGATGGCATTTGGACATCATTAAAGGTTTTTAGTGTGATGCTAGGAGGGTTATTCCAGCAATACACAAGATGGCTAGGAGTGGGAAGAGCCTGGGGACAGGGAGAAAAGACCTACAGATACTGGATTAATTTTCATATGAGGTAATAAAGGGCTGACTTCGTGTGGAAATGGAAATGAAGGACAGATATGAAAGATACTAAGATGAGTCAATGAGAAAGTCAGTTGTTTATTGAACATGTTGTCCCCACTGGGTTTTCCTGTTATTCTTTTAACCTCACATTCTTGCTGCTTGTTTTCTCAATGTGGTCCCCTGTTGTCTTAATAGAGCAGTGGAGCTCTGCTCATTAAAATTATGCAGCACAAGTATCACTCATTTTAAGTAACTGATTTTATAGCACTTCAAACCTGCCAAGTTGATAAATTAGGCACTGTACTATTTTACACAATCTGGAGTCTCAGATTTAGGGAATTTTGAAAATTGGCAAATCCTGTGGCAAATGGCAGCACCTGCTGGCAAATATGATATTACAGGCTAACTCAAGTAGACAGTGCAATGGCCCAGAAGAAGATGAACAAAGAGAACAAAGCTGGCAGGAGCTGGAAGGCTTGAGGAGGGGAATCCATAGGCTTGGAAGAAATTAATATATTCTGGGAAAAGCAGTGATGGCAAAATAATTTGGGAAAATCAATTCAGAGAAATTTTTAAAAACTAATATGTGCCTATCACTATGCTAGGTGCTCTGAACAATATAAATGTGTTATCAGACAAGGTTCCTGACCTCATAGGCAATCATACGTTTAGAATGATACATTCTACAAATTGAAATGTTGCAAAAAGTTCTTTTAGGATAACATTACAAACCAGCATTTCAAAAGTCTGACTTCCCTCCCCAAACCTTCTGCAAAAATAATTTTGTATTTAATGCATTTGAGAATTATTTTCTTCAGAATTGTTTTCCCTGTGAAAATAATTTTTAATATGCTGAAACTTGGTGTATGTGAAGCAGAGGGTAGGAGAGCATGGAATTCACTTTTTAGCCCTTACTAAAATTCATTCATTCTGTAAAGTTAGGTTTTCCAGACTATCTGGTTCAAGGAAGATGACAAAAGTCTTTGTAAGGTCTGGTCATAGATTTTCAGGGAGACTGATGTGCAAGAAACCTCCATAGCTTCTTGATCATTTATATTTCACCTTTTTCCCCAGAAAGAATTTAAGACAACTTTAAGGCAGACATGGACAGCAAACGGTAATAACTAACCATGTGCAAAACTTTATAGTGGCTACAGGAAGGGATAAAATGAGACAGGAGATGTAGTAACTACCCTTAAAGAATCTGATTGGGAAGACGGGAGTAGATATAAAAAGTTAATGAATAATACAAGATTATCTATAAAGAACACAGTTTCTGGAGCTGAGTGACTGGGTCAAAATCCTGGCTTTGCAGTTCTCCAGCTGGGTAACCTTGGGAAAGTTACATAAACTTTCAATCCTTATTTGTAAAAGGGGGATAATAATAGTATCTGCCTCACAGGGTTGCTGTGAGTTTTAAATAGGTTAATATATGAAAGTAGTATACAGAGCATAGAGTATAGTAAGCACTATAGATATTAGCTGCTATTATTATGAAAACTGGTAAATGAGTGGCACATTCAGCAATTTCTGCAGGAGTCAGCTGTAAATTCTTTTGGGAAATACTAAGATAAATAAAGCAATAGTGTTTAGAAGAAAAGAACAGAGAAGATGAACTTGGGAGGTTTACTGGGAGGGTGGTGGTCATTCGTGTAAGCTGAATTTTTGAAAAGAAGAAGGATTTACATAAGAGAAGAGACAGGGAGAATGGCCTGAATCATAGTGCAGAGACAGAAGTGCATGTAGCCTGTTCTAGGGACAGGAGGAGAGGCTGGTCTGCTTCAAGCAGTGTCAGTATAGGGGGAAGTATTATAGTTGAGGCCCTTTACTAGGATGATCCTGGAAGCCTTTAAATATCAGGGTAAGTCAAAACTTTACTCTGAAGACATGGGAACCACAGATAAGGTTTGAATGGGATAGTGTGGCACATTAGGAAAGTTAATTTGTGCTATACAGGTGAAGTATGCCAGGAGACTGGTTAAGGGTCAAGTAAGTATAGGACCAGAAGTGCAACTGTGAGAGTCCGGACAAGGGGAAAGGCAGGTGGAAAGATGATGAGATGGACCTTACTGAGGAAGACCTGATGACCCTGAATGTAGAGGCCAAGGGAAAGGGTAGGAAGATCCTACTGTTTGAAGCTGGAGACATTGGAATAATTGAGATATAATCAAGTGAGCTAAGGAGCATGTGGCTGGGGATGCCACAGATGATGTTTTGTTCTATACATGTTGATAGAATATTGAGATAATAGAAAAAAATGAACATTTATAATGTCTGGGGCAGTTTCTAGCAAGAGTCTCAGACAAATGTCCTTAGCAGTTCTAGGGTGGAGGGGCCCCTTGAGTATGGAGTCCATCCCTTGGCAAAAATCCAAATAATTTCCCCAACTTTTCATTTTTGTATATGTAATGTTATTATAGGACTGCTGATTTCACTGCTGTTAGTCTGAGTCTGGGTCGTGTTTGAGCTCCTCAAAAAGCACCTGAGCAATGTACAGTTTTTATCATCAATAGTACTAAGTCTGGCCCATCCATCCTGGCTTATTCACATTCAGTCTTTTGTGCTGACTTTCTGCCTGAGGACCCCAATGTCTCACCTTCCAATTTCGCATTAATGTTAATGATGACCGCTAAAGCAGAAAATCAGATCAGCATGCAAAGACATAGATCTGTTCCCTGAAGAGTTGCTGGTTTACCCAAAAGTGAAAGTCTTGGTGTGTTTTTATCCTTCAGGTAAAGTCTGGTAAATGATGAGAAGCACCCCTTTCCTCAAGTGAAAGGTTGATGCCGTTAGAAATGGTTCGCTCTTTGCAACCTCATTTAGCAGCACACTCAAAAGTGGTTCATTAAGCCGTAAGCAGCTGTGTAGTGGCACCAGAGACTTCTGCAGGCATTGGGCTGAGATGGTGGCTTCACTGTTTAACTTCTGAGTCTGGGGCCATTTAGAACTCAGTAGGAAGAACAGACAGAGTAGCAAGTGCAATGAAATTGAACATGGCCAGATTTACCCTAACATTGAATTAAGGCTATAGACACTGAAATCCAGAAATAGCAATAACCTTACATATAAAACAAGAAGGGGTAAATTTTGCAAGGGCTCATTTGTTTACCCATTTCAAGGTTTGAGTGGTCAGATGTAATAGGGTTACAAAGGAATATAGAAATAAAAATCCTAATCTATAGCTTGCCCCCTGCCATATTGCAGCTAAATGCATTTCTGTATGTCTTAGGTTTTTACCTAATATTTTTTTCCTATGTGGTGTTGTGGATGAGTTTAAAATTATATTCACCTTATGGAATTTCTCCAGTGTGCAATCTATTCACCTGTTCTTCCACTTATAAGTCAGCAATGCCCCCCGTGGCAGTGAGCACAAATAGCTCAATATGCTTTGAGTCATACTTTCCATTTTTATAACTACTGCTTGTTTTAGAGTCTAATTTTAGGCTTGACTTATTTTTTCCTCTCTAAGTGTTATATTAATAAAATTCACAATGCCTTGACTGTAGCAAAGAGTCAAATATTCATTGAATGACTGTTTCATAATCATAGGAGACAGGAGAGAGCTCAGGAAGAAAACTCTTTATTGTCTTTGGTGATGCTATTGTGCAAACAGTATAGTCACAAGAGCAAGGCACATTTGTGTTCCAATTCTATGTGACATGTGCCTATCACTTACACTAGCTGTATCTCAGTTTCCTTATCTTCTAGACGGGAGAGCATGATCTTTATAGAATCATCATAAAGAATGCAGACATAACATATAAGAAGTGCCTAGCAGAATACCTAGTATATTAAAAAGGCCCTTAGAGAGTCTTTGTTGAAGAAATGAATAACTCCAAGGGAAAATTTCAGAAGACACAAACAATCTGCTATATACAGCAAAGTTTCTGAAGTGCCATGCTGATGATATATCTATCATGGTGCTAGATACATATTATAATCATCTCATTCCATATCCACTTTTTTTTAAATTTTTCCTGACACTTCATTTTGTTTTTTTTCTTTTTATTTATTTTATGTATTTATTTTATTTTATTATTATTATACTTTAAGTTTTAGGGTACAAGTGCACAATGTGCAGGTTTGTTACATATGTATACACGTGCCTTGTTGGTGTACTGCACCCATTAACTCATCATTTAGCATTAGGTATATCTCCTAATGCTATCCCTCCCCTCTCCCCCCACCCCACAACAGTCCCCGGAGTGTGATGTTCCCCTTCCTGTGTCCATGTGTTCTCGTTGTTCAATTCCCACCTATGAGTGAGAACATGCGGTGTTTGGTTTTTTGTCCTTGCGATAGTTTGCTGAGAATGATGATTTCCAGCTTCATCCACATCCCTACAAAGGACATGAACTCATCGTTTTTTATGGCTGCGTGGTATTCCATGGTGTATATGTGCCACATTTTCTTAATCCAGTCTATCGTTGTTGGACATTTGGGTTGGTTCCAAGTCTTTGCTATTGTGAATAGTGCCACAATAAACATACGTGTGCATGTGTCTTTATAGGAGCATGATTTATAGTCCTTTGGGTATATGCCCAGTAATGGGATGGCTGGGTCACATGGTATTTCTAGTTCTAAATCCCTGAGGAATCGCCACACTGACTTCCACTATGGTTGAACTAGTTTACAGTCCCACCAACAGTGTAAAAGTGTTCCTATTTCTCCACATCCTCTCCAGCACCTGTTGTTTCCTGACTTTTTAATGATTGCCATTCTAACTGGTGTGAGATGGTATCTCATTGTGGTTTTGATTTGCATTTCTCTGATGGCCAGTGATGATGAGCATTTTTTCATGTGTCTTTTGGCTGCATAAATGTCTTCTTTTGAGAAGTGTCTGTTCATATTCTTCACCCACTTTTTGATGGGGTTGTTTGTTTTTTCTTGTAAATTTGTTTGAATTGATTGTAGATTCTGGATATTAGCCCTTTGTCAGATGAGTAGGTTGCAAAAATTTTCTCCCATTTTGTAGGTTGCCTGTTCACTCTGATGGTAGTTTCTTTTGCTGTGCAGAAGCTCTTTAGTTTAATTAGATCCCATTTGTCAATTTTGGCTTTTGTTGCCATTGCTTTTGGTGTTTTAGACATGAAGTCCTTGCCCATGCCTATGTCCTGCATGGTATTGCCTAGGTTTTCTTCCAGGGGTTTTATGGTTTTAGGTCTAACATGTAAGTCTTTAATCCATCTTGAATTAATTTTTGTATAAGGTGTAAGGAAGGGATCCAGTTTCAGCTTTCTCCATATGGCTAGCCAGTTTTCCCAGCACCATTTATTAAATAGGGAATCCTTTCCCCATTTCTTGTTTTTGTCAGGTTTGTCAAAGATCAGATGGTTGTAGATATGCGGCATTATTTCTGAGGGCTCTGTTCTGTTCCATTGGTCTATATCTCTGTTTTGGTACCAGTACCATGCTGTTTTGGTACTGTAGCCTTGTAGTATAGTTTGAAGTCAGGTAGCGTGATGCCATATCCACTTTTTAATTATTTGTGATGAAAGGAAACTTGGATATCTCCTAAAATGATGTGAAATTTTTCTAAAGGTGACTTTAAAGGAATTTTACTCTTTGCTTTAATAATGTAAATCAGCAGCAAAAATGGGCTGTATAAGGTACTTTCCAACTTGCTATGAGAACTTAAGATTGCCTAAAATGATGAGTAAACAAAAAAGAACAATGTGAAGTGAGCTTTATGAAAACTTCAATGTCTCAAAAAAAGCATTTGCTTATGACATTGTAGTATCATGACCTGAAGATCGGACAACTGCCTCCCTGAGGGCCACCAGGGATATACACATTCTCACGGACTTCCACGACCATTTGTGGGTATCAGCATCTCTAATCATCAAGAAGAAAAATAGTGTGATGGCCTTATTTTCATCTTAGGACTTCATTAATTTTTCTTCACTAAGTGATGAAGTCGAATTATTTTTGGGAAAGAAGTAGAGCTTCATCCTGAGAGTACTGTTGGACAATTTGGCCTTTCCTATCAATTATCTGTAACTCAAACAATCTGAGAAGATAGACAGGCTCAGAATTCTCAGTAAATAATATAAAAATGGAAGCTCACAGATTCCTTTTGACCAAATGTTCTCTAAACTTAATGTTTGCCGTAGAAATTGAACATGTGGTCCTCAGGGAGATTGACTCAATAGGTCTTCAAAGCCAGTAGATGCTTCCAAAATGTTATAGTGTTATAACTTAACCCTCCTCCCCCATTATTTTTTAAAGTCTTGGCTCACTTCTCGGTCATGTCCTTTTTTGGACCCTAAATCTTAATTCGTATTACCTCTCAAAGGGAGAAACATACCATTTCATAACATTAAACACACACACTAAAAGCTGCCTTACAGGTAATGATCTTTAAGCTTCCTTCAGTTTAGCAGTCACCTGGAGTGTCTGTTTTCTAGCTGAGGTTCTGAACTCCCACAGAGGGTTATGAGGCTGTAAACAACTTACTTGTAACTATACTTAAATATGACAATGGGGAACTCCTGAAGATGGCAGCAGCACTTTAAATTTCACCAGACCAGGAAGGGCCTGTGGTTAACACAACCAGAAATCAAATGATGCTGGCAGATTCCTGTTTGTCACCCCTGCTGCACTCAACATTTTCAGCCACTAGTTCAGATTTCAACTTTACTTCTTTGAGCTTTGCACACAACGTGGAGCATAGAAAGAGGGACTTAAAGCCAGAGAAATGTGTATCTAATTCCCCTTTTATCAAAGGAGGGGTTTTTTAAACCTTTCAATGTCACCAGCCCCTCTACTTTCCTCCTAAACATGGCTTCTCTCTATACTTGAGTGTGAACGGAAGGAATAGACACAGAGATTGTAGAGCATACACTGATTTTAAAAGTGATATTACTCTCCTTTGTCTAGTTACACTATTAGACAAGGAATGAACAAATTATTCCTTCTTGCTTTCTGTTTCCAGAAATGCCCATTAAAGAAAATTAATGTTTATTCTGTAATTGCTGAAAACTGTAAGTTGCAATGCCTACGTGTAAGAGGTATCTATAAATACAAATCTGAGTCTTTCCCACTTGATTTGAAAAGCTATATTATTCATATAATTTTCTATGTGAAGCTGAAGATCTAAAACATATTTTCTAGGCTGGTTATTATGTTTACATTTATAAGTATTTTTAACTTAATTAGATGTTTAAATTGTAAAGACAATATGAGCTTATATAAAAAGTCAAACAATTCATAAACATATATAGATGGTAATTCCTCTGCTCTATCCTACTTCCTCAGGTAACTGTCAAATAGGCTAAAAAAATTCACACAAAAAAGTGAGATTGTATTGTACACAGTACTGCAACTTTCTCTGGATCAAGAGATACAGATTGAACTCACATAATAGCTGAATACTATTCCATAATATGAATGTAACTTAACTTAATTTATTCAGCCATAGCTCCTGTGATAGACACTTATTTCCAGTTTTGCCATCACCACAAGCAATGCTGCACTTTCATTATGCCTTTTCTACTGATGCTTTTATTCTTGTAGGCTAGAGTACCCAAAGTGGAATGTTGCACAGAGGGTTTTATGTACTTTAAGTTTTAGTGCATACTGCAGGATTACCTTCAAAAAATGCTGCAACAATATATGAGTGAATATATGAGGATTTATTTGCCCCCATCCTTACCAGCACTTGATGTTACCAATATTTAAATTTTTTTGCCGACCTGATGGGTAGAAAATGGTATCATGTTTGAACCTGCATTTCCCTGGCAAGATTGCATGGCATAGTATCTTAACAGCATGGACCTAGGACCCAGTTCCCTGGCTGTGCAGTGTACTAGCTGCATACTGTGTGGTCTTCACAAATTACATAAATTCTCTGTGCTTCAGTTTCATCTTTCCCATCAAAAATGGGGAAAATAATACCACTTGCCACATAGGATTATTATTGGGATTAATTGAGATAACATTTGCAAAGACTTAGAATGATGCCTGGTGCTTAGAGCAGTGCCTGACATATATTAAGCACTATATGAACTAAATGAATGCATTCTAGTGATGGGGAACATCTTTTCATACATTTACAACTATTTGCATTTCTTCTATTAAATACAAATGTCAAAATATTCAATTTTTAGTGTAAAAATGAATCCTGTTGGGATTTTTTCTTATAAATTTATTACATAATAATATTACAATAATTATTTCCAATAATAATAATGTAAGAAACAGATCTCTGTGGAGTGTATCACAATGTCAGGGTCAGGAGGCCTCAGGACTGGAACAGGGGGCGAAATCCCCCCAGATGGAACTCCATACAAAAGCAGGGGTGAAGCAGAGCTGACCCTGTAAAGTTAAAAACCCAAGTTGAATGGAACCAAAAACCCACAGGTGATTGTGAGACTGAGTGTTTATGTAGCAGTCTATTACACTGACTGCTGTTGTGTGACCTGGACTGTTGGTGGAAGGGTGAGTGGGTGTGACTCTGTACCCAGGGAGTGGGGCTGGTGGGCCAGAGCAGGGTGGGTAATATGCTTATTACCTGGGCGATGAAATGTGTATACCAGTCACCCTCAACATGCAATTTACCCATGTAACAAACCTGCACATGTACCCTCTGAACCTAAAAGTTAGAAAGAAATTTTTCTTTTTGCAGCGCCCCAGATGTTTCAGGCAGCTTCATGTCTCCAGATTGTCTCACCTGATGTTTCCTTTGTGTTCTCCCTCATTAAAAAAAAAAAAGAAGAAGAATGGCTTTTTTTTTCCCACTTTTGAAATCAGATCACTCTTGGGGAAAAGGACAGCAATCTCCACACCCCTTCTCTGAGAAATGCTCCCCTGCTTGGAAATGCCAGATGCAGAGAAGAATTTTGCTGAAATGTTTGAATGAGAAAGAAAATAGAAAGGTTTTGAAAAGTAGAAAAATTTTCTTAATGAAGGAATATTTCAAGGTTAACCCCTTCTAAAAGTGAATTAAACTTTTCTTCCCTAATAGGTAGGACCTCAGTTTACCTGGATAGAGATTTAAATCCATTATTGGCTTTTCAGAGAAAGTGAGATGAGGCAATTGGAAAACAATTTAATTGCCAAGGGTACAATATTCTAGGTAAAAAATAGACATTTTATATCTTGAATTTCAGGATAGCTCAGCTTTCCTGTTGAGACTACTAACCACATACCTCTCTTCTCGTCAGTTATTTTTCACTTGGATTTGTCCTCTACAGGGAAACTTGTATTATTTATCAGTCACATAAATCTAAAAACACCCAGCATCAGGCTTGCTTAAATGTCAGAGACAACTATTTCTTGTGTTCTTTCTCTCAGCTTCTATCAGCAGCGTGCTCTTTTTATGTTTTTTTTTTCTACATCTTCAGTACTATGGAGAGATGCTCTTTCATCAGGCATTCGTTTCCGTCTGTTTCAGTTAAACTCAAATTTGAGCAGTTATATTCCTTTTCAAAATTATAAGAGAGAAAGTAGAGAGAAACAGAGAGAGGAAAAGTCTCAATGGAATGGGGGCTGTATAGAGTTTGGGAGAAAAAGGGGGAAAGAAAGGAAGAGAGGGAGGAGGGGGAGATTTTTGAAACACGCTCATCACCATTTGTGCAGGATTCTTAGGCAACATCCAGTTGATTTTTATTTGGCCTTAGAAATAATGGCAAGTCATGAAAGTGTTTATGGAAATGCCCCCCTACCCCATATTATATCAATTTAAAACATCCAGATCTTCTACCACCATCTCCTATTTTTCCAGCGCATTCCCTCTAATACTCTGATTCCAACAACTCCTGGACCCTTGTCCCTATCACCTTTGCACTGATCATTTCCTCCCCTCCTGTCTTTACTTCCCTCCTTAATAGGCTATCTTATTCTATTCAGGCTGCTATCACAAAATACCTTAGACTGGGTAATGTATAGCCAACAGAAATTTATTGCTCACAGTTCTGGAGGCTGGAGGTGCTGGCAGACTCAGTCTAGTCAGGGCTCTCTGCTGCATCCTCACAGCAAGAGGGCACCATCTATGAGGAGCGAACAAGCTCCCTCAGGCCACTTTCATAAGGGCGTTAATCCCATCACAGGGGCTCCACCCTCATGACCTAGTCCCCTTCCAAAAGTCCCACTTATTAATACCAGCACATCGGGGATTAGGTGTCAACATATGAGTTCTGGTGGGACACAGACATTCAGACCATAGCATAAGCTTAGACTCTATAGCCCACTACCAGAGTAATTTTTTCACATGCATCTTCAATTCTCTTGCTCCTTTCTATTCCCATCATCCTATTCTGAGTTCGTTACCACAAACCTTAGGTGGATCATGAGGTGAGGCAATCTTACAGCATCTCCCTAGTCAATTCATACCCTCCCTCCCTGCTAGACCAACATCTCATACTGTCTTCTCTTCCCTCCAACCTCTAACATTCCTCCCTACTCTTCACTTTTGCCTCATGACCTAATTTCTTATTTCACTAAGAGTTTACAAGCAATCAGAAGAGAAATTTCACAGGCTTTCACACCAGAACCCATAATCTAGCTGCATCTGTATCCACAAACCAGTTTCTACTGTTCTTGCAGTGGGTGAACTATCCCTGTGCCTCAGAAGGAGAATCCTTCAAGTTGTATACTGGATTCTGCACATCCCCCAACTTCACTTACTCAAGGACAACACTTCAACAATTTCACATTATCTTTCCTGCATGGCCAGCTTCTCTCTCCTTACTTGATCATTACCACCAGCATAAAAACATATTGCAAAATTCCATCTTTTAATAATTTTTCAACATAGGTGTTGGTCAAAAGCTTTATAAACAAACTTTTATATAGTCATTTTAATAAGGGGAAATATTATGTGAAAAGGTACAAAACATGAAGCTGGATTATTTCTCTTGGTGAAGTATAAAACATTTGTACAAAGCCCAAAATTAGTGACATAGTAAACAGACATTCTGTAAAACAAGCTAAAGCAAACCTTGTTAATTGTTATATTTAAAACTGAATAGACTCCAACATGAAGCAGAAACAGGAGCTATTACCAGGTTTCTGTGAAAGAATTAGTAAAATGCACATTGATGGGCCACCAACTTCTAGTAAACTTAGGAAATTATATAACTTTGATACAGATAATGTTAAAGTTAGTTCAGGAGCAGTATAGCTTAGACTTTCCCACTCCCAAGAAAGTGTCAGAAAGATAATCTACACATTCTTAAAGGTGAAGCTGATAGATGAATAATAAAATACATACATACTGCCTAAGGACTCTGACACCTCTGTTTCCACAAATTTTTGAATTGTATTTCTCAGCACTGATAGGATCCATTGTCTATAAGGATACAGGGTGCAGGTGCATAGTGCCAAATTGGCTTTGTCAGTGCAGGTTACCAGACTCATTGCGGCCTCTCATCCCATGCTGCTGGAGTTTCTATTCCCATGATTCATGGAAGCACCTGGTTGCCCTGCAAGTGGTTGCCAATCCTGCTGCTGACTACCTTTTGTTGGACCTCCATTCTCCACCAGGTGCCCCCTTCATCTGGGTCAGATCCTCTGTTCATGCCACTGAATACTGCAAGAATATTCCTAGGACCTGTTGTTGATGCTTTGATGCCCTAAGTATCTGAGCAGTAGAAATAAGTAATTTCAGTTTCACAATGGCTATCTGTATGTAGAAACAAGGTCTCTGATTACTAAAAAGGCAACAAACCATTGTTTCCAATTTCTCTGATTTTTTGAGAGTCACAGAAAATAGTAACCTTTGGGCTTAGCCATAGAGGGTTCACCAGATATCTTCGGGCAAGGGACCTATGCAGAAGCACTTTCCACTCCAGAGGCAGTGGTGCTTTCTGGGGGATAAAGTCAAACTTGATGTTGTACTGCGCACATCTTGGACACTCTTGGTCCGGGACCCACTGTGGCTCTTCCACACTTACCTGGATGCTGAAGCTCTGTGTTTGTGTACCAGGAGAGTACCAACTTCTTGGTGCATGGCCACTCTGGGGACAGGACACCATTTCAGTCACCTGCCCCAGCTGCTGACCACTATCTCAAAAAGCCCCACCTATTTTGACCCCAAATCACCCTGCAGCTACTGCCCTATAAATGTGTCTGTCCTTGTTCTTGCTAGTTTCTCTCTTCCCATTTTTTTCTCAAACCCATTCCAATCAAACTTTCCTTCTCCCCTGCCACCCCCATTTTATCAAATCTATAATGCTGTTAGTTGAATCTGGCATAGTTGATCACTCCCTTCCTTCTTATAACAATTTCTTCTCTTGGTTCCTGGAACAGTCTGGTTTCTGATTTCCCTTTTCTGCTTCTTCCTCTTCCTTCTGATCTTTTAACATTGTAGTGCCCCAGGGCTCAATTCTTGGGCCCTCTATCCACACTAATTTTCTATGTCATCTCAGCCAGCCCCACCCATGGGACTGACAGATAAACTACAGGATTCCCGGTTAAATTTGAATTTCAGATAAGCAACCAATAAATTCTTAGTCCTTTATTTTTATTTGCTAAGTCCAGCAACCTTGCACATTCAGTCTTTTCCCTAATGATGTCCAGATTTCTATCTCCAGCCCAAATCTTTCTCTTGAACTTTTTACAGGTGGGGAAATTGAATCTTACATATTAAATTACCTCAACATCTCCACTTAGATTTCTAACCGGCAGCTCAAACTTACCATGTCTAAAACAAATCTTGATTATTTTCCCTTCTGCCAAACTAACTCCTCTTGTAGGCTTCCCCTTCTTAGGAATGACATCACCATTCTCACTCTCCTAGTTGATGTAGTTCTCGTTGTCCCCTCTTTTCTCTCTTGCTGCACACCCAGTCCACTAGCAAACCCTGCGGACAGCATCTTTACAATATAATCAGAATTCTCACTTCTGCCACTTCCACTGCTGCCATGGTAATTCCAGCCATCATCATCCCTCACTGGACTAGTATAATAGCCTCCTAATAGTTCTCCCTGCTTCTACCCTTGCTCCCCTCCCCCAATATATACTCCACAGAGAAATTTTTAAAAAATATAAATCAGATCATGTTGCCTCTCTGCACAACAATCTGTAATCTCTTCTCTTTTCACTCTAAGTAAAATGCAAAACCCACACATTCTTACCGTGGCCTGCAAGACTCCACACCATCTGGCTGTCTGCCACCGCCCTGGCCTTATGGCCATCACTGTCCCATTTGCTGCACCTTCTCCAGGCACACTGACCTCTTAACTCTTTGCAGAACATACCAAGCACCTTGTAGCCTCCAAGATTGTATGACTGTTCCCTCTGCTTGGGATATGCTGCCCACACATATCTGACTGACTTGCTGCCTCTCTCTGTTCAAGTCTCAGCTGAAACGTTGCCTAATGAGAAAGGCCTAACAACCACGCTGTCTAACATAGCAGCCTCCCCCACCTCCATCCTGCTGTACTCCCAATGCTTGCTTTATTTTTCTTTGTATGACTTAGCACCTCTTAACATGTTTATTTATTGTCTGTTCCCACCCCCTCCCACAACTAGAACTTAAGCTCCATGAGAGCAGGGCATCGGTTTTGTCACTTCTGAATGTCTGGGGCCAAGAACAATGCCTGGGATCATCAATATTCATTGAACAAACAGTAGAGTCCATCCATGAATGGAGGAGAAGACGTTTATGATGGAAGTTGTGATGAAAGAAATAATCATCTTCCTGTTTGTTCTGGATCTTAATTTAGTTTATAACCCATAAGTCCCTCTTTTGATTGGCCTTTTTAGCCCTACAAAATGCTTGTGTGGGAATAGCTGTTCCCCTCTCCACACAAATTGTAAGAACCTTCCATTATTTCTAAGAATTCAAGCAGAAGAGAGGGATGCTTCTTTCAATAAAATAGTTTGAAGGAGTAAATACAAAAAGTTAATTGAGTATTTGTCCCTGTAACCTTTCCAGGCTATACATGCCCCTTGGAACAGTAAATTGTCTTAGAAAGAAAGTATTACTTTGGAGTTTATAAAGGTTTATTTTGAATCATCATCTCCATTTTACAAGTGGGAAATGGAATCTCAGAGAAATTACAAGGTCAATTAGAGGTGGAGCTATTGTTGAACTCTGGGTTACTAGACTCAGTTAAGTCTAATGAGATGAAGAGATGGCACCTTGGAAACTACTCTTATGAGAATCACCTAAATTGGGTGTGAGGTGGGACAATGTCTTTCCCAAAAAATTCTGAGTAAAGCTTGAGAAAGTTACGTTGTCTAAAAAATTGGAGAATTTTCATAAAATTTTTGAGAGAACAAATTCAAAGATACTTCTATTTTGGCTTCCATTTGCTTATCTGCATCTGTTAGCCTAGAGTTTATTTTATATATTTTTCCATACTTTTTGTTAAAGAAGGAACTGTTTTTATGCAATTTGCAATCTTTAGTGGGTTTTAAGATTTTAGAAGACTGTGATCCAAATATGTTTATATTATTTTTAAAGCTATAATTGCTAAAAAGTGACAAAATTAAAAAAATATATAATGAGAGACTTTGAGGATCCTGAAGGGTCTCAAGATTTCCTTTTCAAACACACATATTTTCTACTTCCTCCTCATGGTAGAACACACATATTTTAGGATAGGTAGTTGGTGCAATACAAGGCCTTATGACCTGTTATTAAACTTTTTTTTTTTTTGAGACAGAGTTTTACTCTTGTTGCCCAGGCTAGAGTGTAATGGCATAATCTCAGCTCACTGCAACCTCCGCCTCCTAGGTTCAAGCAATTCTCCTGCCTCAGCCTCCCTAGTAGCTGGGATTATAGGCGCCCGCTGCCATGCCTGACTAATTTCTGTATTTTTAGTAGAGGCAGGGTTTCACCACGTTGGCTAGGCTGGTCTCAAACACCTGACCTCAGGCGATCTGCCCACCTCAACCTCCCAAAGTGCTGGGATTACAGGAGTGAGCCACTGCACCCTGCCTTATTAAATGTGTGTGTGTGTGTGTGTGTGTGTGTGTGTGTGTGTGTGTGTGTGTGTGTTTGAGACAGTCTCACTCTGTCACCCAGGCTAGAGTGCAGAGGCATGATCTCTGCTTTCTGCAATCTCCGTCTCCTGGGTTCAAGTGATTCTCCTGCTTCAGCCTCCTGAGTAGCTGGGATTACAGGTGCTTGCCACCACACCTGGCTAATTTTTGTATTTTTAGTACAGACGGGGTTTCACCATGTTGGTCAGGCTGGTCTTGAACTCCTGACTTCATGATCCACCTGCATCGGCCTCCCAAAATGCTGGGATTACAGGTGTGAGCCACTGGACCCGGCCTATTCAACTTTTAAAAATAGGAAATGACAAACACTTTGCATGCTGGTATCTGCTCTCCAATCTTTGCTATTTTTTTTTAAAGTGTTACCCTAAAGTTAGTTTTCAAACTGGGCCTGTCATATTTATTGTTCCTGGCCACAATCTTCCTTCTGTTTTTTTCTATGAAAAGAGTGTAAGCAACAAATATGTTGGCACATCTTCAGAAACAGGCTGGTCAGAAATTTAAGGAGAGAGGGATGCCTTTGGGGTGAAAGATGAATCCAACTTGCCCAGGATAATTTCTCTGCTGGCCTCTGCTGCTCCCCTCTTCTGCTCCCCAATTCTATAGGGCTTTAAATTTCTACCTGTAGGAAATGTTAGGGGGAAAGTGGGCTTGTTTAGGGCTTTTCAGAGAGGTAAAAAGCTTAATGGGGATAGTTGGGATCCATCCTCAAAGTAAACCACAGAGTTTGGCTAGAGAAGAGCTGGATGGGTGTTTCTGCCAATGAGGAGGAGAGGGGCAGAACATCTGTGCAGAGTAACGCAACAGATGATGCGGAAGGGAAAGCATTTCTGGGCAAAGACTGAGTTGAGTTCTAGGGTATTTATTCTGTGGAATATTCAGACAGGAGATGGACAAGAGGACTTGCTTTAGTTCTCTATTAATATTAGCAATCTTTTTTTCTTCACTGCCCTATAAAATTTTATTCAAATCTTTATCTATTCTAGGGCCACTTGTGAGTGGTGGTGGCCAGAGGGATTCATTGGGAGGTATGTGAATGATAGCTAGAAGAAGGACAGAGTCCAGGGACTAGAGACCCTGGTGGCTGTGGTCCTATCTGTAGTGTGTAAGGAGGGCCAGAGAGTTGTCAGGGGTCATAGGTATCTAGAGAGCTGCCTGCCTATACAAAGGGATGCGGGAATTTTTTCAGAAAATGGGACATCAGCAAGGTTTTTCAACACTTGCCCTTATTAATGAAAAGATCTTCGACTTGTACAATGCTTACTGTATATTCTAGGTACTGCTTCACTCCACACACTTTACATATATTCACAAATTCAATCCTTACAACAATCTCATGAGAGGACAATTTTATTATGTCTGTTTTACAGAATAAGAAGCTGAGACAAAGAGAGGTTAAGTAACTTGTCTGAAGTAGCTGAAAACTGGCAAAGCTGAGATTTGAACCCCTGCAGAGCCTGGCTCCAGAGTCTGTGGCCCTTTTACCACACTGCACAGCCTTACTCATGTCTAGGAGTGGCTGGTTGATCAGTTAGCCAGTTATTTAGAGTCACTGACTTGAGCTAGGTATCAAAGATGCTGGGTGTGGGGGCGGTGGAGTGGGAGGCTACAGCCTGAGTTAAGGAAACAAATACCTGAAGGCAATGGTGGGATGGGTGTTGCACCGGAAAGGAAGACATCAGAATGGGGTGAAAGCACTCTTCGCAGGCCACTTATGGGACAACTTAGGCTATCTGTACAAATACTCATGG
This sequence comes from Homo sapiens, assembly GCF_000001405.40. Classification (NCBI taxonomy): domain Eukaryota; kingdom Metazoa; phylum Chordata; class Mammalia; order Primates; family Hominidae; genus Homo; species Homo sapiens. The sequence goes on along the minus strand of NC_000014.9, from coordinate 66,385,321 downwards.
AAATAGCACAGAGAAAGAAACCAGAGTAAGTTATTTGTAGCTTGTTGTTTAATTTGTACCTGATTGGCTAGGCCTGAGGGACATTAAGTTTGTACTTATTTTCTTGATTGCTGTAGAATTCCAGATAGGAAATCTTTGATGAATTAAATCTGAGTTCAAAATGCTCACATTTTATACCAGGTTAAATCACTGTAGGTTATTGGCTATTCTGATTTTGAAAAGGAACCAGGTGCTTTCAGCATCCTATGCAAAAAAAGAACAAGTAGTCCCAGGTTATTTCCAGTTAGATTTCATGACACTCTGAGTCTTCCTGCCATTCGGTAAGTTCCAGGATCAAAGAAAAGGTAAGTGACTGAGTTCCTTTCATTGCAATAAAGTACATGCTATGTGGTCAGCTTATTTTCAGTTAGGAGCTTATACTTCCAGCCCAGGCAGCCAGACATGTTATACCTCTAATATTTTCAAAACCAATTTGAGATTAGTCAAGACTAATTGTCTACGTAATTAACAATTAAAGACTATAGTGAAGCTTGGTGCTTCTCTGCAGATACAACCGTTTCTTCTTCTTCATCATCATCATTATCAGTACCTCATCATCAACAAGAACATACGTTTGTGTGATGCTTTACAGTTGACAAATCATGGCACATGATGTTGAGTTTGCTTGTCTTTTTCTTTACTGTTCCATTAAAGGCCAACACTAAATTACTAGAAGTTGAAATTGTTCCTTTGCCTGTTTTAAAACTGTGTGACAAGGACATACACAATTATCAACTTTTACTGAAAATAATTAAACAAACATTAAAAATATGACATTATAATTAGGTCAGTTGACTTAGACAATTAAGATATGGATATGGCCTTTGAATATTAAAATAAATAAAAAATTAGGCTTCATATGACCAACATAGGGATAATTCCAAGTATGCAGTCTTTCATATCAATATTATTTCATATCAGAAAATTCATGTTAGAAGCACCTGGGGCTGATTACAATAGTGAATAAACAAAAAGATACAAAATGAGTAATGAAATTGCTATAGAATTGGCCAGAAAAATTTTCTAGGAAATATGACTTAACTGGTTAACAACTGGGGCTGGGAATATGATGGTTACATAATTTATTCTCAGTTCTTACTTAAAAGGTATGTACTCATATATTGTTTCTTGATTTGAGATGTTGAGCAAAGAACCTAACCTCTCTGTGTCTCATTTGCAAACTGACATTCTCTGGTTTGAACCCCAAAAGCAAATTATTTCTGAGGGCCAGATGACAGGTATGGTTCTAAAGAGCAGCCAAAAGTGCAGTGCTACTTAAATGCTAAAGCCAATGATAATGATACAGAGTGGGAGGAAAGGTATGTTGCCTCCTTTGCCTAACAATGCTGCCTATAGTTTGACCTCCAGGAAAGTTACTTTGTTTGTGGGTATGTGAACATGTGTGCATACACTTGAACTCACATAGAATATAGATTTAATAATTTTTTCAAGTCAGATTTTTACATTTATCACATGTTTTCAAGCATTTATAGATGAGAAGCTGGGAAAATATTGAAATTTGTAAAATGAAAGCATTTTTCTGCACAAACTTCCTCCTGTATCTGAGTTTGGCTATATAGATAGATGGAAACACAGGGTTTTCCTTGTCATTAACCAACATTAAAGGCAACTTCAGTTTAATAGGCTGTAGCTGAGTGCTCCCAACCCAGTCAGCCTCTCTCTGCTTGAGCCCAGGCAGAATAATTCACTGTCAGTAGGAAGCAGAAAGGGTGTGTACTATTTTCCTAAGAAACCAAAGTAAAAACTGTGTGTCTGACAGGCAGTGACAACCCCCCACCCCACCCCTGGTGGTGGCTGTGTAGCAAGTCTGTTGAGAACATTTCTGACAGTGTCACTGAAGTGTGTGGATTTATGTCCTGGAGGGATTACTCCTTGGTACAGTCTTCCTGGTGTGACTGCCCTCCCAGCAAGATCTCATCCTAATTTTGCATTCCGGTGTTACTTCCTGGAAAACTGCCTGAAACCAATTAGGAAAAGTAAGACTAATTGTAGCCAAGACCCCAATATTGTGAAAAATGAAGATCCAGTTTCTTAATGAAAAGATTTCAGTTGAGAGAACTCAGTTCTCACTTGAAAACTTAATTAGGCTTTATGGTTTTTGATTCTTTCAAATTCTACAACATTTAATTTTGTTCTAGGAAAAAATACCAGGAAACTACTGTAGAGGTCCTTACCACATTTCTCAAATGCTTTTAAAATTAAGACAATATTTGTATGGCAAAGGCATCACAATGTTTGGCAATGTCCAACTTTGCCTTCTATTTTTGTCTTTATTGAAAAATGTATCTGGACTCATAACGTTGAGTCTATAAAAATCATCATCTTTGTCTCACCAAGTTCTTTCTTGAGAGAAACATTTCATCCATTGTTCCTCTTCCACTTGGCACTTTGCCTTGGAGACCACATAGAGAAGGATTATGAATTGATAATTCCAATACGAAGTCAGCTATGAATCTGTAGCCAACCTGAACCTTCATAGCATGCATTCTACTTCTCAAGAAAATGCGGTGGGAAGTTTGTCTGCCAGTCATGGTTTTGTAATTCATTATGGGTAGATGTAGCCTCTGGCATTTTTCTGCCTATTTGCCTGTCATCTGTAATCAGGGCAAGCTCCCTCTGTTTTCATCTGACATTCACTGAAGTCAAACTTCTCTTCTTCCAATTCTTGGAGTACCTATTACACCCAAGGTACCCTGTTGGATGCAAAGTTCACCATGCTTCTATAGCTCAGCGGGAGAAAACGTTAGATGAGAAAACATATGTAAAATGACTAGCACATATTTGGTCCTGAGGGCCTTTGTGTCTTTCATTTATATCTCAGTGGTTTATTGCTTCTGAATGTGAGCTCACAGGATAGAGACTGGATCTAATTGTACATTGTGTAATATTATTGCTAACATTCAAGGTGCTATCTTTTATAAATAGTAAGAACCATAAGCCTATTTTTGGAGCTAGCTAGAGTCTTCCTAGGAAAAGAAGGAAGAAGGAGGTGAGCATTTTTCTTATGAGTCTCAAAAGGCCTGAAACCTCTCAGAGACATTGATTTTTCTGACTTTTATCTTTTTTTCCCCTCTTCCCTTTGCATATTATTTGATTTACACCAATAAGCAGGGGTGAAGTCTGTCTCCACCTGTGCAGATTTTCCTGGGTGTGGATAGGAGACATGATTTCTAGCAGACACTGCATGGAGTTCCAGCTTTGATGAATGGTCCTTTGATGAGTCCTTTGATCTTGCTCAATTTTTAGGGATTTGTTTCCAGACACCTGACAATAAGCACACTCAGCAGAAACAGCCTTCAGGCTTCACTTACCTCCCACCCAGGGAAGCTGTCAACCATACCCTTTCATCTCCTCCATGAAAGCCAGATTGTGTCTCTGGCTTGAACTCGATGGATTGATGTTAGGGTTCTAAATGTCCTTGCTGTCTCTGCTTTTTTACTCAAATGAAGCAGTTGTTGCTGGACTTTTGATGAAATGGCTCCTTCAGTAACTCCTTAGAGGGCTATGGTGCCCTGGGAGGTGTGAAAAGGGAAAAGTGGGCAGGATTTCTTACAAACCTGGGCTTTTATTTTCAGCCACTTCCATGCTTTTCCCAGTTAACAAATCCCAATGCTGAGCATAACTGAAATGTGAAGAGTGACATGCACAACTAGGACACAGGACTGCCAATCTGTGGATGGTGCAGGCAGGAAAAGAGAGGCAACTGACTATGCAGTTAAGGAAATATGTGCTTATTCCAAGGTTCATAAATGAAGAGAAAAGCTGAATGAAGAATATTTCTGGGCTAACTTGAAAAGGAAAAAAGAGCAAAAATTCAGAGCTTTTAGGGTAGAGTTATAAACCTCTTACTCAAAATGACCTTTTTGAACATGTTACTCATGTTGCTAGGGCTTAATAAAGATTAGGGAGTTTAGTTTGCAGGACATTTTCTGGAAAAGGAGCACCCCAGGTCACACACTGTCAAATAAACTTTTAAAATATACATTAGTGAAAAGTTTTGACATAGGTGTTAGAAGAAAGGTAACATTTTAGTAGCCCTGAGCAAATGATGACTACTTAAATAATACAGAGATTTGCACCAAGGGAATGGAGAGAAATGAGAGATCACTGTGAAAAGGGCTGGTCAGGGAAAGCTTTGCGGAAAGGATAATGAATGATAATGGCTATCAGGTGCCTACTGTGGGCATTTCTTTCTACATCAACTGTTTCACAGATTTTTTTTTTTGAAAGGGAGGTATGATTATCTCTGTTTTACAGATAATGAAACAGAGACTCAGAGAAATAATTTGTCCAGGGCTTTTGATTTGAACTAAGGCAACTTTCCTCTATGCCACACTGCTTTCACTTGGGCTGGACCTGAAAGATAAGTGCAATTCAGCTATAAGGAAGAGCATCTTGGGAAGAGTACTGGGCCTAGGGGAGGGGAATGGCCAAGGAGATGGAGTGATGAATGAACATCAGCTCCTTACCATGCATGTCACACTGCAGTAGTGAATAGTGAGAAGGGGACCAGCCCAGAGGTGAATGTCCAGCCTAGATTTGATAAACCCAAATCTCCTGACAACAAATGAAATGCTCCTTTCACTGTGTTTTGGCAAAAAAACTTATTACACAGTTGGAACAAAAGATAATAGGTCTCAAAATGCAAAAGCACAATACAAGTGAATCAGTTCGTGAATGTTTAAAAGAATTGTGGGGGAGGAGAATTTGAAAGTCAAGGACTAAATCCTTGAAATGAGGTAGGGAGAAACTGAAGATAATAGCATCTATTCTCTGGTGTTACCCCAGGGTGGCACGTGTGTGTGTGTGTGTGCTGTGTGCACATGCACTGGTGCACAAACAGAGGCTCACAAGGATACTTCCTGCCCTGTTTGGCCATGGGCCCACCTGCTCTCCAGTGGCAGAGCTAATTGTTTTAGCTTTCTCTTTCTTGTCATTGGCAAGACTTGCTATTATTTTCCATTATCTAACTCCTACACAGCTCACATCCCACTTTCTCTTTCTCTGGAGTTACAAGGCTGGCTGAATCAGGTTGTGGATAGGCTGCTGCAACAGCAAGAAATATTTAAGATGATTCTGGCTAAGGTGAAATTTTGTCTTGCTGTCCAGTCTTTTTGTCTTCCAATTCTACTCTGTGTGTCTGATTTCCGAGTCTCTCCCATTCCTGAGTACTCATTTGCTCACATGGATTCTCTTCCAGTGTTGAATAGCCTCCAGAACCCAGGAACTTCCCAGGTGTAGCTCCTGGAAAGGAACACGCTCTGCCCTCCTACTCCTGTTGTAGAACTCTTGGTTTGGGACTCTATAGTGAATGTCTACTGTTTTTGTCTGCCTTGAATCCTTCCCTCCTGCTAGTAACAACTACTCTTCCCACATTGCAAGCAACTCTTGGTGAGACTTCCTATTGAATTATTATGTCCTTTCTTGATGCATACACACGTGCACGTGTGCACGTGCACACACACACACACAAACACACCCCCCAAGGGCAATCAGATACTCTCTTCAGGAATTTAAATCTCAAGCAGATTGACCCAAGGATGGAGAGTGTTTGGAGGAGTAACCTGAACTGACTGTCCAGTAGTTCTGCTATTGAGACTGCCCAAGCTGCCCTTATTTCTGGCTGCTGGAAGGTCTAAAGTTCAACTTTTCTTTAATATTTGTGAACTGCCCTGTGTCCTTCCCAAAATGTACTTTTTATTGTTCAAATTAGCTAGAGACAGAGTCTGTTGTTTGCAACCATAGAATCTTAATCAATATGGATCCTTACTTATGTGAAATCATAACTGCCCCAAGGGTAGGGTGGTGGTCACTGGGATGATGAAGCCCTTTCTGTATCCAGCCAGCAGAGATGGTTCATATGGTTGGCCTATGTTTGATCAGGGAAAGGAGACCAGTCAGGGTGATGTGGTCATCCTGGCCCTGCACACTTACTCAGCCAAGAAGTTCGCATAGCCCCACTGAACCGGCTGAGCTGCTCTGCCAGCTTCTTATCACTTACCAGTCTGGGCAGGCTTCCCTGGCAGGGGGAGAACTGCTGAGTTACATCAGACATAAATGAATCAATACAAACTAATTCCTTCACAAAAGAAAACCTAATTAGTCACACTGCTGCAGGAATCAATGGCTTCTCTCTCCTAGCAGCTAACACATTCCAATTCCTATATACAACTGCATTCTGACTCCTGTTAATAGAAAAATACATATCCATTTTCTTATTGCCATATGCTTAGGCCTTGACAAGTTTGTTTTCTAAGACAACCAATAATGGAAACTTTGTTGTGGTCTGAGAAGGGTTTTCACAGTTTAGAGATAAGTCTACTCTATGTTAGGAAATGGAGTCCTTTCACAGAAGGTGATGATCTAATCAGAGGTGGATTCTTGCTTGGCCCCCTTTGCAAGAGGGACATGCAGAGTTGGGGGGTGAAAGTGAGGGTGTGACTTCATGGTACCTTCTGGAAGACATTGTCACCCAACCTAAGGCTAAGCAACAAGCACTGTCCATATGCCTCTCCTACTTGCGGATGCTTTCTATTACTGCGGGAGACCCAAAGATGTCAAAGGCCACCTGTTAAGAGAAACTCTTTTTTTCATTCATTCATTATTCATCACTCTTCCCAGTGACACTGACAATTAAAAAGACTGCTGCTTTCTCTTTTTTGTGAGATGGAGTCTCGCTCTGTTGCCCAGGCTGGAGTGTAGTGGTGCGATCTCGGCTCACTGCAACTTCCGCCTCACAGGTTCAAACAATTCTCCTGCCTTAGCCTCCCGAGTAATTGGGATTACAGGCACCCACCACCACACCAGCCTAATTTTTGTATTTTTAGTAGAGACGGGGTTTCACCATGTTGGCCAGGCTGGTCTCAAACTCTTGACCTCAGGATGATCCACCCACCTCGGCCTCCCAAAGTGCTGGGATTACAGGCATGAGCCACAGCACCCAGCCGAGACTGCTGCTTTCTAGGGCCAGCATAGACCATTGATTACCACAATGGCAACTCACATGCTGTGAGTGGGAATACCTGTGGAACGTGGTTTGCAGATAGTTAACTGTGTGGGCTTCAACTACCTGAGTTCAAATCCCAGGGCTCTTACACTCACCAAATGTATGACCTTGGACAGGTACTTTACTTTGTCAAGCTGCACTTTCCTCACCTGCAAAAATGTGGTTTATATTGTATTTCCTTGAATCTGGAGTGCCATCATTATTTTATGTACAACTAAGGAAGAAAAAAATGCTGCCAATTAAACTATAACATGACATTGATTGTAAAATTCACCAATATTAGAGATGTTAAAATGTTAAAAACATTAGCATATTACAATTGAGAAAATAGGATAGCATCTACCTCATGGTGCCAATGTGGACTGAGATAATTCATATAAATGGATAGCATTTTGTCTGTCACACAGGAAGCCCTATATAAATGATTACTACTATTTTTACTGCCAGAAGGTGGCAGTTTGAGTAATTTCAGCAAATCATTTAACCCTATGTGCCTTATTCTCTTCATTTTAAAAATAAATGGGTAGCCATATGGTCCTGCCACCCAGAATTGCGAAGAAAAACTAATTAAAAAATGTTTTTAGGTCCTTAGCAGCTCTAAATGTGAAACACTATCAACTCTTTCTGCTATTCATCTTCAGTGTCTGGAAACTGATAAGGAAATATGCTCTGTATATTTTTTATGTATGTATTAATTTACTTGGAATTCCAAGGCTAATTTAAACTTTTAACTTGCAGTATGTATATTTCTATTGTAATTGTTGAAAAAGAGCTCTTAGTTTATTGCTTTATACTCTTCAATCTAACTCTGATTTTCCATTAAATTTTGTTTTATACTGAGAGGAGAGAAGTTACATTAATGTCGTGCTCTCCATGTTGGACAAGCCTAAAGAAATACCTGATTGCAAAATTTTGTGTCTCTGTGAAGTCCCAGAAATTTTAGATGACTGATAGGGTTCATCTCAGTTGTTTGGTGAGAAGGAAAAATAAATTCCAGGTTATTGCAAATGAAGACTAAACAGAGAGAGATTCATTTAAAGCAATTCCCAAATTGTAGTCACATAGAGTCCACTATTGGTTCCCACTCTGAGTAGCAAAGAACTAGATCAATAGGGTCAGTGGTTGTGTGAGAGAAGTTCAATTTAGTTCAGCTTTTAGTTGTTGAACCTTTAGTATGAAGCAGGCGTGGGGTAAGGCTATAGAAATAAAAAGAAATTTAAGAAAAAGTTCTTGCCAGAATTTATAGTCTGACAAGAAATGGCAATACAATGTGATAAACACTATAAAGCAACATGGGAGTCCTAAGAAGCAGCGACTAATTCTGCCTGGGTAAGCAAACGAAGACTTCAAACTTTGTATAGGTGTTTACAAAGCATAAAGTTTAGAAAAGAGGATTGCCTGCAGAGAGAACAGTGTTTGCAAAATCTCCATGTACTTAGCATGACTGCAGTGTAATGTACATTGTGCATGTTTCTGTGTGTGGGTGTGTATTGGGTGATGTTCTTATACAGAACATAGGTAGAGAAGTTAAACAGTGAGAAAAGCACATGACTGAGACTCAGGAGACCTAGACTGAGCTTTCAGAAAATAACCTTTGGAAACAATTAGATCAGGTTATTGTATTATGTAACATGTTACACTTCTCTGTGCCTCATTTTCCTCATGTTTATGGCAGGAAGATGAAGAGGAAGCGTATACCAAGATGATTTAGGAGTCAGGCTCTATGAGTTTAATTCCTAACTCTGTGATTTGGGGCAAGCTACAATACGTAACCTGTTTCCTCACTGGAAGAATGAAGAGTAATAATATCCACCTATAAGTTTGCTATAAGTTATGCATCTTGGCACATAGTAAGCCCTTAATAAATATTTGCTCTTATTATTTTTATCTGTTTTAAGATTCTGCATTTCAAAATATATTCTATGATACTTTTGGCAAGAGGAATATTAACATGTTTGTCCTTTAATTTGAGGCAGCATAGCATAGTGGTAGTAAAGAACAAAAAATGGAACCAGGAGTATTTGAAATTTAGTCTGCATCTGCCACTTGTTAACTGTGTGATCTTGGGCAGATTACTAACTTTTCTGAGCCTCACTTTCCTCATCTGTAAAATAAAGATAATGATAACACCAACTTCCTATGGTTGTTTTGAGGATTAAATGAGGTAATATGAGTAAGGTGCTTTGACAAGTGCCTGGCACAGATTAGTAAGTGTTATTATCATTATGTAAGTGTTACTATCATTATCCATATTTTTATTTTAATTTTTAAATTATAAACGGTGAGTGGGATACTTCATGGCCTCCCTAGAAGTAGCTGCTTTTCCAAGTCAGTAACTTTGTTCAGATGACAGAGCAGTCCCTGAAGAGACAGTCCTGTATTCAGTTGGGTTACACTTAATGTGTCCCACAAGCCAGTGAAATTGTGGATCACGGCTAGCCTCTGAAATGGCTCCTCTGAATTAAATGGGATGTCTTTCTCCCCCAGATTCTGTGTGGGAGGCTTATACATTTGGTTTGGTAATGAGTTTGCTTTTTGAGCCAAAGAAGAGAAGAGAATAAAAGAAGAGAGAAGGCGTGAGAGGCAATCATAGAAACCTGGAGGCTCACATTCTCCAAAATGAAAAAGAAGCCTGCATTTCTGCAGAAACAAGAGAGAAACAACTAACAATCTCAAAGCTCATTATGATTTAACTTTCAGATAGCACAAAATGACAGTAATGTGACTACTGAAGCCTGTTTTAACTATAAGCAGGACAAAGGAGTGGAAATGGAGTGTATTAGCAGTGGCATAAAGATAACCTCCTCGCTTATAGGCTGTGCATACATTAGTGCATGAATGTACTGTTAAAAGCCACTAAATCTCTCTAAAGTGGCCATTTCCCTTTCTTTGGGAAATGATTGAAAAATACTTGTTGTGTATTTTCTTGAAGCAAATTTCTGGAACCTTTTCAGACACACTCTCTGTTTTAGAAGAATGTGAACTGATGCTGATGGCAGCATCAGACAGGAAGGAGTGATGATCTCAAAGGGCACATCGCCTTGCAAAGCCAAAAGAGTACAGCAGGAGTGCATCCATTTTTTTCCCCGAAAAGGAGCATTTTCTTTTGTGTCAGATTGTTGTGGAAGATTTAAAAATAGAAGAATCTGAGTGCCCTATTTTCCCATTGACTGATAGTGTCAGTTCCTTTGCATGTCTGTCAGTCTGCTATTACTGTGATGATCACTATTATCATCTTTCTTTGACTTTTCCCTTCTAAGAAGTACAAATTATCCTTGGCATTATATTGTGAGACAAAAGTCTGAAAGGAAGCGCTAGGCGTTGATATTTGTCTCGGTTAACTGCGTAAGTTAGGAACTTTGTCATTTGATCTTGGGTATTCGAAGCCAGTGTCCATAATTATTTAACTGAACTCTTTCAATGTACACAATCCTGAGATAAGTTTTGAGAAAATCAAGGGATCTGAGGAATTTTTAAAATTTCAAGCCAACTGAATTGGCTCACTACAATGCACTTCAAAATGATATTGAGAGACAACTGCACAATTGCAACGCAGAGCAGCAGGTCTGTCAATGTCATCCAGTCAGCCACACTTGTTGAATTCAAATGAGGGTATCCAGCCTCTGGTATAGGACAATGCAAAAGAAAGAAGATATTCTTTTTTTTTTAACCCTTGAGGTGCTTACTGTGTCTTTTGTCACAACTTTCTATGGACGATAAAGCAAAAGATGGTATGAATCAGATGACCAGGCCTCAGTGCCCCTCCCTGACTCTTTACAACCTTGAGCAAGTCACTTAAATTCTTGTGGGTTAAAGCTTTTTCATTTTCAAAATGAGCAAGTGAGGAAAGATATTTTCTAATATCTCTTTCTGTTCTAAAAGTACATGATTCCAAGTGGATGCAAATTAACATGGTGTGAACAAGATGCTTTGTTCACAGATTCAGCAACATTGAGGGCATCTTAGGAGCTAAGTACTTGAATGGGCCTGGGCATGTAAAAGACAGGAACACTTTGTCCTGCTTTCAGGAGGCTTGCAGAGTAAGAAGCAAGACTGACCAACTAGCAGTTACATGCACTCTGCTCAATGTGGGCTGACTAAAGCCAGGGCAATTCCAGGGGAGGGCAGGGCTAGCTCTGAGACTGGGCAAGGGGCAAGGTAGACCTTCAGGTTGTGATGATATCTGTGGAAGGCCCCAAAACATAAGCAAAAATTCATCAGGTAGAGAAGATAGGAGGATGCCCCAGGCAAAAGGAGCAGCATTAACAAGGCTCAGAAGTGCAAGCAAACACCCCGTGCTTCAAAAGTTAACTCGAACATGAATATATTGGTAGTGGAAAGTAATGGAGACAGGAGAATGTTTGAGACTTAATTGTGAAAAGCCTTGAATGTCATGGTAAGAGCTTTTGATTTTATCTCAAAGGCATTGGAGAATCATGAAGAATAGAAGACATGATCAGATTTCTTTCAGAAAGTTCATTCAGGTGGCCCTGTGGAGTCTGAATTGAGGGACCGTGGAAGGGAGAGGAGGCTCTTAGGAGGCTATTTTGATGGTCCATGGGAGAAATGATGAGATCGTTATCTGGGGCCATGACAGCGAGAACAGGGATGAAGGACACATTTGAGAGAAAGCTCAGAGACTGAATGAACAGAATCCACTTATTCATTTATTCATCACTTGACAAATCTTTATTCAGTGCCCACTATGCCTCTGTCAGTGTAAACCTGGCACCACACAAAGAGGATATAAACACTGCTGAAATACTGAGTGGGGGAATGGTCAGAGTGGGATGAGTGAAGTGGTGCTGGTTTGGGTGGGCTTCCTGGAGGAGGTGAGGTCTGACCTGAGTTTCCACGGAAAGAGAGGAGACATGAATACATAGAAAGAGGCAGGAGAACATTTTTACGCCTTTCCATAAAAAGGAAAGAATGAAGAGATGACCATCAGGTGAGCTTGGTGAGCAAAGAGAACCTTTAGTCAATGCTAAAAATGATGGAGAGATAGGAGGGTGAAAAGACTGAGCAGAAACATCTAAATTTGATGTGCTAAGCCATGGTGAACCACTGTGGGTTTTTTAGAAAGAGAAGGGTTGTGTGGTACAATAGAGAAGATTATTGAATTAATGCTTGAAGACATAGGTTATGGCATTATCTTGCCGGGTCAGCATTCAAGTTACTTAATGTCTTGAGAGCTCAGATTTGTGTAGTTTGGATAGGAACAAAAATGTGTTGAGATGTATATTAGTCAGGGTTTTCCAGAAAGACAGAACCAATAGGATATATGGGAGAGGATTTATTAGGGGAAATTGGCTCACACAATCATAGAGGCAGATAAGCCAACTGCAAACTGGTGAACTAGAGAAGCTGGTAGCATGTCTCAGTCCAAGTCTGAAGCCCCTGAACCAGGGAAGCCAACAGTACAGCCCTTAGTCAGGCCCAAGAACCCTCAAGAGGCCACTGCTGCAAGTTCCAGAGTCCAAAAGCTGAAGAAGCTGGAGTTGGATGTCCAAAGGCAGGAAGAGGAAAAGCATTCTGCTCCCTAAGGGAGAGAAAGAGTAGAGAGAGCCAATTGTCTTCTTATTGTTCCAGCTAGGCCCCCAGCCAACTGGCGTATTGAGGGCAGGTCTTCCTCTTTCAGTCTACTGGAAACATCTTCACAGACACACCTAGAAACAATGCTTCACCAGCCCTGCAGGCATCACTCAATCTGGTCAGGTTGAAGTCTCAAATTAATGATGGTTAAGTATAGTCCACCCCTTATCAACTTACCATCTATATGCATCTTGTTAAATTATAATTTCCAATCAAAGACAATAACAAGGTCATAATTCCACCTAAAGTGAGACAACTGTCCTTTGCACAACCAGGAACACACTAATACCATCCTTGGAAGAGAAGGTAAAGTTCTTGACTGATGTTTACTCTTCTCCTGATATTCTATAAGTTAGATATCATGATGAACAATAACACAATTATTTTGTTAAACAAAAATGAGCGATACTTAAATACTGGTATAAAGTCAATAAGCCTGAAGTTACATGATAAAGGAACAAGAGAGGAAAGAAAACAAAGATATTTGCTTAATATATGTGTATATATACACAAACATATTCTTAGCAAGTGGGGAGGAAATACGAAAATTACAGTTCCCATTTCTGTACCTGGCCAGGTGGTGATAGGTGGTATTTATAACTGCCATCTTATACTACCCATTCTATATTCCCTTTGCTTTCACCAGCCCTTCAGCTAGTCATGGTTCTTAACCTGGTTGGGTGACCCAAATGTTCACTCCTGAAGGATCTGGGCCATTCAGAGTCCTTCCTGGATTGGATTGTTGGAATTTCCCATTTACTTAATCACAGGGTATGGTAATACTAAGGGGTCTCCTTTATTTCAGACATACTCTTTGATATGGTTTGGCTCTGCATCCCCATCCAAATCTTATGTTGAATTGTAATTCCCAATGTTGACCGAGGACCCTGGTGGAAGGTGATTGGATCATGGGGGCATATTTCCTCCATGCTGTTCTCGTGATAGTAAGTGAATTCTCAAAAGATCTTATGATTTAAAAATGTGTGGTACTTCCCCCCTCACTCTCTCTCTCCTGCCACCATATGAAGAAGGTGCTTGCTTCCGCTTTGCCTTCCACCATGATTGTAACTTTCCTGAGGCCTCCCAGTCATGCTTCCTGTAATGCCCGCCAAACTGTGAGTCAATTAACCTCTTTTCTTTCCTTTTTTTTTTTTTTTTTTTTTGAGACAGAGTCTTGCTCTGTTGCCCAGGCTGGAGTGCAGTGGCGCGATCTCGGCTCACTGCAAGCTCTGCCTCCCGGGTTCACGTCATTCTCCTGCCTCAGCCTCCTGATTAGCTGGGACTGCAGACGCCTGCCACCATGCCTGGCTAATTTTTTGTATTTTTAGTAGAGATGGGGTTTCACCATGTTAGCCAGGATGGTCTCGATCTCCTGACCTTGTGATCCACCTGCCTTAGCCTCCCAAAGTGCTGGAATTACAGGTGTCAGCCACTGTACCCGGTCAATTAAACCTCTATTCCTAAATTACCCAGTCTCAGGTAGTTCTTTATAGCAGTGTGGAAATGGACTAATACATTATTCCTCACCTCCACTGTGAAGCAGGAGTCCAATTTCATCTTAGCAGTCCAGGTCAATTATCCCAATCAACACCATACCTCCCTTCTTAACTTGTTGACCCAGAGATACAAGGAACCCAGAGTGACTGGGCAGCAGCCTTAACTTCCAGTTCAGTGGAATCATTGTTATATCTCCTGGTAGAAGCATTCTTCTCTCTGGAACTAAGACCTCTAGGCTAGCAGAACATGATGTTATAGGAACAAAAAGCAAAATTTTGCTAGTGGATTACTAGGGGTAATAAAGGTAACCGGTGCCACTCTCATTTCCACCCCTTTATTCCTATCTAGGGGAGAAACAGTACCATACATTGAGTGCTGATTCAGGGCATATACAGCCTTCTGGAGAACCTTGCTCCAGCCCTGTAAAGAATTTTCACCTAGCTGGTGCTGTAACTGCAACTTCAAAAATCATTCATTCCACCATTCTATCAAGCCAGCTGCTTCAGGATGATGGGGAACACAGTAAGATCAGTGAATTCCATGAGCATAATCCATCACCACACTTCTCTGGGTGTGAAATGTGTTCCTTCATCAGGAGCAATGCTGTGAGTAATGCCATGATGGTGGCTAAGGCATTCCTTAAGTCCACAGGTGGTAGTTTGGGCATAAGCATTGTGTGCAGGGAAGGAAAATCCATATTCAAAGTGTTTATTCTACTAAGGACAAAATGCTGCCCCTTCCATGATGGAAGTAGTCCAGTGTAATCAACCTGCCTCTAGGTTAGTTTGCTGATCACCCTGGAAAATGGTGCCATGTTGGGGGCTCCATGTTGGTCTCTGCTACTGGCAGATTAGGCATGCAGTGATGCCTGTAGCAAGGTCAGCCTTGGTGAGTGGGAGTCCATGTTGCTGAGCCCATGCATAGTCTCCCTGCCACCATGGCCACTTTGTTCATGAGCCCATTGGCTGATGACAGGGGTGGTTGGGAAAGAGGCTCACTGGTGTCCACAGAATGGGTTATCCTGTCTACTTGATTATTAATATCCTCCTCTGCTGAGGTCACCCTTTGTTGAGCATTGACATGGGACACAAATATCTTCACATCTTTTGCCCACTTTGAGAGGTCTGTCTACATACCTCTTCCCCAAATTTCTTTGCCACCAACTTTCCAATCATGTTTCTTCCAAGTCCCTGACCATCCAGCCAAACCATTGGCTACAGCCAGTGAATCAATATATAATCACATGTCTGGCCATTCTGTGCCCCCTGTTCAAGCAAAGTGCACAAACAGGTGCATTGCCCAAAGTTCTGCCCATTAGGAAGAATTCCCTTCACCACTGTCCTTCAAGGATGTCCCAGAAAGGAACTGTAGTGCTGCAGCTGTCCACTTTTGGGTGACGCCTGCATATCATGCAGGACCATTTGTAAACCAGGCCTGATCCTCTCTTCTTCTGTGAACTGATCATTAGGTACTACCCATAAGGTCCTAGGTGCAGGCTGGGAGAGAGAAGGCAGTAAAGCAGGAGTAGGAATTATGGGCATTTGAGACACTTCTTCATATAACTTACTTCAGGACCTGCTTGGGCCTGATCAAATACATACCGTTTCCGTTTGATAACAGAGTGCTGCTGTGCATGCACAACTTTATGGCTTGGTGGGTCAGATAACACCTAGTTTATGATAGGCAGCTCAGGTCACATGTTAACTTGATGGCTCATAGTCAAGCATTCTGTTTCTACTAAGGCCCAGTAGCAGGCCAAGAGCTATCTCAAAAAGAGAGTAGTTATCTGTGGATGATTGCAGGGCCTTACTCCAAAATCGTGAAGGCCTCCACTGTGATTCACCCATGAGGGCCTGCTAAAGGTTCCAGACAGATCCCTGTCTGCCACTGACACCTCGAGCACTATTGGATTTGCTGGGTCATATGGCCAAAGTGGCAGAGCAGCTTGCATAGCAGCCTGAACCTGTTGCAGTCTTCTTCTGTTCTGGGCTCCACTCAAAACTAGCAGCTCTTTTTTTTTTTGTATCACTACATAAATGGGATAGAGTAACACACTCAGAGAAGGAATGTGTTGCCTCCAAAATCCAAATAGGCCTAGTAGGCTTTGTGCCTCTTTCTTGGTTATAGGAGGGGCCAGATGCAACAACTTATTGTTCACTCAGGAGGGATATCTCAGCAGGCCCAATAACACTGGACCCCTAGACACTTCACTGAGGTAGAAGTGAACTTAAGTTGGATTTATTTTCCACCCTCTGACATGCAAATGTCTTACTGATAAGTTCACAGTGGTTGGTGGAAGGGAGCAAAAAAGGTGTTGCATTGTGCTGAGATGGGAACTTAGCTAAGAGTCAACTGGAGTAGTCCTTTAGAAAATGCATATAAAGTGCATTTCTCACTGTACAAACCATTGGCCCAGCATTCCATAGAATGTGCAAAACATGGAATAGACATTGTATAGACACTGGAAAAACAGGAATAAGAAGTGGCACGGAATTGGAATTCTCAGCCTGCTGAGCACAGGGAGGCAGAGATACTGTTGAAGAATAGCTGGGTACTTGCTTCCACTTTCTGCCCTCCTATCTCATCCAACTTCTCCCTCTGAATGTGGCCTTGCCTATGCTGGGTTTGGCTCAAGAACCACAAAGATGATGGCTAGCTGGAAGTATTTCCTATAAAAGGCATGGATCGTATGTGCGTATTCTTGAATAGTGATGTGAGTGTGGGTATAAAAGGATTAGGCCTGGGCAACAATGCCCAGCTTCTCTGGGTGTTCTGGGCACCAAGGAAAGCTGTGCTGAGAATTGCTCCTCTGATTCAGCTCCAGGTGGCTTCCCTGCTGCTTCTGGCATTCTTGGACAAATAAAGCAGGCATGGAAGATTACAACTTAAGTGGTTGTGGTTTCTCCCTGCTAATTTAAATCTACCTGAATGTTTCATCAGTTTTTGCCCTCGGTGGATTTACAGTCTAATGGGAAGATAGACATATAAACAAACAAGTTAAAATATGACAAGTGGTCTTCAGTCCTGCAACTAGCAGGATCATGATAGAGACCCCAAATAAAGTAATTTACTCTGCTGAGTTTGGTTGTATCCTAATTTAAGGGTCCCAACAATTGAGCTTCTTTTTGTTTCTTTCTAAAACATTGCACTGAGCCCTAACTAAGTGGAGGTGCCCTGGTTGCCCAGGAAAAAATATTATCCCAGGGGCTTGAGCCTAGGGAAATGTGATTCTCCTTTCCCCCTACAAAAGTAATCCTGGATTTCTGTGCTTAGAGTGACACTTCCTAATCTGCCTGTGTATCTTCCCATCTTTCTCTGTACTGGCCCTTCTTGGGCTGCTGATCTAGTGGAAGCTGATTGATTAAAATAACCTTGTCTTCTGTAGAGGCTTACCCAGAGGCCAAGCACCAAGCTGGGGAGGCTGGAAACCTGAGCTCCAGAGAATCTCTGAATTGGAAGAGATCTCAGAGGTCACTAAATTCATTCCCCACAAGAAGTTTAAACCTATTCTGTTATTATGAAAATGATATGAAAATGAAGGCAAGTTGCTTATCCTTTTGGATGTAATTCACTCATCAGGTAAAAAGGACTATCTGTTCCTTTTTCCTCAAAAGGCTTCTATGAGGATGAAACACTATTTGGGAAGACATCTTTGCAAAATAAAGAAGCACTAAATACAATACACAATTTAATTATCAATTCTTTCTGTAGCTTCTTCTAGCCTCCAGTCTCTGCTAGCCATTTTTAGTTTCATCAGCCATCTTGAAATGTTCTCCTTATATTCTTTCAATATCAGTCAAACTACTGATGGACAGTTGTAATTCATGTTCTTCCGAAGGGACACCTGAAGTCAGCTTTTGCTTCTAACCAGGTACGCAAAGCTAGATTTTTTAATTTCTTTTCTGAAAAGGGAAATGAAAGCCTCAATATAAAGGTTGTCTGGCAACCAGATAAAAGAAAGAATTTCTTTCAGTCTTTCCAAGAAGAACAGAATGGAAGTCTTGAAATATAAATTATTTTTTAGTGGTGTCTTGAAAAAGGTGTTACTCTTCATTATCTGCCTTTTTTACCCTTTTTCCTGAATATGGCCTATGCAAGCAATTAAACCATTTTGTATCTTTAAAATGAATACAAATGGAGATATTTTTAGGAGATGGAAGGAACCTTAGAGGTGTCCTGGTTTATCCATTTAGTTTCTGAAGCAGAGAAGTGGGATTTAGAATAGGTGAAAGATTTCCTCATGATTTCTAGCTTTTCAGTGCTGAGCCAAGCCCAAACCTAGGGTTCCTAACTCCCAATCCAGGGTCCTTGCCGCTAGGACAGAGGTAAGATATAAACACAAATAACTACATTGAGGTATTCTTACACTAGTATCAGTCCTCATTGTCCAACCTGGTTGTAAGTGTGGCTGAAGAAAAGACCCCAGGCCAGGGACCTTCCGCTACACTGTCAAAGGGCTTTTGGGCTGGAGATCCTAAGTGACATTTCATATGTTTACCTTGGAGGTAAAACATCTGTTTTGAATCTGAATTGTGCCCATTTCACAGAGGATGGAAAATTGGTTAGTTTCCTTTCTCCTAGCGCAGAATTGCTCACGTTGTTCTGACTTTTCTATTGGGGTTGAGGCCTCTCTCTCATGCTCCGCCCCAGTGGGAAGCCTGCGACTTTCCTGGAATGGCAGGTTGTGGAGAATAAGAGTTCCCAAGAAGAGGGAAAATGTCCTTCTGGTCAAATCCCATTACAGTGAACTCGCCACCACTGTCTAAACTCCCTTGGTGTTAACCCAGATCAATCTTACTGAAGTTATGTAGGCCAGTGCCTGGGGCATTGAAATAATTGTTTCACATGATCTCACTGTGACAAACATTATCTCTCTCCCACTACCAATCTTTGTCATAGAAATGAGTTTCTCATGAGCCCAGAGGGAGATAGGGTCTACGTGGGTTGGGGTGGATCTGGTCTGTCTGTCTACCTCTGCCTCTCTGTCCAGTCTTGAGTGATGCAGCACATGCTGTCTGTCTTTTGCAGTGCATGACCCACCACATGGGTAAATTACCCTGCTGCCACCCAGGACCTCTTCTTTGATGAACTGGGTGGCCAGCGGGGTCTTTCCTGGAGCCTTGATGGTCTCTCCTCTGCAGAGGTGGGGCAGTGGATTTTCAGGGGATTATTTACAGTTATACAACTTCTAGGTGGTGGTGGTGGGGGCAGGGGCTGTGACTCTCAGGCTGGGGGAAATCGAAGGGTTAAGATGTTCTATGCATAGGGAATTCTGGACGCATAGTATCATAGAGTCCTAAAGCTGGAAGAGGCTTAAGATTATCTATGCAAATGGAGATGAGTTTGGGTGTGAGATACTTTAGGGTCTGGCTGCAGCACAGAGTCAATTGGAAGTCAAAGACCTGACAGAAAAACATATTTGTTCATGGAGATATAGCAATGTGGATCTGGGAAAGAAGGCAGGAGACAAAAGGCAGGCTTTCTCTGGCCCTGAGATGGGAAGTGACTTGGCTAAGAACACTTCCCTTTCTCATGCTACAACTCAGGTGGGCCTGCTTTCTAGAGCAGCCAGTTTGGAGATGTGAGGGGAACTAATCTTCACTAAATGAATCAGAGAGAAGCCAGATGTTTGCACCTGGAGTTGGGCTGCATGATTCCTGCTGCCTGCTGCTGGCAATTTGTTTCTCGGTCAACCATGAGACCTTTTGTCCGCAAAATGAAGCCGTGAAACACTCCTGCCAGAAAAGCAAGGGAGAGAGTCCTCTTCCCACTGCGCCACCATGAAAGTAGCATACTTGGTGACAGTTGTTGTTTGAAAGTGTTGATTAATCATGCCATCTGCCCTCTGAATCCTGAACCAGTTGAGGACTAGGCATAGGAGTCCAAAATGGCTGGGTGTATCTATCTTATTCCAGTCCCAGGGGAATGTGGCTCAGAGTCCAGGGCAATATGGACTTCATAGTCTTCCCCCTCTGAATTGAACTTATGACCTCGTCACAGGTAGGGAAGCGAGATTCCACAGGGCTGAAAGGTAGACTTTTATATCGTGGAAAAGTCTGGAGTGTGAAGGAAATCACCTGAGGGTTATGGGCAGATGGTGTCCAAAAGAGAGCCAGTGAGAGCTAGCCACATGCTCAGGACACTTCCGTGCACCAGCAGATGGGACATGGAGGGAATGCAGATGATGGGGGGAGAGTGGGAGGACTTTCTCCCCAGTATACCAAGAGGGCACACATTCTTATTTTAAGATCTGATGTAGGAACAGGGGGAGAAAATAGCTCCTCTACACCCACCCTCTCTTTCTCAGTGAAACCTACTTATCTCCCTACCTTCATCCACAGTCCTCACTAGCTGCTTGTCTCGAGGTTGTCTTCTGCTCACTTTGTGTTCTCCTCCAGCCTGCACAGTGGTGAGCACAGAGTAGGTTTCTTTGCAAATCCATGTTCAGAACATGGTCTACACCTTGGTGAAACAGCAGGTGGTTGTCCCAGGCTGGCTACTCCTTGAGACAAGGATCTGGGTGCCAGTAGTTCATTTGGGAAGTGATGCCAGGGAACACCAGTAGAAGAAGGGGGAACTGAGTCAAGGAAGGAAAGGGTGTTATCAAGCAGGTCACCACTTGGGCAACTGGAGCTTCTGCCCCTGGGGAACTCTATGCCAGTACAGAAAAAGATGCCCAAAGCCATCCTAGTGAGAGTGAGAGACTCAGGTTGTTTATTTACCATATTCTATTAGACAAGTAGTCTGCTAGATACGTGCACATGATATGCAATTTTTGCTTTACGGAGTAAAACTCCATCTAGCAGTTAGATGTGAGATACTCACCAGCTCCCTGTGGCTTCTCTCTGTGATTTTTGTTAATTTTGACACAAGACATTTTCTGAGCTCTGCTCTCAAGTAGAAATGTACTGCAGTAAACTAACACAGCAACAGAAAACCAAACAACGCATGCTCTCACTCATAAATGGGAGTTGAACAATGAGAAGGCATGGATACGGGGAGGGAAATAACACACACTGGGGCTTGTCAGGGGTTGGGGGAAAAGGGGAGGGAGAGCATTAGGACAAATACCTAATGCATGCGGGGCTTAAAACCTAGATGACGAGTTGACAGGTGCAGCAAACTACCATGGCACAAGTATACCTATGTAACAAACCTGCGTGTTCTGCAAATGTATCCCAGACATTCAAGTAAAAAAAAAAAAAAAGAAAAAGAAAAAGAAAAGAAAAAGAAATGTCCTGCAGTAGTCTCCAACAGTTCATCCACTGTTGGTACTGAGAAACCCACCCTCCAAGGACCTGTGGGGCTTCTGACACATACAAAGACAACAGCAGCCTTGAGCAAGCTCCATAACCATCTCTGTCAGTGTGTGAGGTCTTATAGAAACTATCAAGAAAGAATGGCAGGTACTGCAGTCCTTCGTAAGCTTCACAAAATGCCTCCTGCTGCCGAGTTGCTGACCTTATTTCAGATATTTACTAGTTGAAAGCAAATTGGCTCTGACAAGTTTCTTTCTCTCTGAGTGTGGCATGAACCTTACCTGCTTTCTACTTGGCCATTCAAAATGCTGTCATGGAGACCTGGACTGACCTTTGGGGTTGGCACCTGGAGACCACCCCTTGAGGCCACTGTCTAGCTCTTCCTGGGATGAACAGGAAAGTAAATCATGAATAGGTGATGGGTCCTGGGAAGGCTGCCTCTCAAAAAGATTCATCAGCTGAGCTTCCTGGCTCCTGTCCTGCTCCCTGCTCTCAGCCTGGCTCCTGTCCTGCTCCCTGCTCTCAGGAATCTATGCTCTGTCCAGGCACCCCGAGAAGCCCCCTTGGCTGGTCCCAGGTGTCTCCTCCCACACCTTTGCAATGCAGCTCTCACCACATGGCAACTTATTCTGCCGTCTCCCCAGGGCCTCTTCTCTGTTGGGCTTGGTGGCCAGTGGAGTCTTTCCTGGAACCTCGAGGGTCTTACTTTTGCAGAGGTAAGGCAGTGAAATTCAAGGGATTATTTGCCAATTCTGCTGAATTTAGAGACAATATAGTATGGAAACACATTTTTTCAGGCTATAGTTCAAGCATCTTCAAGGGCAGAGCTCTCTATTAGTTTTCCTATGATGCAAGCAAAATAGTTTTGGGGGTAAAAATTCCAGTCTACATAATTCAGGTATGCAAAAGTAGAACTTTATTTCTTTTCCCCAAATTTGACACTTGTTATGGGTTGAATTGTGTCCTCCTCAAAAAGATATATGGGAATCCTAACCTCTGGTACCCAGAATATGACTTTATTTGGAGATAGGGTCTTGACAGAGGCAATCAAGTTAAAATGAGGACATAACAGTGGGTCCTAATTCAATGTGAAGGGTGTCCTTATAAAAAGGGGAAATGAACACAGACATGCACACAGGGAGAACTTCATGTGGAGATGAAGGCAGGGATGAAAGTGATGCTTCTAGAATCCAAGGAATGCCAAAGATTGCCGCTGAACCACCAGAAGCTAGAGGGCAGGCATAGAAAAGAGTCTCTCCTTCCCTGCACTCAGAAAGAACCAACCCTGTTGATACCTTGATCTCTGAATTCTAGTCTCCAGAACTCTGAGATGATACATTTCTGTTGTTTGAGCCTCCCAGTTTGTGGTGTTTTGTTATAGAAGCCATAGAAAGCTAATACAATGCTCAATTCTTCTTTTTCACTGGTGGTGATAAGCTTGCCAATTCAAAGCACATTTGAGAGTCTTCTGTTGAACTCAGTATCTTTAGAATAAATACTCAGGCAATTCAGACTTGCCTCTTCTCTCCCCTTCTGTCCTACTCTCCTGCCTGTGGCCCTGGGCAGAGCTTTCCTCTGTGGATTCTGCTGCTATGTGTCTGTTTCTTTTTGCTGTGTTGGCTCTAAACACTCTGTCTATTGCTGAAGTGTCCACTTCTCGCAACTTCCCTGGCTTCAGGTCACTGTGTCCAACACATTTACTCAGTTTCAACATTCTCATCTTACATATGAGGCTTCCCCAGGTCTTCCAGCTGATTCTCAGCCTCACCTGCACCCGTCTTGTTTTGAGTGATGTGGGGATGGGGTGGGATTAGGCAGGGGTGGGGAAACTTTGCAGATATTCTCTTGAGCCTGTCTCTGGGGCCACAGGCTGCCAGAGCAGGGAGGTAGTAGTTCCAGGACATACGTTTGCCATCCCAGACCCATTCCACCACCATTTTGCCTCTCCTCTGGCTGCCCACATGTCCAGGGACTCTCTGTGAGGCCAAGGTATATGAACCCCGAGGCATCACTGTAGCAACTGGAAACAGAAAACATTCTGAAAGCCGGTCAGTGGGAGAATGATTAAATAGGTGAGAGAGTATTTTTATTGTGGAATACTATGCAGCTGTTAAAAATCTGAGGACACTCTCTATCCTGACATAGAAAGATCCAAGACCTATTGAATTCTGCAACAGCATGGATGGCATAATTCTGTTTTCATAAAACTCTGTATGTGTGTATGCATACAAAAGCACAGAGAATCCTGGACGTATATCCAAGTTATCAGTGCTACCAACAGGGGACATGTGGATTAGGAGAGAGAGGAAGGTATGTGAGAGGAGATGTTCCCTTTTCCCTAAAAATCCTTTTGTGTAGTATATAAAATATTATCGGGACTATATTTATAAATGATAAAATTTTAACAACAACAAAAAATCCTCAACAAATAGCATAAACCATACTAAGAATGGCCTGCCTGTTCCTTTCTCAGTGCCTCTAAAATAACCTGTTTACTTTCTTTATTAAGTCTAAAAAGGATCAGGCATACTTGTGGAGTTTCACTGAATTCTCTCTTTTTCACTGAGATATTGTTAGTGCAAAACTTTAATGAATAAATAAAGGACCAGAAAATACAGCTCCCAATTGCTCTCCAGACCACAGCCTATGTTGTCACAGAGGCCTCTGGCAATCCAAAAGGAATAAAGTTGAATCAAGTAACAAGGGGAAATCAATATCTTATTCATGTTAAACCTGCCCTAATGCCCTCCATTATGGGAGTCACCACACAGAGAATCGATCTGTTTCTCTTCTGGTGGAATGTGGGGGCTGTAACATTTTCATTTATATATATTAACTTTTAGGAAGGGAACTTCACTCATGGAGCCATTTCTTATCTCTATAAAACCGGCAGATTTAACAGCAGAGTTTCAGAGCCTCTTATGTTTGAGCTCCAGTTTGCATACTAAGTAAACATTCTAAGAAATAGTTCTTGGGTCAGGACAAGGATAATAATGATCATTAATAACCATCACTCATTACAAGGTTCTTCTTCCTCTGAGCTCTTCTAACCTACTGTTTATAAATGCATTTTAATTTGCCAAGCGCACTCCCCCACCCCTCCCAGGCAGACACACGCTTGCAGGGAGGTTAATTGCTACTGCCTTTATGAGCCCTGACCTGTGCAGACAGCATTCTCGGATCACTTCTCCCACCTCTGGGGCCGAGGTTAACGGTCACTGTGCAAGACTGCTTGGGACAGGGAGTGGTAGAATCTAATTACTGGCTCTTGTGGGGTGGACCCGTGAGTGCGTCTTTATGAACATGATGGGCTGAAGTAATCTCCAAGTCTGCGTGCTAATGACCTTCTGAAAGCTATTGTTATTTCCAAGGCCCTGAGGAAATTATATCTTAATTGTGAGTCTAAAATGCCCCCTATTAACTCTCTCTGTTGCCCTTACCTGATTCTTATTGCTCTGAAATCTGCTTGATCCAAATGCAACCAAATTACTTCCTCATTTTGTTCAAGAGATCCTAGATTATTTCTGTTTGAACCACCATCCCCTGTGTGGGTCCCTGTCCTCATTTGTTTCCAGCCTTAGTTGGTCCTCTCCCTAACTGGTAGATTTCCCCACGGGTACGAGTGCATAATTCTCTCTTTCTAAACAAGTTGCAACAGATTTTCTGTTTTCTGCTTTTTGAAGATATGGCTGGACATCTTAAAATACAGATTTTTGCATCTTTATTTTCTTGACTCTCTTAGTAGGTGAGTCATTAGAAGTAACAAAGAGAAAGCAGGATTAATGGTGAACATTATAAACATAGTTGGAAATAGTATTTGCGAGCTACTATTAATAGGATTTCCCCCCTCTGATTTGTTTGTGTGTTTCAGTTATGTATATTAACATTTATTTTGTCCCTGGGTTAATTCTTTATTCTCTGAAACTCCAGGAAAACAACATTGCTGTGTTGTTAACATGCCGGTGAATATTCTGCACATATACACATGCCCCTGCTGTGAATCTTTCTGGCAGACATTGTTTTCTCTGAGGGCAAGAGCTAAAATTTAAAAGCATCTCACCTGACAAATGATTAGGGAATAATTCTTCTTCAACCAAATGCCAAAACAAATCAGCTCCCTAAAGTGATGTGAGATCTCCTCAAGCTGTGCCTGGTAATATTAATAAACGAGTAGATGCCTCTGCCCACAGCTTGTCATTTCAGTGTCCCCCCCAACCCTACAGGCATCAAAGCCAAAAAAAAAAAAAAAAAAAGCTTAGGTTGCCTTTAGGAAGTTAAAGCCTGCCATCTTGTGGCGAGTTCATACAATTACACTAATATTTCATCAAGTTTAAGAATCGCATCTTGGAATTTACCAAAGGTATTTTTGGCATGCACTCACAAATGGCATCTGATGTATTTGGGCTGCGCTTATTCTCTGATAGGTACCAAAAGCTCTAAAGCTTGAAAATGACTACGAGTGCATCTTTGACATCTTGCCTTTGAGAAGCAAGTGAGAAGGTGGATGCTGGGGTGAGAGCTCTATTGTACTGTCAGGTTCTTCTAGGATTTGTAATGCTAAAAAGTGGGACCATCTGGGATACCAGTGACTGCAGCTGCCTCCAGTTCTAGGCAAATGGGTAATTTCTTTAAGTGCCCTTCTGATGAGCAGAAAAACTTCAGGCTTGTTAGCTCAAGAGTCATTTGCAGATACACCTGGAGAGATCATAGCAGGTGGTGCAGTAGAGCACCCAACTCAAGAGGCTGATCCATCCATTGGGTGCTCAGCAAATGAAAACTAATGATGCCTGTTAGTGGTTGGGGAATTTTCCTTTAACCTGGACAAATGGGAATTAAAAAAAAAAAAAGGCGCATCTTCAAGCATAATCCTCTGGCTTATGCATTTTGAGGTTAGAGAACAACACCTGGAAGATTTGCTTTTAAAAAACTATTTGTCAGATTTTAATGATTTTTTTCCACATTCTGCTCCTGCTTTCTACAGGTTCTCACAGTTGGAAAATGACAGGAGAAGGTGTTTGCTATGATATATGCAATCTATCTGGTGGTCAGAACATGGGAAAAAGAGGGGGAAGTTGGGCTTATCCAGATTTAAGCTCACTTAAAAAGCAAGAACAAGTTTGAGGGAGCTGAGTAATTTACATACTTTCAGACACAGCTGCACAATTCTTTTCAGTTTTCCCATCTGTGAGCTAGAAACGAAGGGAATGATCAAATTTGCCAATTGATTGCCTTCATGGATGTTAATGCAGTGAGGCAATCTCTAAGGTTGTTAGTGTAGCAGGGTATGTATCCTCTATTAAAAGGGGTGCACAAACTTTTAATTAAATTTGATTAAATTCGAGGGGTTTTTCTTCTTGTTTTTTCAGTACCATTTGATTCAATCAGGTTGAGAATAGAGAATCACTTTGAAGTAAATGTTCCTTGTTCTTCAAAGAAGGCTTCAGTAGGCTTCCTTGGTTATGTAAATGTCAGATAAGTAAGCCTCCTGGTCCCAGGAGAAAGCTGGAACAAGACATCCTGTGCTTTGAGTGGTTTAGAAAAGGTTGCCTCTTGGCCGGGGGCGGTGGCTCATGCCTGTAATCCCAGCACTTTGGGAGGCCGAGGCAGGTGGATCACGAGGTCAGGAGATCAAGACCATCCTGGCTAACACGGTGAAACCCGGTCTCCACTAAAAACACAAAAAATTAGCTGGGCGTGGTGGCGGGTTCCTGTAGTCCCAGCTACTCCGGAGGCTGAGGCAGGAGAATGGTGTGAACCCGGGAGGTGGAGCTTGCAGTGAGCTGAGATGGCGCCACTGCACTCCAGCCTGGGTGAAGAGTGAGACTCTGTCTCAAATTAAAAAAAAAAAGAAAAAGAAAAGAAAAAAAAGAAAAGGTTGCCTCTTAACTTGTATGAGGAATTGGTGGTGCAGGGCAGCATGGAGGGCTGTTGTTGTTGCAGTTGTGTGGTCTAGTAAGATGAAATTAATTAAATGCCTTTTGGATTTAGTTGATAGCTTCCTTTTTTCCTTGACTTACCTTGACTTTTGTGCCCAAACACTCCTGCTTCTTGTTCTGCTTCTGCTCTTAGCTCATCTCCTTTGCAAGGCCATGCTCCTCTGACTATTCTGTTGACCATCCTTAAGGCCTTGGTCCTGCTAAAGTATAATTTTCAAGAAGGTAAAATCAAGACTCTCACACAAATACAAAAGGAATACATCAAAGGCTTTATGTAACTTATTATTTAGTGAAGAAACCAGTATGTTAAAATCAGGTCAAAGGAAAATTTGAAGGCACACATAAGTATACTTAGGAATGCAGAAATGAATTTGCTCATAGATGCAAAATTGATAATATATTGTAGAAAAATAAAATGTAATGCTTGGGGTCAGGGTCATCTTTTTCACCCCAAGGTAAAAATAAATTTTATGTCTGTGGGAACAAAATTTATTCACAGTGCTATGGACAACAGTCATCTGCATTTCCATTAGTTTTCTACAAATTAACTTCTACCCCTAGAGAGTAGTGAAATAGCCTGGCCAATAGGAAGACAATCAATGATGCCCAGCTTTAAAGAATCAAATCACTCCTGGAGGGTCTGCTAGACAGAGCCCAGAACTCTCAGTAATCTCATTTACTCATTTTTTGAGTAAAGGAAAGATTTTTGAGTTGAGGAAAGATTTTGACATTTTTTCCTGACAGACTTGGGCATCCAACCATTCTGTGCTCCTTCTGGGCCATCTCACCTAAGCCACAGCTTTGATTACCTCCAATAACAACTGACTTTTAACTTTTTATCTTCTGCCTAGTCCTCTAAGTTCCAAATCCATACCTCCGTATGCTTACCTGGCAACTCCTCTTAGAAGTTTTTTAGGCTAAGAGAGAGGGCAATTTATATGTTAGAAGAAGAGGAGAGGTTTGAACTCAGCATTATATGATTTCAGAACTGGAGCCAAAAGCCTGCAACATCAACACGAGGTAGTTTTTGGAGGTGTCCAAACTCAGGGGGCTGGAACCTATGTGGTAGATCTCTCCTTTTTGTGTCTTATGGTGGGAGGGTTTATTGTCTGGGGAGGAGGAGGGTGGTGGAATGGACCTCACTGTTTTTCTAGCTGAACTACAGATAAGAGCCTATGCTGCTGGCTGCCCATGGGGAGAGTTGCTCTTTCCTGTTGATGAGGCAGGAGTAGCTGATAACCTTTTTCTACAGAAAAAGAGTTTGAGAGACTGTGGATTCTGGTGTTGTACCCTTGAGCTGCCTCCTTTTTTTCTTCCTATACAAGGAGAGAAGGCTCCAGCCTGTGCTCTGGGTGGTAGTGGAGTAGAGAGTTGGGTTTTTCCAATGCGGTTGCTTCCCAAGTCTCCCGAGGTTTATCCATATTTTCTACCTCTGCCCTGCTGACCACCGTTTCTGCTATCCTGTCTCCCTAACTTGTCTTTCCTTCAATGTCCACACATTTAAGAAGAATGAAATCTCAAGCCTCATCAGTCCCTGACTGGCCTCACAAGTTTAGCAGGAATTTTGATCTGTTCAGGTGCTTATTTCTTCCTTTGTTGTCTCTTTTTCTTCTCTTCTGGCTTCTCAGGCCTAAACCCAGAGACTGTTTAATCAGTTGGTGATCAAATGAAAACAAATGTCAGAGAGGTGACGGCAGCTAATAACCAAAGCCCTTCCTCAATAGAGAATAGCTTGCTGTTGGAAAAAGTAAATTTCCACCAGGTAGAAAGTATGTGGGAAATATTATTGAGCAGGGGGAGCCCAGCTGCCTGCCAAATCTAACCACTTGTCTGGTGTTTCATTCTTTTCTCTGCCAGGGAGCCACCATTTACACAATCCCTGCATTGGCAAAGACCATCTCAGTGGGGACTTACTAACTTTATTGGGAGGGCAAGAGAGGTCAGGTTGCTTGACATTAGTGTCCACACAGAAACCAGAGAAAACACATTTTGTTAAACATGGCATTCCCTAACATGTAAACAGTTTTAACATAATGTTTTTGATAATAAATTCTAGTGCAAAGAGAACCAAACTGGAGGGTCACGGGATACAACTGGGAGGGACACTTATTTCACCCCTTTTTACTCGAGTTACCAGCCAAATCACAGAAATGGGCTCTGCACAGTCTCGTCAAGGTGGCCTGCAGTATCCACGAATTGTGTGGCCTGCAGTATCCACGAATTGTGTGGCCTGCAGTATCCATGAATCAACTGCAAGTCTCATGTCAGCTCCTGAAAGGCAATGGGAGCGGGTGAGGAGGAGCAGCTTCTGCCCACGTAATTCCTCCTCCCTGACCTCATGACCTGCCCAGAGCTGTGCCCCTCTGCCCACTTTCCTGGGATGACTCCTAGCCAGGGAAGGCTCTCAGGTCCCAGGTACACTCTCAGCCTGCTCTTTCTGAGCACATTCCTAGTCTTATGAGATTAAAGGCTCTTCTGCAGCCAGAGAATCCTACACACACCTCCTTTGAACTCCAGCCACTCTGAAAAGCAAACAAAAAAAAAAGAAAGAAAAAAATCTGCCTATAACATATTTTTGGAAATTCTTTTCCCTTTCTTTCCAATCAGAACTGAATGAAACTACTTTCTTGCTTGTATGACATTGCTTATTGGTGCAGTACTTCAGATATCAATGCCTTAGAAACATACTCTTTTTTTTTAGGGTTTCTGTCTAGGAGTGAGGTAAACTTATCCCCTGCCAACTGTCTCACTCCCTTTCCAGGAAGGGTCACCTTCCTCTAGTTATATTGGGTGAAAATGGGCTTTAAGAAATATTATTATTAGCCAGACATGGTAGCTTGCACCTGTAGTCTCAGCTACTCAAAAGGCTGAGGCAGGAGGATCACTTGAGCTCAGGAGTCTGAGGCGTAGAGTGCTATGATCTTTCCTGAGAATAGCCACTGTACCCCAGCCTGGGCAACATAGTGAGGCCTCATCTCAATATACACACACATACATATATACACACACACAACATATGAGTGTGTGTGTCTATGTATGTATATAGTTTGCATACACACATATATGTATATATATGTATATTTAAATTAAGGTATAATTCACATATAAAATTTCCACTTTTAAGTTACAATTAAGTGGTTTCTACTATAGTCACACAGTTGTGCAACCATCATCATGATTTAGTTCCAGAACATTTTTATCACCCCCACAAAAGGAACTCCATACCTATTAATGGTCACTCCTCATTCCTCTCTTCCCTGACCTCTTACTACTACCATTCTACTTTCTGTCTCTACAGGCTTGCCTGTTCTGGACATTTTATATAAATGGAATTATACAATATGTGGCCTTTTGTGTCTGGTTTATTTCACTTAGCATGATGTTTTCAAGGTTCATCCTGTTGTAGCATCAATCAGTAGGCCATTCCTTTTCATTGATGAATAGTATTTCATTTTATGGATATACCACATTTGTTTATCCATTCATTAGCTGATGGACACTTGAGGTATTTCTACTTTTTGGCTATTGTCAAAAATGTTGCTACAAACATTCATGTACAAGTTTTTGTGTTGATATATGTTCTCAATTCTTTTGGATATATATCTAGGAGTGGAATTGCTGGATTGTATTTTAACTCTGCATTTAACTCTCTGAGGAACTGCCAAACTATTTTTTAAAGTGGCCTTATCATTTTACATTCCCATCAGCAACGGATGAGAGTTCCATTTTCTCTACATCCTCCTCTCTTGTTATTGTCCATTATTTTGATGATAGCTATCCTACTAGGTGTGAATAGACATCATTTGTATATTACTGTAATTTTTGTTTTTTGTGTTAAGAAACACATTGCGTGGTATCTACCCTCTTCAGCAATTTTAAAGTTTATAGTACCGTATTGTTAATTATAAACACAACGTTGTACAGCAGATCTCTAGAACTTTTTCATCTTGCATGACTGAAACTTCATACCCATTAAGAAGCAACACCCCATTTCTGCCTCCGTCCAGCCCCTGGCAACCACCATTCTATTTTCTGATTTCTATTTTCTGATTTCTATTTTCTGATTCTATGAGTTTGACTATTTTAGAAACTTCACGTAAGTGGAATCATGCAATATTTATCCTCCTGTCGCCAACTTATTTCACTTACAATAATGTCCTGAAGGCTCATCAATGTTGTAGCATATGACAGGATTTTATTCTTTCTTATGGCTGAATAATATTCTATTATAATATAGAATATTACATGTATATAATATGGAATAATATTAATATGGAATATTAATTATTACATTACCACTGGCAATGCATAAGGGTTCTAATTTTTCCACATCCTCATCAGCACTTGTTAATTTCTGTTTTTTTTTTTTTTATAATGGCTGTCCTACCAGGTGTGAGGTCGTACTGCACTGTGGTTTTGATTTGCCTTTCCCTGATGATTAAATGATTTTAAGCATCTTTTCATATACCTTTTAGCCATTCATATGTCTTCTTTGGAGAAATGTCTATTTAAGTCTTTCACCCATTTTTAAATTGGGTTATTCGTTTACTTGCTATTGAATTTATACACACACACACACACACACACACACACACACATGCTGCTTGACTTAACAATGGAGTTATGTCCCAATAAATCCATCATAAGTTGGAAATATCATAGGTAAAAAATGCATTCAATGCACTTAACCTACAGAACATCATACCATAGCCTAGCCTACCTTAAACACATTCAGAACACTTACGTTAGCTTACAGTTAGGCAAAATCATCTAATACAAAGCCTATTTTATAATGAAGTGTTGAATATCTCATATAATTTATTGAATATTGTACGGAGAGTGAAAAAAAAACGGATGGGTGGGTACTTGACATACAGTTTCTACTGAATGCATATCACTTCTGCACCATCATAAAGTCAAAAAATCATCAGTCAAACTGTCGTAAGTCAGGAGCCATCTGTGCGTGTTTGTGTGTGTGTGCATGTGTGTATATATATGTGTGTGTATATATATGTGTATATATTTAAATTGACAGATTAAATTATATTTATTTACCATGTACAACATGATGTTTTGAAGTATGTATACATTGTGAAATGACTAAAATCTAGCTAATTAACATATACGTTATCTCACATAATTATCATTTTTTAGTGAGAACACTTTCACTTTACATTCATTCTCTTAGCATTTTTCAAGAATACAATGTTGTTAATGTTGTTACCATATTGTACAATAGATCTGTTAACCTTACCCCTTTTTTCTAACTGAAATTTTGTATCCCTTGACCTACATCTCCACAAATCTTCTGCTCCCAACCACCTCAACCCCTGGTAACCACCATTCTGTTCTCTACTTCTGCGGGATCAACTTTTTTAGATTGCACATATGAATAAGATCATGCAGTATTTGTCTTTCTGTGCCTGGCTTATTTCATGTAACATAATGTCCACCAGGTTTATCCATGTAGTCATAAGTGACAGGATTTTCATTTTCTATGGCTGAATAGTCTTCCATTGTGTATATGTACTACATTGTATTTATTCATCTGTTGAAGGGCACCTAGATTGATTCTAAATTATTTCCTTCCTTCTACTGACTTTGGGCTTAGTTCATTCTTTCTTTTCTGGTTCCTTCAGGTGTAATATTCGATTTTTAAATTTGAAATCTTTCTTCTTTTTCGATGTAGGCGTTTATTGCTATAAGCTTCCTTCTTAGAATTGCTTTTGCTGTTTCCTTAGGTTTTGATATGTTGTTTCCATTTTGGTTATCTCAATAATTTTTAATTCCCTTTTAATTTCTTCATTGACCCCCATTGGCTGTTCAGGAGTATGTTGTTTAAATTCCATGTATTTGTGAATTTTCTAAAGTTCTTCCTGTTATTGCTTTCTAGTTTTATACCATTGCGATCAGAAAAGATACATGATACAATTTCAATCTTCTTAAATTTGTTAAGAATTGTTTTGTAGCCTAACATATGATCTATCCTGGAGAACGTTCCATGTGAAGTTAAGAAGATTGTATATTCTGTAGCTGTTGGATGGAATGTTCAGTATATGTCTGATAAGACTATTTGATTTAAAATTTAGTTTAAGTCTAATGTTTCCTTACTGATTGTCTGTCTAGATGATCTGTCCACTGCTGAAAGTCCCCTACTATTATTGTATTGCATTCTATCTCTCCCTTCAGATGTAATAATATTTGTTTTATATATTTAAGTATTTCAATTTTGGGTGCATATACATATACAGTTATTATGTCCTTTCATTGAGCCAGTTTTTCATTATGTAATGACCTTTGTCTATTTTTACAGTTTTTTATTTAAAAACTATTTTATCTGATCTAAGTATAGCTACTTCTGCTTTCTTTGGATTTCCGTTTGCATGGAATATCTTTTTCCTTCTTTTCAATTTCAGTATGTGTGTCCTTAGAGGTGAAGTGAAGCTCTTGTAGGCAGCATATAATTGGGTCTTGTTTTTTTATCCATTCAACCACTCTTTCTTTTGATTAGATAATTTAATTCATTTATATGCAAAGTAATATTGATAGGTAAGGACTTAATACTACCATTTTGTTAAATTGTTTTATAGTTGTTTTGTATATCCTTTGTTTCTTTTTCTCACACAGTCTTTCTTTGTGGCTAAGTGATTTTCTCTAGTGGTATGCTTTTATTCATTGATTTTAAATTTTTGGGCATCTGATATATGTTTTGCTTAACATGAGGCTTACAAGAAAGCACCTTGAAGTTATAACAGGTTATTTTAAGATGATAATTAACTTTGATCACACACACACAAAACTCTCTATGTTTTCACTCCACTGCTCCCATTACCTATGAATTTTTGGTGTCATAATTTACATCTTTTTATATATTGCATATCCTTAACAAGTTATTGTATTTATTATTAATAGTTTTGTCTTTTCACCTTCATAACAAAGATATAAATGATTTACATACCACCATTACAGTATGGGTTTTTCTTAATTTGACTGCATATTTTACCATGAGTTTTATACTTTCATATGTTTTTGTGTTACTTATTTGTGTCCTTTTCTTTAGCTTGAAGAACTCTCTTTAGCATTTCTTGTAAGACAGATATGGTGGTGATGAACTCCTTTAGCTTTTGTTTGTCTGGGAAAGTGTTTATCTCTACTTCATTTTGAAGGGCAGAGTTGTTGGGTAGAGTATTCTTGGTTAGGGGTTTTTTTATTTTCCCCATTCAGCACTTTGAATGTATCGTCCTACTTTCTCCTGGCCTGTAAGATTTCTGCTGAGCAGTGGGCTGCTAGCTATATTGGACCTCCTTTACATGTTATTTGTTTCTTTTCTCTTGCTGCTTTCAGGGTCCTCTCTTTGTCTTTGTTTTTTGGCAGTTTGATTATAATATGTCTTGTGATAGTTATTAGAATTGAATCTAATGGAAACCTTTAATATTTGCATAACTAGATATTTACATACTTCTTTAGGTTTGAAAAGCTTTCTGCTACTATTTCTTTAAATAAATTTTCTATCCCTTATCTTTTTCTTCTACTTTTTTAACTCCTATGACTTGACTATTTGCTCTTTTGACACTGTCCCCTAAGTCTTAGGAAGCTTTCCTCATTTCCTCATTTCTTTTTATTATTTTTTCTTGTCTGACTGTATATTTTCAAATATCCTGTTTTGAAGTTCATAGGTTCTTTCTTCTGCTCGATTATTTGCTGTTGATAATCTCTATTGCATTTTCATTTGGTTCATTGTATTTTTTTTTTCAGCTCTGGAATTTCTGTTAGTTTTTTGTTGTTGTTGTTATTTCAATCTCTCTATTAAATTTCTGATTCTGGTCATTTAATATTTTTCTCATTTCATTAAGTTGTTTCTTCATATATTCTTGAAGCTCCCTGAGCTTCCTTAAAACAGTTATTTTGGTTTCTTTGTCAGGCAGTTCACACATCTGCATTTCTTTAGGGTCATTCACTGGTACCTTATTTTGTCCGTTTGGTGATGTCATGTTTCCCTGATTGTTCTTGATCATTGTGGTTGTGCATTAATGTGTGTGTAGTTGATGAAGTAGGTACTTATTCCAGTGTTTAGAGACTGGCTTTGTTTGGGAATTCCCTGTGGCAAGTGTGGTTCTGGGGTGCACCAGAAGTCCAGGGCAGGTGTGGCTGGCATAACATTGAGGCGTACCAGAAGTTTGAGACCTCTGAGGGCTGCCTGATGCTGAGGACTCTGTGGAGCCTGGCATCACTGAAATTGGCCTAAGTGTTGAGGTCCAAGGCAATGTTTTGTGTTTACTTCTTTCACTTTTCTCCAAGTGAATGATATTCTTTCCATGCTGTGCTGTTGGGGAGGGGTGATGCGTGTAATGTAAAACTGATCTTTTTACCCTCTTCAGTGCATCTTTTATTGTTAGCTCTTTTGAAGATATTTTTATGCATGGATAATCGTTCAAATTAATATTTCTGTCAGGGAATGCTTGCAGGAGAGTCATTCTCCACCATCTTGCTCTGCCTCTAGCTATATTTGAAATTTGAGCCCATTATCAGATATATGGTTTCCAAATATTTTTTTCCCATTCCGTGCATTGCCTCTTTACTGTTATTTGTTTCCTTTGCTATTGCAAAAGCTTTTTAGTTTGATATAATCCGTTTTGTCTATTTTTGCGTTGGTTGTCTGTGCTTTTGGTGTCATATCCAAGAAATAATTGCCAAGACCAATGTTAAGGAGCTTTTCCCTCTACCTTTTCTTCTAGGAGTTTTATAGTTTCAGATCTTATGTTTAGGACTTTCATTCGAGTTGATTTTTGTGTATGGTGTAAGATAAGGGTCAAATTTTATTATTTTGCATGTAGTAATTTAGTTTTCCAAACACAATTTATTGAAGAGACTATTTTTACCTCATTGTGTAGTCTTGGCACCCCATCAAAGATCATTTGACTGTATATGTGTGGGTTTCTTTCTGGCCTCTCTATTCTGTTCCATTGATTTAAATGTCTGCCTGTATGCCAGTACCATACTGTTTTGATTACTGTAGCTTTTGTAATATGTTCTGAAATCAGGAAGTACAAGGTTTATATTTCTAGGCAGTTATTTAATATTTATAGATTGTCCATTTATTGGCATATAATTGTTAATAGAAGTTTATACTCTTTTTTATTTCTGTGGCATAAATTGTAATGTCTCTTCCTTCTTTTCCGATTTTATTTGCGTAAGTCTTCTCTCTTTTTTTATAGTTAATCCAGTTAATGGTTTTTCAGTTTTGCAGGTTTTTTCAAAATGCCAACTCTTAGTTTTATAGATTTTTTAAAAATTGATTTTCTATTCTCTATTTCTTTTACTTTGCTCTAATCTTATTATTTCCTTTCGTCACTTACCTTTAGGCTTAGTTTTTTCTTTATCTTGTTACTTGAGGTGCAAAATTAGATTGCTTATTTGAGATCATTTTTCTTTTCTAATGTAGGTGTTTATAACTATAAAATTTCCTTTTAATGCTGCTTTTGCTGCATCCCATAAGTTTTGGTATGTGGTATTTTTATTTTCATTTACCTCAAGGTATTTTCCAATTTCCCATTTGATTTCTTCTTTGACCAGTTGGTTATTCAAGTATATGTTGTTTAATTTCTATGTATTTGTGATTTTTTCATATTTCCTTCAGCCATTAAATTTTAGTTCCATTCCATTGTGTTTAGAATATATACTTGTTATGATTTCAATCTTATTAAATTTGTTGACTTGTTTTGTGATCTAACTTATGATCTATAAGTTCCATACATGGAACACTAGGGAGTGTTAGATGTATGCTTGAGAAGAATGTATATTCTGTTGCTGTTGGGTGGAGAGTTTGTGTAGTCTATTAGGTCTATTTGGCCAACAGTAGTATTCAAATCCTCTGTTTTCTTACTGATCTTCTATCTGAATGTTCTTTTCATTTTTGAAAATAAGTATTGAATCCTTTACAATTATTATGTCACTATTTTATTTCTCCCTTCAGTTTTGTCAATGTTTGCTTTATATATTTGGGTGTTCTGATGTTTGGTGCATATATAATTATAATTGCTGTATATTCCAGATGAATTGACCCTTTTATCATTGTATAATGGCATTTGCCTCTTTTTAACTTAAAGTCTGTTTTGTCTGATATAAGTCTAGACGGCTATCCTTGCTCTCTTTTGGTTACCAGTTGCATGAAATATCTTTTTCTGTCCTTTCAGTTTCAGTCAGAAGTAGCTGCTGTCAGTTTTTATAAAATATAATACTCTTCAGCCCCTCCCTACAGGGGAGTTAAAAACTTTTTTTTTTTTTTTTTTTGAGACGGAGTTTCTCTCTTGTTGCCCAGGCTGGAGTGCAATGGTGTGATCTCGGCTCACCACAACCTCTGCCTCCGGGGTTCAAGCGATTTTCCTGCCTCAGCCTCCCGAGTAGCTGGGGTTAGAGGCATGTGCCATCACGCCCAGCTAATTTTGTATTTTTAGTAGAGACGGGGTTTCTCCATGTTGGTCAGGCTAGTATCAAAGTCCCGACCTCAGGTGATCCTCCTGCCTCAGCCTCCCGAAGTGCTGGGATTACAAGCGTGAACCACTACGCCTGGCTTTTTTTTTTTTTTAAGAGCTCTTAGTCTGATAAAAGAGTCATTATCTGGGAAATCAGAATATCCCCAGATCACCAGACCTTACACTATCTTCCTGCAAAGCAAAGCAGGCTGCTGTTGGGAAGTGAGGGTGAATCTACACAGCATAACTCAGATACTCCACATGTCGTGTGATGGGAATTCAGGGATGACCTATGTGGGAGCAGTGTTTACTCTCAGGTTATGGGAAATGAAAATAAAAGCTAGTACTGAAAAAGTAGTTAAAAGTTTGGACTTCAGAGCTGGATTGCTTGGGTTTAAATCCCAGCTCTGCTGCTTTATAAATGTTTGCCTTTGGACAAATTACTAAACCTCTGCTATAGTCCTGCCTTACTTTGATATTCCCTTATCCCCACCTCAGCTCCTTTATCTAAAGGGGGATTAAAAAGAGCCTCATAGTGTTCTTATGAGGATTAAATAAGTTAATGCACTTGAAGCTCTTAAAACATTTTTTGTTATGTAACAATAAAAATGTTTGTTAAACAATTGCAATAATAATACTAGCCTGAAGCATATGAGGTCTTTCATGCCAGACTGAATTTCTGGGTGGGGAAGGATTGCATCTTTTTAAATTAATTTCTGCATCTTAGTACCTAGAAAAGGGTTGACACATAGTATGGACCTTTATTAAATGTCTATTGCATGATGGCATGAATGAACTTTTTAGATCCACTCAGAGGGTGATTCCTTATCAGGCTATAGACCAAAAGAAAATATTTTCAAGTGCTTTGTGATAAACTTTCCTTGGGGGGACTTTTCTCAAAGTCATAGGGGAGCGTGTGGATGAAATGTTGCAGTGAGTTAAATTTCATAAGTTAAAGAAGAGGCTATAATTTAGAAATAACAATCTAAAGAGAAGAAAAGGCAAACATTAAGCAAGGTAAAAATAAAGGTTGTTATTTTAGAGAAGAACACTTTGCAACAATTCAGATGAAGAAAACCACTCTAGAGCAGGAACTAACAAACTTTTTCTGAAAGGGGCCAGACAGTAAATATTTTAGCCTTGTAGGCCATATTGTCTTTTTTGCAACTCACTCAACTCTGCTGTTGTAGGATGAAGGAAGGCATAGATAATATGCAAACAAATGGGCATGGCCGTTGATATGGTTTGGCTCTGTTTCCCCACCCATATCTCACCTCAAACTGTAATCCCCATAACCCCCTTATGTCAAGGGCGGGACCAGGTGGAGGTAATTGGATCATGGGGGCAGTTTCCCTCATGCTGTTCTCTTGATAGTGAGTTCTCAGAAGATCTGATAGTTATATAAGCATCTGGTATTTCCCCTGCTTGCACTCATGTTGTCCTGCCACCCTGTGAAGAATGCCTGCTTCTCCTTTGCCTTCCACTATGATTGTAAATTTCCTGAGGCTTCCCTAGCAATGTGGAACTGTGAGTCAATTAAACCTCTTTCCTTTATAAATTATCCAGTCTTGGGTATTTCTTCATAGCATTGTGAGATCAGACTAATACAGCTGTGTTCTAATAAAACTATTTATAAAAATGGGAGGTGGGTCGGATTGGCCTGTGGGCTGTAGTTTGCCAACCTCCAATTAAAACAATGTGAAGAATCAAGAAATATGAGTGGAACTGTGATAGCTGAGAAGCAACTTGTGCAGAATCCTACATGAGAGAAGAGAGTGAATACTGCAATATACTGGAGTATCTTTCTCCTGCTATATGTGAGGTTCCGAGGATCACTTAACACTACCACTTCAGTCTTAATGGGGACAAACATGGAGAAGAGAAGACAAAAAGACATGCAGTGCCGTAACTTAGTGATAAGAAAGGAAACTTCCCCAAGTTGAAACTCATTTATTTATATATAAAGTACAGAGGACAAAAAATCCAAGAGATTCCTTAAATCATTTCTATTTATCTGTTGAGTGGATAGTAAAGAAAAGACTTATAATCTTTTCTTAATGTTTTTAGGTATAGTTTCAAGCACCACAATGAAAATATACCCTAAAAACATTATGTCCAGATTGCAACTTCAGCCCTTCTAGCTTCCTTCTTCATGCTTCTTCAACCTTTCCTCAAGCAGGGATGCAACTTACTTAAGATAAAACAGATTCTTTGGTAGCCTAGAAATGCAGCCTTTCTGGGACCACATGCCCACTCAAGAACATGTGACCTGTAAATCAACCTGCAAATCATTTTCTTGTTCCTAAATAAGATTTTTTTTCTATTTGACTCGTACCTGGAAAAGAAAGGAGAAAGAAGGAATAAACTTTCTCACAGAGGCAAACTCTCACTTTCTCACAATTTCATTCGTGGAATGGCCCTGTGGGACTTTATATAAAGTATCTGAGAATATTTGGTTTTAGCTCTAATGAGTCAGTTCTGGTATGTTAATTTCCTAACCATTCGAGCTGTCAATGTGGTTGCTAAGTCTGCTGAATCACAGAAGAAATATACCTTCAGCCTGTTGTATAATTATCTCAGGAATTATAAAGGCAATAAATGCATGATTGCTTTTTTATGA
This sequence comes from Homo sapiens, assembly GCF_000001405.40. Classification (NCBI taxonomy): domain Eukaryota; kingdom Metazoa; phylum Chordata; class Mammalia; order Primates; family Hominidae; genus Homo; species Homo sapiens. The sequence goes on along the minus strand of NC_000014.9, from coordinate 66,344,879 downwards.
ATACATTAAGGCAGAGGTGTGTAATTGGCACTTTAACAATCTAGTGGCAGCAAATTAGATATTAATGTGATTACAAAATGACAATTACTTTTAGCTGTTAATTGACATCACCTTTCAGTAGCCTTTTTCAATATCTTGTTGGGGACTCTTTTTGCCAGTGAGAAATGGGATCATTCTAAGGCTGAGAGGGAGCCATGAGGAACAGTAAGTTAATTACCTAACAAAACAAGTGGTTGATCTTTATATTCTCGATCAACGGGTCTTCGGGGTTTAATAACAGCAGTAACATACTATACCTTTTTTCCAAAATGATGCCCAAATGATGTATAAACTTTTTGTGATGTAATTACCACCCATCAATCACTTCATTTCTGAAATATGGTGGCTTCTGATGAGATGAGATTGCTTTCCACATTCTCATTAGTTTACGAAGGAAAGAGAAAAAAATCTTGCCTCTGTTAGAAAAGCAGGTAAGGATAGAAAGGTAATTTGGTTACATATTACACAAAAACTGGGTAAGAAAGGAAAAATAATGTCATTATACATAGGCTCAAATGTTTGCAAAACCCTTTTACATATATAGTTAAGTTTAATCCTACAGATCTATGTTTTGGTAGCAGTGGATTTATGCAAATCATTTTAAAAAATGTCCCCAAGGCCGGGCGCGGTGGCTCATGCCTGTAATCCCAGCACTTTGGGAGGCCGAGGCGGGCGGATCACGAGGTCAGGAGATCGAGACCATCCCGGCTAAAACGGTGAAACCCCGTCTCTACTAAAAATACAAAAAATTAGCCGGGCGTAGTGGCGGGCGCCTGTAGTCCCAGCTACTTGGGAGGCTGAGGCAGGAGAATGGGGTGAACCCGGGAGGCGGAGCTTGCAGTGAGCCGAGATCCCGCCACTGCACTCCAGCCTGGGCGACAGAGCGAGACTCCGTCTCAAAAAAAAAAAAAAAAAAAAAATGTCCCCAAACGTAAATCTAGTGGTTTATATCAACATCCCAAAATTCAATCAGGGGAAGTTTCTATAGCCTTTCTATATTTAATAAGGCATTTGGCATGTTTTTCATAGATTAAAAATGCTAATAATCAATATACCAAAAATAGATATTCTTATAATGTTTGATGAGTCATAATTATTGATAGGTAAACGTGTTGAAATTGATTATTGCAACATTACCCTATCTGTTGCTAACTTATCCTAACCCTAGATAGATAGACAGACAGATAGGGTTATTGCTCTCTCTCTCTCTCTCTCTATATATATGTATGATATATATATAAGATGTATATATGATATATATAAGATATATATATATATCTAAGGCTGAGAAGGAGCCATGAGGAACAGTAAGTTAATTACCTAACAAAACAAGTGGTTGATCTTTATATTCTTGATCAATGGGTCTTTGGGGTTATATATATATATATATATATATATATATATATATATATATATATATAGTCTGTATTAAATTTTACTACATGCCTCTCATTCTCTACTGAAACTGATTAATGAGATTAGACATCTCTCAATAATAAGAGCAGACACTATATTGACTGATTTCTAACTGCTCAGCTCTATCTTTGTTTTGTTGCATATACCTTAGAGTATCTAAACAGATTTTTTGCATTATAATATCTAGCACCAGAAATTGTATTACAAGGCAACTGAGAACACGGGCAGAGTGAGAGCTGAAATTGAGGCCATCCTTCAGTACTCTCAAATCATTTATTTGAAAAGGTCTTCTTGTGGGGTGAGAGAGATGGTTAAGTGACAGCCGGTAGGTGCAAACCAAGGGACACTCCTATCTGGAATTCCAGTTTCAAGTACTTATTAAATAAAATCAGTCCTTTGTGTTGTTGAGTTCTTGGTTGCAGAGTGAACTCTAGTAGCTACTGGGCATGCAGAAGTGAGCATAGGAGACATGATCTTTGCCTTTATAAGAAATATAGCCGAAAGGAGAAAATAGTCCCATATTGTTTTCTGTAAGCAAATTTCAATCCTGATGCAGTTGGTTAGTTTTTCCTTATCTTCCTAAGTCTTCCCTTCCTCTCCCCTTCTCTTCTCCTCCCTTCTCCTTTATGTTTCTTTCCCATGTGGTTCCAAAAATTGTCCTGGGTAATAATTAATCTGTGTAATTATTCTGATATCACTTGGTTTATTACATAATGCTAATCTGGGAATGTGAGATAATAAAGTCATGTTTCTATCTAACTCATGTTTCATTTTTGACGGGTGTTAGATGTCCTGGTTAGGTGTCATGTTACACATGCCCAGGAGGAATGTTAGTATTTAAGAATGCCCTTTGCTAGTTCCGATTCTCTGCTTTAAAATTCATTTTTACAAAGGAGGAATAGAAGAAAGGCCACCAATGTCTATTACACTGAATAACTAACGTTTATTAAGCTCCTACTGTGTGCCAGGTAATTTCTATAGATAATCTGTAATTTCTCACAGGAAACTTTTGAGGTGGCGATGATATCCTCCTTCTACGGATGAAGAAATTGAAGCTGAGTGAGTTTTGGAGACTTGCTAGGGTCACACAACTTGAATGTTGCAGAGCTGGGGTTTGAACTCAATACCATGAGAGTATAAAACCCTTGTTGCCTCACCAGTTCTGATTGCTTCTAGAACTCTTAAGTGTCCTGATGTTTATTTGGACTCTTCTTGTTTTCTTCAAGTAAGGACACAGACAGTGGAAGCTTCTTCTCTCCTACCTACCAGACTACTTTACCTTTGTGTATCAGATTATCAACTGATGACTTTGATTTTGGTTTAATCCTAGAAAGAGCATTGACTTTGACCTGATTCCAATCATAGTACAAAGTCTGGCCATGTCTTTTAAACTTTGAAGAAACAGAAAATATTTATTTCCACTCTTTATGGGATAATGAGGGAGTTGATGCCATCAATAAATTGTATCAAGGAAATGGGATCCCTATAGAGTCTATATTCACATAGCAGTAGATATCTTTGTAGGTAGAAAAAAAAAACAAGGTCAAGGGCATAACCAAATTAATTTTGTATCACTCTGAAGTTAGAGATTAGTTGTAAGACTAATACAGATTGTTTTGCTGGGGTCATCACATGAAGATAATATTTTAAACAGAAACATGTTGGCTCTACTGGTGCTTTCTGAAGTTCTGTCATCATTTAGCATTTCTTAGAAGGTGGTCGTAGGGCATTTGTAAATAAATATCACTGGCTGCACATTTTGTTTTATTTTAGGAACATTATTTGCTTACCATTGAAAAGGGAGGTTTTTAACTTGACTTAGCTAGGAAACTGTATTTGTAGCTGAATAAAAGCTTTTAACTCTTGATGTATTGCCTTTGGTTGCTTTTATGCCTGTTGTTTAAATATGCACATAGGAAGGAATTTACTTAAAAAGCTGTACATACTTTTAGTGTACTTGGAATATATGAAGCATTCACATATTTCATTCATTTATTCATTCACTCATTATTTCAACAATGATTTATTTAATGCTATACTGTGTACCAGGCTCTGGGATGAAATAGAGAAGAGAACAGTCATGGCATTATTTTTTTCTCAAAATATTTTGTAGAATTCACAAGGAAGCCATCAGGGCTTAAAGTTTTCTTTGTGGGAAGGTGTTAAATAGTAAATTAATCTTTAATTTTAGTTTTGCTAAGTTGTGTGTATGTTTTATGGCATTTAGGGGTTTTTTTGTATTATCTTCTCATTATCCTTTCAATGTTTGTATGATCTATAGTGATGCCCCCCTTTTCATTTCTGATATTGATTGTTTTTGTCTTCTCTTTAAAGAGTTTATCACCATGTTAGTCTTTTTGATAAGCCTTCTGTTTTCTTTGCTGGTCCCCTCTATTTTCTGTCTGTTTACTTTTTCATTAACATATGCTCGAATTTTTATAATTTTCTTCTTTCTCATTTCTTTGGGCCCAATTTTCTGTTCTTTTTCTAACTTCCTGAAGTGGATATTTAGTGCATTGATTTTCAGCCTTCCTTCTAATGTAATATAAAACAGGTTGGGTAACACCATCTTCCAGAAGGTACCATGGAGTCACACCCTCACTTTCATCCCCAAATTCTGCATGTCCCTCTTGCAAAGGTAGCCAAGCAAGAATCCACCTCTGATTAGATCATCACCTTCTGTGAACGTACTCCATTTCCTAACATAGAAATGCTTCCTCTTTATATATATATAAACACACCCACATATATATACACACACATATATACACATACATAAACACACACACATATAATTGTTTGGTTAATATTGGTTATATCATTTCTTCTGTGATTTCTTCTTTGGCCTATCAGTATTTAGAAGTTTACTTCTTAATATACAAACATAGGGATTGTAATTCAGCTTAATTCCACTGAAGCCAAAGAACATACTCTGATATAATTTTGATTTTTGAAACTATATCGAGACTGGTTTATGGCTTGAAATATGGCAATTTAGGTAAATGTTTAGTGTGTTTTTGAAAAAAAATGTATTCTGCAGTCATTAAGTGCAGTGTTCTCTATATATGTTAACCATGGAAAATTTAATCATGTTGTTTAGATCTTCTGTACTCTTCTTTTTTTTGACTGCTTGTTCTCGCTATAAGAGAGGCATGTTTTCCTTTGTAATTGTGAATTTGAACATTCTCTTTCTGTATTTTTTGCTTTATGTATTTTGAAGCTACACTATAAAATATAAGCAAATTTAACAGTTATATTTTCCTCATGTATTGACCTTTTTATTATTATGGAATGTTCTTTAATAATGTTTTTTGCTCTAAAGTCTTATTTATCTGAGCAATATAACTATCACAGCTTTCTTTTGGTTAGTGTTTTTATGATATATCTTTTTCTATTCTCTTACTTCTGACCTTTCTGTATTATATTTAAATATGTTTCTTTAAGCAGGGTGTATATTCCTTTGGAAATCCAGCCTGTCAACCTTTGTCTTTTAACTGAAGTATTTCGTTTATTTACATTGAAGGAAATTATGATATATTTGGACCTCAACCTACTATCTTACTATTTGCTTTTTATTTTCCCTACCTATTCTATGTTCTTTTTTCTTTCTCCTTCCTTTGTCTTTGGATTACTTTCTATTATCCCAAGTTAAACATTATTTCATTATTCTTCCATTGGTAATCCTAGAAATTATATTATGCTTCTTGACTTACCAAAGTCTAATACATATTAGTACTTTTTCCTCATACCAAATAATGCAAGAATCTTAGAATAGCAAACCATGGTTCTTGGATCAGCAGCTGGTTCACAAACTTTCCAATTTTCAATGAACTAAGAAGGTGGTACCAGAATGTAAATCAACTATATCACTAAGTATATGTTTATTTCAGCTGACATTTGTTTTTTAAAAAATAATATTTTCTAAATGAAAGAAGTAGTGCATCAATTTATATTTTGGAGCTAGTTCCTTAATTTGCTGTGGACTGGTGCTTTTAGTAGCACTATCTTAGAATATTATATCTCTAAATTACCACCCCCAAATGTATATGCTCTTTTGTCATATTTTGTCATTATATGTTTTAACTCCAACAAGATATTGTTACTGTGACTTTATATAGTCAATATAATTTTATATTCACCCACATATATAAATTTTCATTGCTATTCCTTTTTGCATCTCTGTGCTTTCATCTGGGACCATTTTTCTTCTCAAAGGCTACCCTTTAGTTAATTATTTTGGTGTATGTTTTCTGTGACAAATTGTCTTTTTAAAGTTCATCAAAAATGTCTATTTTTCCTTCATTTTTGAATGATAACTTCCCTAAGTGAGTAATGTATTCTAATATGGGAATTACATATATATTTAGTACTTTTAAGATAGCAATTCACTGTATCTTCACATCTATGGTTTGTAAACTGTCAAACTTGTAATTGCTCCTGTGAAATAATCATGCTACACCCAGCCACTTTTTTTTCCTGTTTTGTTTTTTTAATTATTACTATACTTTAAGTTCTGAGGTACATGTGCAGAATGTGCAGGTTTGTTACATAGGTATACACTTGCCATGGTGGCTTGCTGCACCCATCAACCCATCATCTACAATAGGTATTTCTCCTAATGCTATCCCTCCCCTAGCCCCCCACTCGCCTACAAGCCGCAATATGTGATGTTCCCCTCCCTGTGTCCATGTGTTCTCATTGTTAAACTCCCAGTTATTAGTGAGAACATGTGGTGTTTGGTTTTCTGTTCTTGTGTTAGTTTGCTGAGAATGATGGTGTCCAGCATCACCCATGTCCCTGCAAAGGACATGAACTCATCCTTTTTTTATAGCTGTATAGTATTCTATGGTGTATATGTGCCACATTTTCTTTATCCAGTCTATCATTGATGGGCATTTGGGTTGGTTCCACGTCTTTGCTATTGTGAACAGTGCCGCAATAAACATACATGTGCATGTGTCTTTATAGTAGCATGATTTATAACCCTTTGGGTATATACCCAGTAATGGGATTGCTGAGTCAAATGGTATTTCTAGTTCTAGATCCTTGAGGAATTGCCACACTATCTTCCACAATGGTTGAACTAATTTATACTCCCACCAACAGTGTAAAAGTGTTCCTATTTCTCCACATCCTCTCCAGCATCTGTAGTTTCCTGACTTTTTAATGATTGCCATTCTAACTGGCGTGAGATGGTATCACATTGTGGTTTTGATTTGCATTTCTCTAATGACCAGTGATGATGAGCTTTTTTTCATATGTGTGTTGGCTGCATAAATATCTTCTTCTGAGAAATGTCTGTTCATATCCTTCACCCACTTTTTGATGGGGTTTTTTTCTTGTAAATTTATTTAAGTTATTTGTAGATTCTGGATATTAGCCCTTTGTCAGATGGATAGATTGCAAAAATTTCCACCCATTCTATAGGTTGCCTGTTCACTCTGATGATAGTTTCTTTTGCTGTGCAGAAGCTCTTTAGTTTAATCAGATCCCGTTTGTCAATTTTGGCTTTCGTTGCCATTGCTTTTGGTGTTTTAGTCATGAAGTCTTTGCTCATGCCTATGTCCTGAATTGTATTGCCTAGGTTTTTCTTCTAGGGTTTTTATGGTTTTAGGTCTTACATTTAAGTCTTTAATCCCTCTTGAGTTAATTTTTGTATAAGGTGTAAGGAAGGGATCCAGTTTCAGCTTTCTGCATATGGCTAGCCAGTTTTTGCAACACCATTTATTAAATAGGGAATCCTTTCCCCATTTCTTCTTTTTGTCAGGTTTGTCAAAGATCAGATGGTTGTAGACATGTGGCATTATTTATGAGGCCTCTCTTCTGTTCCATTGGTCTATATATCTGTTTTGGTACCAGTACCATGATTATTATTATTATTATTATTATTATTTTTACTGTAGCCTTGTAGTATAAAGTCAGGTAATGTGATGCCTCCAGCTTTGTTCTTTTTGCTTAGTATTGTCTTGGCTCTGTGGGCTCTTTTTTGGTTCCATATGAAATTTAAAGTAGTTTTTTCCAATTCTGTGAAGAAAGTCAATGGTAGCTTGATCGGGATAGCATTGAATCTATAAATTACTTTGGTCAGTATGGCCATTTTGATGATATTGATTCTTCCTATCCATGAGCATGGAATGTTTTTCCATTTGTGTCCTCTTTTATTTCCTTGAGCAGTGGTTTGTGTTTCTGCTTGAAGAGGTCCTTCACATCCTGTATAAGTTGTATTCCTAGATATTTTATTCTCTTTGTAGCAGTTGTGAATGGGAGTTCACTCATGATTTGGCTCTCTGCTTGTCTATTATTAGTGTGTAGGAATGCTTGTGATTTTTGCACACTGATTTTGTATCTTGAGATTTGTTGAAGTTGCTTATCAGCTTAAGGAGATTTTGGACTGAGACGATGGGGTTTTCTAAATACACAATCACGTCATCTGCAAACAGAGACAATTTGACTTCCTCTTTTCCTAATTGAATACCCTTTATTTCTGTCTCTTGCTTGATTGTCCTGGCCAGAACTTCCTATACTATGGTTGAATAGGAGTGGTGAGAGAGGGCATCCTTGTCTTGTGCTGATTTTCAAAGGGAATGCTTCCAGTTTTTGCCCATTCAGTATGTTATTGACTGTGGGTTTGTCATAAATAGCTCTTATTATTTTAAGATACGTTCCGTCAATGCCTAGTTTATTGATAGTTTTTAACATGAAGGGCTGTTGAATTTTTTGAAGGCCTTTTCTGCATCTATTGAGAAAATCATGTGGCTTTTGTCATTAGTTCTGTTTATGTGATTACATTTATTGATTTGCATATGTTGAACCATCCTTGCATCCCAGGGATAAAGCCAACTTGTTCATGGTGGATAAACTTTTTGATGTGCTGCTGGATTCTGTTTGCCAGTATTTTATTAAGAATTTTTGTATTGATGTTCATCAGGGATATTGGCCTGAAATTTTCTTTTTTTGTTGTGTCTCTGCCAGGTTTTGGTATCAGGATGATGCTGGCCTCATAAAATGAGTTAGGGATCATTCCCTCTTTTTCTGTTATTTGGAATAGTTTCAGAAGGAATGGTACCAGCTCCTCTTTGTACCTCTGGTAGAATTCGGCTGTGAATCTGTTTGGTCCTGGACTTTTTTTGGTTGGTAGGCTATTAATTGCTGCCTCAATTTCAGAACTTGTTATTGGACTATTCAGGGATTTGACTTCTTCCTGGTTTAGTCTTGCAAGGGTGTATGTGTCCAGGAATTTATCCATTTCTTCTAGATTTTCTAGTTTATTTGCTTAGAAGTGTTTATAGTATTCTTTGTAGGTAGTTTGTCTTTCTGTGGGATCAGTGGTGATATCTGATTATCTCCTTTATCATTTTTTATTGCATCCATTTGATTCTTCTCTCTTTTTCTTCTTTATTAGTCTGGCTAGTGATCTATCTATTTTGTTCATCTTTTCGAAAAACCAGCTCCTGGATTCATTGATTTTCGAAGGGTTTTTTTATGTCTCTATCTCCTTCAGTTCTGCTATGATCTTAGTTATTTCTTGTGTTCTGCTAGCTTTTGAATTTGTTTGCTCTTGCTTCTCTAGTTCTTTTAATTGTGATGTTAGGATATCGATTTTAGATCTTTCCTGCTTTCTCTTGTGGGCATTTAGTGCTATAAATTTCCCTCTACACATTGCTTTAACTGTGTCCCAGAGATCCTGGTACATTGTGTCTTTGTTCTCATTGGTTTCAAAGAACATCTTTATTTCTGTCTTCATTTCGTTGTTTACCCAGCATTCATTCAGGAGCAGGTTGTTCAGTTTCCATGTAGTTGTGCGGTTTTGAGTGAGTTTCTTAATCCTGAGTTCTAATTTGATTGCGCTGTAGTCTGAGAGACTGTTATGATTTCCATTCTTTTGCATTTGCTGAGGAGTGTTTTACTTCCAATTATGTGGTCAGTTTTAGAATAAGTGTGATGTGGTGCCAAGAAGAATGTATATTCTGTTGATTTGAGGTGGAGAGTTCTGTAGATGTCTGTTAGGTCTACTTGGTCCAAGGCTGAGTTCAAGTCCTGGATATCCTTGTTAATTTTCTGTCTCATTGATCTGTCTAATATTGACAGTAGGGCGTTGAAGTCTCCCACTATTATTATGTGGGAGTCTAAGTCTCTTTGTATGTCTCTAAGAACTTGCTTTATGAATCTGGGTGCTCCTGTATTGGATAATTATAAATGTATATATAATTATAAAATATATAAGTATATATTTATATATTCTTGTTGCATTGATCACTTTACTGTTGTGTAATGCCCTGCTTTGTCTCTTTTGATCTGTGTTCATTTAAAGTTTGTTTTATCAGAGACTAGGATTGCAATCCCTGCTTTTTTTTTTGCTTTCCATTTGCTTGGTAAATATTCCTCCATCCCTTTATTTTGAGCCTATGTGTGTCTTTGCACATGAGATGGGTCTCCTGAATACAGCACACTGATGGGTCTTGACTCTTTATCCAATTTGCCAGTCTGTGTCTTTTAAACGGGGCATTTAGCCCATTTACATTTAAGGTTAATATTGTTATATGTGAATTTGATCCTGCCATTATGATGCTAGCTGGTTATTTTGTTTGTTAGTTGATACGGTTTCTTCATAGCACTGACGGGCTTTACAATTTGGTATGTTTTTGCAGTGGCTGGTACTGGTTGTTCCTTTCCATGTTTAGTGTTTCCTTCAGGAGCTCTTGTAGGGCAGGCCTGGTGGTGACAAAGTCTCTCAGCATTTGCTTGTCTGTAAAGGATTTTATTTCTCCTTCACTTATGAAGCTTAGTTTGGCTGGATATGCAGTTCTGGGTTGAACATTCTTTTCTTCAAGAATGTTGAATATTGGCCCCCACTCTCTTCTGGCTTGTAGGGTTTCTGCTGAAAGATCTGCTGTTAGTCTGATGGGCTTCCCTTTGTGGGTAACCCAACCTTTCTCTCTGGCTGCCCTTAACATTTTTTCTGCATTTCAACCTTGGTGAATCTGATGATTACATGTCTTGGGGTTGCTCTTTTTGAGAAGTATCTTTGTGGTGTTCTCTGTATTTCCTGAATTTGAATGTTGGCCTCTCTTGCCAGGTTGGGGAAGTTCTCCTGGATAATATCCTGAAGAGTGTTTTCCAACTTGGTTCCATTCTCTCCATCACTTTCAGGTACACCAATCAAATGTAGATTTGGTCTTTTCCCACACTTCTTGGAAGCTTTGTTCATTTCTTTTCACTCTTTTTTTCTCTAATCTTGTTTTCTTGCCTTATTTCATTGAGTCGATCTTCAATGTCTGATATCCTTTCTTCCACTTGATCGATTCAGCTATTGTTACTTGTGTATGCTTCATGAAGTTCTCATGCTGTGTTTTTCAGTTCCGTCAGGTCATTTATATTCTTCTCTAAACTGGTTATTCTAGTTAGCAATTCGTCTAACCTTTTTTCAAGGTTCTTAGCTTCCTTGCATTGGGTTAGAACATGCTCCTTTAGCTCGGAGGAGTTTGTTATTACCTACCTTCTGAAGCCTACTTCTGTCAATTCGTCAAACTCATTCTCTGTGCAGTTTTGTTCCCTGGCTGGCGAGGAGTTGTGATCCTTTGTAGAAGAAGAGGCATTCTGCTTTTTGGAATTTTCAGCCTCTTTGTTCTGGTTTCTCCCCATCTTCATGGATTTACCTACCTTTGGTCTTTGAAGTCAGTAACCTTTGGTTGGGATCTCTGAATGGACGTCCTTTTTGTTGATGTTGTTACTATTCCTTTCTGTTTGTTAGTTTTCCTTCTAACAGTCAGGCCCCTCTGCTGCTGGTCTGCTGGAGTTTGCTGGAGGCTGGAGTTTGCTGCAGACCCTGTTTGCCTGATTATCACTGGTAGAGGCTGCAAATCAGCAAAGATTGCTGCGTGTTCCTTACTCTGGAAGCTTTGTCCCAGAGGGCCACCCGCCAGATGCCAGGCAGAGCTCTCCTGTATGAGGTGTCTGTCGGCCCCTACTGGGAGGTGTCTCCCAGTCTGGATGCACCAGGGTCAGGGACCCACTTGAGGAGGCAGTCTGTCCCTTATCAGAGCTTGAACACTGTGCTGGTAGATCCACTGCTCCCTTCAGAGCTCAGTTGAAAATGCAGAAATCATCTGCCTTCTGCATTGATCTCACTGGGAGCTGCAGAGTGGACCTGTTCCTATTTGGCCATCTTTGGGTTCCTGTTTTCCCCCAGCTACTTTTAATGTTTCCCTTTGGTCTTTGATTTTCAATATTTTTACTATGATAAGCCTATGATATGATTTTCTTTGTTCTATTACGTTTGGAGGTTCATAGAATTTTTTAAATCTGTGGACTTATGTCTTTTGTAAGTTTTTAAGATTTCTGACCAGAATCTCTTCAAATGTTGCTTCTCACTCTTAGTCTAATTTTTCTCCTTTTAGGACTCTGATTTACATATACATTAGGTCTTTTCACAGACTTGTTTTCTGTGTTTCAGTTTGAATACATTCAATGTACTGTTTTTTCTTTTTGATATATGCAATCTGCTACTAAAGCGATTCACTAGGTTCCTAATTTCAGATATTGTAGTTTCAGCCCTGGAATTTTTATTTGGTTCTTTTGTTTTTAAGTTTTCAGCTTCTGCCAAAATTCTTAATTTTTTACATTATTTCCTTGCCTATATTTAACATATTTACGTGTCTGTTTCTATTATTTGCTGTTTTGCTTAGTTTTTGCTCATATTGTCTGCTTTCTTTATATGCCTATTATTTTTCAGTGTATTCCGAACATTATATATAAAAATTATAAAGATTATAAAGATTATTTGAGGCCCATGATACTATTATCTCCCTTTGGAGAAAGGGACATGTTTGCTTATAAAAGACACTAGGGGCACTAGTAATTCTTGATTATCTTATACTATTTGAGGATTGAGATAATTTGGGCTTCAAACTCTGTAAGGGCTACCTTTTTCTTCTTCACCTTTCCTTTTAGGGTATGGCCCCTTCTGGTCTGTGATGGTTAATTTTATACATTAACTTGGCTAGGCCACTGCACCTAGATATTTGGCCAAACACCCGTATAGATGTTGCTGTGAAGTTATTTTTTTGAAGACGAAATTAACATTTAAATGAGTTGGCTTTTAGTAAAGCAGATTACCTTCCGTAATGTGGGTGGCCCTCGTCCATAATGTAGGTGGCCCTCGTCTAGTCAGTTGAAGGCCTTAAGAAAAAAACCTGAGGTTCCCCTGAGGAAGAAGGAATTCTGCCTCCACACTGCTTTTGGATTGAGCTACAACACTAACTCTTCCTTAGATTGCTGACCTGTCCTGCAGATTTCAGACTAGCCAGGCTTCGCAATCATGTGAACAAATTCCTTAAAATAAATCTCAATATCTCTCTCTCTCTCTCTACACACACACACACATGCACACACAAACCCTAATACAGGGTTTCAAAGCAAAGCCTAGGAGTTTACTAGGGTTCCCTTTGTTAGGAGGCCCTAAATTCTAACCTATGTCCTATTGCCTTATAAGTTTATTGAAAGCTTTGCTCAGTTTCTCTGCCTCTCCACCATCTCTACATAAATTGAAAGTTGTCCCTAGGGAAAAGGTGATTTTAGATGCTGGGCTCATCACTCTAGGTCTCCTTCTTGTCTTATGTCTTGGTCTCATAATTATTCACTGCTGTATTAGTTCTCTTGGGCCCTCAAACAGATTTACAACTTTTCCACTAGCTTTTCTAGTTGTTCTCAGTGGAACAGTTGGTCTGACTTATCTAGTCTACCATTACCAAGAGTGATTCTTCTAGGATAGGTGGCAGCCTGTTTTTATTGAACAAAATGTATGGAAGAAATCAGATAAAGATTTCAATTTTGCTTTTGTTGAATTGAGTAGCTTTTGAGACATCTAAGGCAAGATAATAGGAAAGTAGTTGGATAAACAAAGCTAGAACTTGGAAGAGGGATCTCTGTGGAGAAAAATTTTTGTATCAGTAGTATATAGATAGTATTCAGAATGATGAAAATGAATGAGATTACCTAAACAGAAAGTCTGGATAGAAAAATAATAGGGACTGAAAGCTCTTTTAGGAACTCCAACTTTTAGAAGTTAGTTAGAGGAGGAGGTATCAGTGAAACACTGAGAAAGGGTTGTCAGAATAAGAGTTTGGTGTCATAGAAGCAGATAAAAAAGAGGATTTAAAGAAGTAGGGGATGATGAAATATGATTTATGTGATGAAAAGTCTGACAAAATAGGGCCTAAAAAGCATCTGAGTATTTGAGCCTCACAAACATATTATAGCCACTTGATAGATGACCATGCTTTTGCAGTAGTGTGGGTGGACAGCCTCAGGAAGAGTGACTCAGGGCTCTGGGAGGTCTGCCCAGCAGCAGTCACCCTGGTGGCCTTCAATCTCTAATCTGATAATGAGTTCTGTGCCATCTCAACCTGAAAGACTTATTTGAAACCTGTGGCCCTGTCCTTTTGGCAAATGATTTGGGTAATCCCTGTCATGAACAAAGAAAGATAGTGGTGTTCCCACTTTTTCCTAATACTTACCAGCTCTTCAGGGAGAAAACCTGTAGTTCTTCACTGTTCTAAACCTGAGCACAGCTGTACCTCCTGAGGTGAGCTTTCATTGCTTGCCCCTGCAGAACTCCAACTCGACACTTCACCAGAATCATGAGGCAGAGGAAATGCTAATTTCTCAGACCAGAGAGGTGTGCTTCTCTACAGCACGCTTTTACTATTTTGAGCTCTCTGTATAGCTTTTTTTTTAGTCTTTAGTCCAGAAGAAAATTTAGACTAAAGAACCTGAAATATTGCCAATATTTCAGAAAAGTCCAGTGATAGGGATTGAAAAAAGTGGCAGTAATATGCAGCATATATCTTACTATGGTTTCCTTATTTTCCTAGAAAACATTAAAGAATGGTTGTTTTTCTGTGCAAATGCTTCGCAATGCATTTGCATTTTTATGGTGAGTTTGACTACTGGGCACACTGATGGTATCTAGAGTGTAGTGAAACGGGCATCTGCATAACAAGGAAGATAGTGATCCCAAAGCCCATTGTCCTTATGGGATAAGTGTGGGGTAAAACGCAGGCCTTCACTCTGAACCTATTGACTTGGAACCATGTGTAAAATGAATTTATTTATTTATTTAAATTTATCTGATTCATGCCTGATGAGGCAAGCAGAGCCTGTGTGAGTTATTTGAAAAATTAGAGCAAACTCGTTCACTCAAAGACAGTTTTTCTTTTTCTTTTTTTTTTTTTTTTGAGATGCAGTCTCGCTCTGTCGCCCAGGCTGGAGTGCAGTGGCTTGACGTCGGCTCACTGCAAACTTCATTTCCCAGGTTCAAGTGATTCTCCCGCCTCAGCCTCCTGAGTAGCTGGGATTACAGCCATGTGCCACCATACCCAGCTAATTTTTGCATTTTTAGTAGAGACGGGGTTTCACCATGTTGCCCAGACTGGTCTCGAACTCCTGACCTCAAGTGATCCACCTGCCTCGGCCTCCCAAAGTGCTGGGATTACAGGTGTGAGCCACCATGCCTGGCCTCAAAGACAATTCTTTAGACAGAAACCATTCTTTTGCTTTGGAGAAAAGCTGTTTGGATATAGTTTAAGGCCCCATGAAATGCAGTCTTTAATCAATGCAATCCCAGCCAAGCTAACATGTTACTTATTTGGTAGATCTTGATAGTTATTAAAGAGTCACTACTCATACATGGTAATACCTTCATGAGTGAGATTAAATAATTGGTTGGATGACTGGCAGGATGACACACTCTGAAATGTATTAATTTTGTGTAGTTGACTCACTTAGTTTCTCTGATTTTGATCCTTAAATATAAAGTGGGACTAACATAGTTTTTGTCCTGCCTATATCACAAGGTTATTAAGAAGATCAAACAGGATAATAATGTATGGAAGGCTCTAGATAAATATAGGACTTTGTTTACTGTAATATAATCACCTCATTTTTGGAAATTGTGACTGTGGCTTTACCTCGTGTCAATCAGCAAGTGTTAGGAAGGCTCTGTGTGGTATCACAACAACATCCAGCACTCATAGACTCCCAGGACTATCACAAGCCCTTAGGAAACTTTAAAAACACTAGTATAAGCTCTGTGGAAAATAGCCAAGGGCTTAAGGTGCAAAGTCATAGGCAGTGCCTTATGATTAGTCATTTTACCAGCCCAGAAAGAAAAATTCATTTTCATTGGCTAGTTACAGCCATAATAGACAACTCTGTCAGCAAAAAGCCAGGAAGCACAGGAGGAGAGCAGGAAAAGGTAGGAGAAGAGGTAAGAGAGAAAGAGAAATAAGAAAGATGGTTCATGGCCGGGTGCTTAAATATCAGAACTCTGGCTGTGGAAGCCAACTGGAATCTAGTCCAATATTGGTTTCCTTCATCAAGTCACATTTAGCATTAGAGGTGTTTTTTCAAGAAGTTGCCAATAACAGACCATGCAAATGAATTTTTAAACCATTGTGAATTCTATATTTATCGTATAGTGTTCAAGGTACATATTACTGTGGTTAGGAGACGGGAAAGTGGCCAGGTGGAGGTAATGCATATTACTGTGGTTAGGAGAAGAGAAAGTGGCCAGGTGGAGGTAACACTCTGCAGCAATGAATGAGTCCTGCAAAACTTTAGAGTGAGGTTCTGCTGTTCTGCTGCTAGAGGAATGGGCCAAGAACAACCGCAGCTTGGGCAGTTAGCAGACACCCATGAATGAGGCTCCTCTAAAGATCGTGTGGTTATATGAATCAGAAAATGCCATGCTCTCTACCACCAAACAGAGCACAGAAACACCTGAGGTCGCCAAAACTCTCTGCTGCCCTTAAGCCTGCTCCCCAAGAAAAATGGTGAAATTTGTCTTCGATGCTGATTTTGTACTTCCCCTCTTTTCTTCCCAGTTACCCAACTCTTTGGTGGCACCTCTTTTCCAACTCCCTCAAATGCTCAGGACCATTCTCTGTTCCTCTTCCTCACCATGAAAGTTATTCTTTGGTGGGGGGAGGTGGGTCGTAATATATGTTAATTCACACTTAGGTGTAAATGACTGATAAGAGTTTAAAGTGGGCTCTGACTTTAATGATTTGCAAATGACTGCCAAGGCCTTAAATTACAGGAACAAAGTTATAAGGCTAGAAGTAGGGGATCATTCATCTCTAAATGGCACCTCTTTTATTAGCTAATCAGACTAAATTAAAATGCCACATTATTTATTCTCTGTAATGGTAAATGATCTGGGAATTTGCTGATTACATTAGCAATTTTTCTTTAATTTCAGGAAGATGCAAAAGAGAAAGTTATGGAGATATGAACCTACACTTGTTTGCAGTGCTTGACTCACCTACATCTGTGCTGGCAGTTTCCATCTAACTTACCCAGAATCAGATAGCACAAGATGTGCTATTGAGTCCTTACTGCAGCCCCTTCTCTTTTCTGCTAGCTTGAAAGCATAAAATCCAACCTATTTTTTCCTTGGCAGTAAGAAAGGCAGCCTTCTTTCCACCATGGTCTCCTTGATGGCACCAAATACTGTGGAATCACCTTAAGAGAAGGACTTTCCCTACTCCTTTTTTTTTTTTTTTTTTTTGAGATGGAGTTTTGCTCTTGTTGCCCAGGCTGGAGTGCAATGGCATAATCTTGGCTCACTGCAACCTCTGCCTCCCGGGTTTAAGCAATTCTCCTGCCTCAGCCTCCCGAGTAGCTGGGATTACAGGTGCCTGCCACCAAGCCTAGCTAATTTTTTGTAGTTTTAGTAGAGATGGGGTTTCACCATGTTGGCCAGGCTGGTCTCAAACTCCTGACCTCAGGTGATCCGCCCACCTTGGCCTCCCAAAGTGCTGGGATTACAGGCGTGAGCCACAGCACCTGGCCTTCCCTACTTCTTTCATGTGAAATTCACCAGCCTTCCCTTTCTCTTGTCTATGCTAAATCTCCCTCAGTTTTTTGACTAACTCAGTCAAAGAGACAGGATATAGAGATCTTGGTACTGGTTAAGTGTTTGTGTAGGTGTAGGTGAGGGCCCTAGCAGAATCTGTGGGAGATGAGGAAGACCCTGATGGGACATTTTTTGGATACTGACTTAACTCCTTACTGTCCCTCATTGTCTCTTAAGCATGGCTCAGTCAGCCACTGAAGGTGGGTGTCAGCTTCCAGAGTACCTCATGGCAAAAACTAACACCCTCACCTCCTAAGAGAGTTCAGAGAACCCTCCAGGGGACAGGTAGCATTCCTCCCTGGGAATTAACACAAAGACAGAAAATACTTGCTCTTGCTCTCTCTTATTCTAACAATTGACCTAACAACTTTATAGGACATATTAGCAACTGGTGAATACAGGAAACAGGACCAGCAGATAATAAATAATTCAGTGAGAAATATATTCCAGAAAACCAATTGACATGATTGGAGAGTTCTTGATAAATGTAACATATTTACAAACACTCATTACATTGTGTTGTTATCCCAAAGGCTAATTTATTCTGATTCAAAATTATTTTCCTGGAAAAGAATGGCTGGGGGAACTAAAAATTCTAGGGAGACCAACTCCAAAGTTAATCTAAATAGCTTCTCTGGAGCAAATGCATTTTTAAGTTGATTACCAACTCATTGAGTTTCTTTGGCCTTGGGATCCAGCGGAGGGTGCCATTATGTACTTTGAGGTTTCACTCTGGCAGAGAATAGAAGTGTAGAGATTCAATTCCTATGAAAAAAAGATAGAATAAGTCTTATGTTATCAGTAGACACTCCAGGGCACAAAATTCCTGTTTGGTTGGGTGAGTTATTTCAGAGTCATGCTGAGATTAATCAATGGCATTGTTGGCTATTTGACTGCCTGTTCCTCTGCACTCTTACTTTTGTTTTGTATGTAATTGTGTTTATTTAATTTTTTAATAAAAGCACAAACACATCAAATTAAAAACCCTAAAAAACTGTAACTTCAAACAGTACCAAAAAAACCTAAACCCTAAAAAGTAAATATCTTTCCAAAATTGTCCCATTTTCCTGGTACTGTTCCCTAAAGGCAGCCACAATTAACAGTTTCTTTTGTCTTTTCAGAGATCTTCTAAGCAGATATTAATATATGTTTCTCTCTCTCCACACACATACCCAAATACATATATATACATACACACACATATATATATACACACACATATAGAAGCATAGTATACATGTGGTATCATGCCTTGCTTTTTTCATTAAATAATATGTCTTGGTCATTGTTATCACCTGTCTGTCTATTGTCAACCTAATTCTTTGTGATAACTGTATAATATTCACTTTATGAATGCATTATAAGTTATTTAGTCAGTTCCCTGTTGATGTTGGGGTGGCTTTGTCTTTGGCTGAAGTGATTTCTAAGGTGGAGGTGAGGAGAAGGTGCAGTGATGCTGGGTTTTGCTTTGATGGTAGGGCATGTATCTCCTGGATGGTTGGGACAATTGAGGGGCATCTGTGAAGGCTGGGTGGAAAAAGGAGAGGAGTTAGATCAGAGAACAGACATGTGGTAGGGGACTGGGTGAAGTCTTGCCACGTGATAAAATTTCCTTCTGTCTTCCACCTCCCAAGGAAATCCTCAGTAAAATTGACATTACTGGCAAATGCATTTGGAGTTTAACTATTCAGCAAATATTATTTGCACCTTTACGTGCCAGGCACTGTTCTAGGTGCTAGAGAGACAGCCATGAACAAAACAAAGTTCCTGCTATCATGGCATTTACATCAATGGTGGAGCGAAATAATACTAAATAATATATTTTATATCTATATATTATTTTTTTTCTGAAAGCAAATAAAGCAGGAGATGGGGCTTGAGAGCAACAGAGGGTGTTGGGATTGTTTTCCTTGGGAGGCAATGCCACGTGATGCCTCACGGCCAGGTGGATTCAGGGTGGGTGCTGAGGCTGCCGGGCAGTACCACTGTATCTGGATTGTCTGGAATGCCCAGGTGGCCTGTTGCACCACTCCCATCTACATTCCCACACTGGAAGTTCCCGCTGCTGGCATTGCTGTCAGATGCTGGATCTGTATTCGGGAATGGAGTGCCATCTCCTTTCCAGGTATGTGATAGCATTTGTCGGGGAAGGAGGGGCAGGAAGTGGGAGAAACCTAGAATAAGGGGATGGTGGCTTTGGAGAAAATATGGATAATCTACCAACAGATTAATTCAACATCACTGAATTACCAAAGGGCTTCTCATCATTCACTGTTTAGCAGGGGGCAGGAAAAATTATTCATTATTCAACATAGGCTGAAATGAAAATGCCACACTTTGTGAAACATGCAAGGTTACCTACTATAGTAACTGCTTGCAGAGCCTTAATGTGTCTGCAGCACGGCTAATTAATTTGCTCTGAGCTTCACTGGAATTCTTATTTAAGATGATTGTCTTGGTAACTGAATGCACCACAGAGAGCGAAAATATTAAAAATGCCATTTGGGGCTACTGTAGTAATCTGAGTCTTTCTCGGGACTTTCTCAGACTCCATCAGCAAGGACTTCTCAGTGCCCCTGTCCAGCTCCCATAGACCTGCAGGGTGGGCAGGGTTTACCAGAGCTGCATAGCCTGTAGTGTTGCAGTTTAGAATCCAGGCTCTGAAGTCAGACCAGTCTTGGAATTCACATTTACACTAGCAGCCACTGACCGGGTGACCTCACACATCTAATGTCACCATTTTCATCACCATTGCTACTACCACAATCATCATCATCACCATTTTTCCCCTTCTATCTTTGTTTTGTGTCTTATTTGTGTGTTGGGATTTTAAGTATTGTGTGCAAACTGGGCAAACTATAAAAGACGGTATTGGCACAACTGAAACCAACTTCTGAGGCCTCAAAGAAATGAACAATTGGGGGAACTGAGCCCTGGTCGAGGCTTTGCTGCTGCCATGTGGTTTGGACCAATTCCTTCATCTCTCTGGGCTCCACCCTCCTCTCTGGTAGGCCAGAGAGGTTGGAATTGGTGATCTCTCGGGTCCTGTTTCACTTTGAAGGGAGTGGCTCCTAAACAACCACAGGTAGGTAACTTAGGGTGTGTTTGGCAGCAAGTAGCAAAGTAACCGATAAACAGTGGCTTAAACAAATAACATAGGCTTAAAAAATCCTAAACAAATTTTGGCAAACCAAATCTAGCAGTATGTAAAAAAGATCATATATTACAACCAAATAGACGTAGTTTTCTCTTTGTATCCTCTGAATACAGCTTGTTAAATAATTCACTAATATGTGTACAGTGTCTCAACTATATTGGACATTTCCTAAGAACAGAAGTAGTGTCTTTTAAATCTTTGTACCTCCTGAGTTTCTAGCTTAGTATTTTGCTAAATAAGCATCTATTGATTTAAATTAAAAATTAGAAATAATGCAAAATCTTGGGTAATCATCATATTACCTGGTACTTTACTATCTTTGTGTTTTAGATCTATCAACAATTTGTAAATGAGTAGATTGTTGAGGCTTCTGTTTTTAGTCTAATGGTTTGCATGTATAATTCCTTGGGAGCTTGTAACACATCACAAGAATATTATTAAACAACAATTAACCTTGTGAACAAAAGAGAAGTCACAAACATTATTTATTACTTTGTCAGTTTCAATAAAGACCTAATGTGCTAATAGCTTTTCATGGAGACAGCTGCCATCGGTTAAGTAAAAACATCATTAAGTTGCAACCATAAGTATAAATAGAGACAGAAGCTACTAGTTTTCTGATTGCTGACAGGCATTAACTGGTTTATGGGTATCATTTCAGTAGCTTTCTATTGCATTGTGTTTTTTTATGACTGTCTGTTGAACACATCCATATCCACATACATTTATTGAATGTCACAGCTGAGAGGCATTTTAAGAATGTCTCACTCAATGTTTTTTAAACTATGGTCAAAGATTTCTTAGGAGTTACTGGGAGTCTGTTAAAGGACTTCCTGGGTGTTGTAAGGTCAGGGACAGTGGACGGTTCTCCAGGAAAAGCAGGGCACTTTGACATGGCTACCTTGATGCAAGTTTCATCTTGGCTCAGTGATTTTAATGCAGGTATTTTGTCATGGCATGGCTGCACAAAATAATCCTATAAAATAATAAAATCACTGGTCCTTATCATCAATAATGTATGCAATAGCTACCCTTAATTCTTAGTCTACTCCAACCTCTACCCCTGTTATGGTGATTTTCATTTTCTATTTTATTCACTTATCTATTGTTTGAATTTTTATACATATTTATTACTTTTACTTGGAAATAATATTAAAGATATTTCTTATAAGTCTGATTAAACTGGGATCAAGTCTTAGGAGCATCAGGCTTATCTCCCCAAACCAGCATTGCATAGCGATATTATGAAATGAAAATGTATATTACCAAAAGTTCTGAGAGAACTGCTAGAAATTCCTAACTGCTAGTAATTGGCAATTTCCTGTGCAGTCAGGAGCTGAGAACAAGAGGCTAAATCATACTCATAGTGTCTTTAACTCTGATGGATGAATGAGAGAATTTAATTTACTTATGCCAAAGCATAAGTAAAGGCTTGGAAAATTTTGGGATCTCACTCCATCTCTGAACCTCATCCCACCCTTACTGCATACTTCAACTTGACCTTATCCTCAATTTTTCATCCTGAAATGGTGTTGGCAGTGCAGTAATGCTCAGGTATAGGGTGGGCTTATTGGATTTTCATATTACTTGGTGTATGAGATTCTTGTCGCTGCTATAACAAGCACACACTTGGTAGCTTAAACAACAGAAATTTATTCTTTCACACTTCTGGGGGCCATAAGTCTGAATCAAGGTGTCATCAGGGCTGTGCTTCCTCAGAAGGCTCTAAGGGAGGATTTTTTCTTGCCTCTTTTAGCTTCTGGTGGCTCCAGGTGTACCTGGCTTACCTTACACCAGGTGTACAAGGTGTACCCTGGCTTGTGGCTATATAAAACCAGCCTCTTCTGTTTTCACATGACCTGTGTCTGTGCCTTCTCCTCTTTGGTCTCCTATAAGGATGGTGTCATCAGATTTAGAGCCCACCCAGATAATTCAGGATCATCTCCTCATCTTCAAATTCTTTAACTTCATTTTATCTGCAAATTTCCTTTTTCTAAATAAGGTAACATTCACTTATTTACCACCTAAGGTAATATTCACAGCTTCTAGGGATAGGAGGAGGTGAACTTATTTTTTGCGGGGGAGGGGGGCTATTATTCAATTGACTACATTTGCTAATTAAAAGAGAATTGGTAATTTTTTTTTGAGACAGGGCCTTGCTTGGTTGCCCAGGTTGGAGGGCAGTGGTGTGATCTTGGCTCACTACAACCTCTGTCTCCCAGGCTCAGGTGATCCTCCTACCTTAGCCTCCCAAGTAACTGGGACTATAGGCATGTGCCATCACACGTGACTGAAAATTGGTAAAATTTTAAGGTAAAAGTTTAACGGATTGTATCTTCTCCTGAATTAAAATGTTCCTTCATCAAAACAGTGGCCAGTATCAAAATGTCACTTCCCTGACTCTGGAGCCTACCTCTACTTCAGCAAGAGCTGCTTTCCTGCTTTTGACTGTTCCACATGAGCTTGGGCTAGTATGAGGCTTCCACAGCTAAATGGAAATTCAGAAACTCCTACTCCTTTTTTTTGCTTTATTATTTTTAGTTGACACATAATAATTGTGCATATCTATGGAGTACAGTGAAATATTTTGATATATGTATACAATGTGTAATGATCACATCAAGATAAATAGCATATCTATCACCTTAAACATGTATTATTTCTTT
Organism: Homo sapiens; assembly: GCF_000001405.40. NCBI lineage: Eukaryota > Metazoa > Chordata > Mammalia > Primates > Hominidae > Homo > Homo sapiens. Next base: position 66,321,685 of record NC_000014.9, on the reverse strand, counting down.
GTGTTGGAAATATTCACTGGAACTTATTCCTCTTGTCTAGCTGTAATTTTATGTCTGCTAATCAACCTCTCACTATCCACACCTCCCTCTATCCTTCCCAGCCTCCAGCAACCACTGTTCTACTCTCTGATTCTGACATCGACTTTTTTTTACCTTCCACATATGAGGGAGAACATACAGCATTTATTTTATTGTGTCTAGTTTATTCCATTTAACATGTCCTCCAAGCTCATCCATGTTGCTGTGAATGAAAGGATTGACAGGATTTCGTTCTTTTTGTGGCTGTATAGTATTCCATTGTGTACATGCACCACATTTTCTTTATCCATTCATCTGTTGATGGACACCTAGGTTGATTCCACATCTTGGCTATTGTGAATATGCTGCAATAAATATGAGAGTACAGATACAGCTTCAACATAATGATTTCCTTTCCTTTGGATATATACTCAGTAGTTGGATGGATGGATCACATAGTACCTCAATATTTACTTTTTGTAAGAAGCCTCCATGCTGTTTCCTGTGTTGGTTGTTATCTATAATGGCTGTATTATTTACATTCCCATCAACAGTGTATGAGAATTCCCCTTTCTCCACATCCTTGCCAGCATTTGTTATCTTTTGTCTTTTTTGATAATAACCATTCTGACTAGGCTGAGATGATATCTCATTGTGGTTTTGATTTGCATTTCCCTGATGATTAGTGATGTTGCGCATTTTTTTCATATACCCATTGGCCATTTGTATGTCTTCTTTTGAGAGATGTCTATTCAGCTCATTTGCCCATTTTAAAATCTGATTCTTTTCTTTTTTGCTGTTGAGTTGTTTGAATTCATTGTATAGTCTGGATATTAGTCCCTTGTTGGATGACTAATTTGCAGCTGTTTTCCACTCTCCAGGTTGTCTCTTTGCTCGGTTGATTGTTTCCTTTACTGTGCAGAAGCTTTCTGGTTTGGTATAATCCCATTTGTTTATTTTTGCTTTGTTACCTGTGCTTTTGAGGTCTTCTCCATAAAATCTTTGCCCAGTCCAATGTCCTGAAGTTTTCCCCATGTTTTCTTCTGGTAGTTTCATAGGTTCAGGTTTTAAGTTTAAGTCTCAAATGCATTTTTATTTGATTTTTGTACATGGTGAGAGATGGGGGTTTAGTTGTATTCTTCTGCATGTGGATATTGAGTTCTCCCAGCACCATTTGTTAAAGAGATTCCTTTCCCTCGTGAGTGTTTTTGGTGTTCTTTGTCAAAAATCAGTTGGCTGTAAATACATGGATTTACTTCTGGGTTTTTTATTCTGTTCCATTGGTGTATGTGTCTGTTTTTGTGCAAGCAGCATGCTGCTCTGCTTACTAAAGCTTTGTAGTATATTTTGAAGACAAGTAATGTGATGCTTCCAGCTTTGGGTTTTGTTGTTGTTGTTGTTGTTGTTGTTGTTGTTCTGAATAGCTTTGGTTATTTGGGGTCTTTTGTAGTTCCATATAAATTTTAGTATTTTTTTTCTATTTCTGTGAAGAATGTCATTGGTATTTTGATAGGAATTGCATTGAACCTGTAGATCACTTTTGGTAGTATGTTCATTTTCACAATATTCATTCTGCCAATCCACGAACATGAAAAGTCTTTCTGTGTGTGTGTGTGTGTGTGTGTGTGTGTGTGTGTGTGTGTGTGTATTGTGTGTGGTCAATTTCTTTCATCAGTATTTTATAGTTTTCCTTGTAGAGATTCGTCACCTCCTTTGTTAAATTTGTTCCTAGGTATATATTTTGGTAGCTACTGTAAATGGAATTACTTTCTTGATTTCTTTTTCAGCTAATTCATTGATTTTGTATATTGATTTTGTATTCTCCATATTGTTGAATATGTTAATAAGTTCTAACAGTTTTTTGATGGGACGTTTAGGGTTTTCGGTACATAAAATCATGTAATTTGAAAGCAGGGACAATTTTATCTCCCCCTCTTCAATTTGGATGCCCTTTATTTCTTTCTCTTGGCTATTTGCTATAGCTAGAACTTCAAATATTATGATGAATAAGAGTGGCAAGAGCGGGCGTCCTTGTCTTTCCCAGGTCTTAAAGGAAAAGCTTTCTGCTTTTCCCTATTCAGTAGATGTTAGCTGTGTGTTTGTATAATATATGGCCTTTATTGTGTTGAGGTATGTTCCTTTTATACCTAATTTTTTGAGAGTTTTTATCATGAAGTGCTGTTGAATATTATCAAATGCTTCTTCTGCATCTATTGATATAATTGTATGGTTGTTGCCTTTCATTCGATTGATGTGATATATCATATTTATTGATTTGCATGTTAAGCCATCCTTGTATCTCTGGGATAAATATACTTGATGATGGTGAATGATTATGGTGAAGCATGTTGTTTAATTTCTATGTATTTATAGTTTCAAAAGTTCCTTTTGTTATTGATGTCTAGTTTTATTGCATTGTGGTCAGAAAAGGTGCTTAACAGAATTTCAGTTTCTAAAAATTTGTAGAGATTTGTTTTGTGGCCTAACATATGGTCTATCTTGGAGAATTTTCCATGTGCTGATGAGAAAAGTGTTTATTATGCAACTGTTGGATGAAGTGTTCTGTAAATGTCTGTTACATCCAGTTGGTCTAAAGTGCAGTTTAAATTCAGTGCTTCCTTGTTGATTTGCTGTCTAGATGATCTGTCTAATGCTGAGAGTAGGGAGTTGAAGTTCCCAACTATTATTCTATTGGGGTATATCTCTCCTTTTAGATACAATAACATTTGTTTTATATATGTGGATGTCCTGGTGTTGGGTGCATATATATGCACAATTGTTATATCCTCATGCTGAACTACCCCTTTTTCATTATTTGATGACCTTCCTTGTCTCTTTTTATAATTTTTGACTTAAAGTCTGTTTTATTTGATGTAAGTATAGTACTACTGCTCTCTTCTGGCCTATATTTACATGGAATACTTTTTAATCCTTTAATTTTAGTCTTTATGTGTTTTTAACAGGTAAAGTGTTCCTTATAGGCAGCATACAGTTGAGTCTTTTTTTTTTTTAATCCATTCAGCCAGTTTATATCTTTTGGTCTAAATTCAAAGTTATTATTGCTAGATAGGGACTTACTCCTGTCATTTTGTTAATTGTTTTCCGGTTGTTTTGTATATTCTTTGTTCCTTTCTTCCTCTTTTATTGTTTATCACTGTGGTTTGGTGGTTTTTCTGTAGTGATAAGGTTTGATTCTTTTCTCTTTCTCCTTTGTGTATGTTCTCTACCAGTAAGTTTTATACTTCTGCATATTTTCACAATGGTGGCTATCATCCTTTTGCTTCAAGTTGTAGGACTGCCTTGAGCATTTCTTGTGATGCCTGTCTAGTTCCTCAGTTTTTACTTATCTGAGAAACACTTTATTTCTTCTTCATTTCTATAGGATAGGATATCTTTGCTGGGTATAGTATTTTTGTCTGACAGTTTTTTTCCATCACTTTGAAAATGTTATTTCATTCTCTCCTGGCCCATAAGGTTTCTGCTGAGAAATATGCTATTAGCCTAATGGGGATTCACTTATATGTATCTTGATGCTTTTCTCTTGCTGTTTTTAGAATTCTCTTTTTATCTTTGACATTTAACAGTTTGTCTATAATATGCCTTGAGGAATACCTTTTAGAGTTGAACATGTTTGGGTATCTGAGCTTCCTGGATCTAGTTGTCCATATTTATTCCAAGACTTGGGATGTTTTCAGCTATTATCCCATGAAATACGGTTTTTTTTTCTTCTTCAAAAAACCCCTTTCTTCTTTTCTTCTGGAACTCTACAATGTAAATATTTATTTCCTTAATGCTGTTTCAAGTTCTATAGGCTTTCTTCACTCTTTTTCATTCTGCTATTTTTCCTCAGACTGGGTAATTTCAGACAACCTATCTCAAGTTCTTTCTTCTGCTTAATCAAGGCTGCTGTTGAAGTTCTTGATTGTATATTTTATTTCATTCATTGCATTCTTCAGCTGCAGGATTTCTGCTTTTTAAAAATATATATAACTCTGTTAAATTTCTTATTCATATTGTAAATTGCTTTCCTGATTTTGCTGAATTGTCTATATGTCTTTTCTTGTATCTCACTGTGTTTCTTTAATATCATGATTTTGAATTTCCATTCTTGCAATTCATAGATTTCCTTTTCCTTGGTGTCTTTTACCAGAAAGTTAGTGTGTTCCTTTGGTGGTGTCATATTTTCTTCCTTTTTCATGTTTCTTGTGTTCCTGCATTTTTGTCTGTATATCTGGTGGAACATTTTCCTCTTCTGAACTTTCTAGAGTGGATTTTGTAGAGAAAGACTTTCACCTGTAGTTGGATCTTAGTGTGCTTGTTGGGAAGGACATGATGACTCTGATTCTGAGTAGATGCAGTAGTACTGTCTTCATTCTGCTTCTTCGTCTGTGATCAATGTCAGCAATAACTGTGGGTGCCTCAGTGACTCAGGCTGTAGAAGTTTGTGGCAGCTAAGGTGGCAATGTAGGTTGTTAAAGTCCTCAGTGGCAATGGCTTTTGGGGTCCTCTTATTTTCATTTTCCCCACAATGGGGAGACCAAGTTGAGAGGCTCCCTCTTGATGATGGGCCTGACATAGTGTCTACAGGCACCTTCAGTTGTGTTGGGTTCCAGGTATAGATGCTTGATGGGGTTGTGGAGCCAGGGTTCTAAGCTCAGGTCTTATGAATCTATTGTGGCATCTGGGTCTTGGGGTACAGGTTCACTCTCTGTGGCAAAGTTTTATTTACATTGCCCACAGAGCCAGTTTCTGTCACTCTGAGGCACTACCTAACAGCTTGACCCAGGGGCTGGGTAGTAACTGTTATTCTGACCCTGGTGGGCAAGGCACAGCTCTTGGCCCAGCTCCAGGAAAGAAGTAGTGCTCTTGAGGTTTGGGCTCAGAGAGCAGTGCGTGGCTGCAATTCAGAAACCAGAGCCAACAGGGCTCAGTGGCAACTCAGATCCCAGGGGATCAGGCCCTGTGCAGTAGTGACTCTAGACTCTGGGATGGTGAGGATTGACACCTGTGAGACCAGGTGCAGTGGCAGAAAGGACCCAAGATGAGCAGAGTGTAGCTGTCATTTTGGCCCTGGCGATTGGGAAGCAGCATAGTAATGACTCCAATACCCAGGGAGAAGGATGTCTCAGAAGTTCAGTCTCTACAAGGCTAGTATAGTACCAGCGAAGCAGGACACTAGAGATGTTTGGCCTGTAGGGAAGGGTGTTTCAGTTCAGCCACTGCTCTGTTTCCCTGGAACATGGGATATTATAGCAGGTCAGCACTGGAATACTCAGCTGCTCAGCTCGTCCAAGGCCCCAGTTCCCCACGGATGATGCACTGCTTCAGCTCAGGCTTGGTGAGGGTGACTACTCTGGACAGCCCACATATCATTTCCCTAAAATGCATGATGTTGCTTCCACTTAGTACTTGTGTGCATCACCACTCTGGGGGATGAAGGCACAGGTTCCTTGGAGGCAGGGTGCTGCTTCAACTTAGGTACTAGGGAGGCAGGACTATCTGGGAAGCCAAAGTACTGCTTTCCCAGGAGTCAGGGTATCACTTCAGCTCAGGAAGTGGGCGGCATGACAGCTCTGGGTGGCCAAGGCTCCATTTCCCAGGATGCCAGGCATTGCTTGAGCACACCTGAAGCACAGGTGGCAGGGTGTAGCATCGACTGGGAGGAGTATATGGCACACCTCCATGAAAGCACCATTTCCATGGGAAGCAGTGCATAGCGTCAGCTCAAGTCCCTTGGGACAGGTGCAGCAGCAACTGGGAAGGGTAGATGAAGCAGCTCAGCCAAAGCACTGTTTCCTTGGAGAGGGTGTGCAGCTTTAGCTTGGCCCTGAGAGCAATGGGGAGAAGTGGATGGAGTGGCTCCATTAAGGTAATGTTTTCTTGAAAGACAGTGTGCAGCTTCAGCTTAGGCCCCTAGGGGCAGGGCACAGCAGCCACTGAGAGGGGTAGATAGAGCTGCTCTGCCAAGATGCTATTTCCCAGAGAAAGAGTGCTCAACTTCAGTTCCAGCTCGTGGGGGTGGGGTGCAACCTTGACTGGGAGGGGTGGATGGAGTGGCTTCACCACTACTTGTCCCCATGGGAAAGGTGAAACAGTTGCTGTTAGCTCAGCTTAGGGATGTTTGGGCCACAAGGTACGGGTGGTTCTATAGCAGCTTAGCCTCAGGGAAAAAAGAGTACTATGGCCACTTGTCCCCAGAGCAAGATAGACTCCAGCAGTAGTTCTAGTTCCAAGACAAAATACCATAGTAGCTGCTTGGACCACAAGGGGCAAGGCATAGTGTTGGCTCCTTCTCTGGGAGGAGCACAGCTTTGTGGACCACAGGCAGCTCTCTCAGCTGGGCTTAGTGCCTGTGAGGACTGCCAGGGCCCCCAGTGGTGAGGTCTGTAGGTGTTCAGGGTGTTGATAAGGGCACTGGCGTCCTCTTGCTGACCTTATCCCCAGAGAAGGAAGTTCCTTCTGACTCCCAGCTGATCCCAGCTTGGGGATGGAATGGTTCCTTTGTTCTTTCTGTGGCTATCCTCAGTTTCTGTGCTTGCCAGGGTTTCTGTGACTCCTTTGATGTACTCTGGTGCTCTTTTTAAATTATTTTCATTTAAATGTAGTAAGTACATTTAAATGTATTTAATTATTATCATTTAAATGTTGTTATTTATTTTTAGTTTTGTCTGTCTTTGTTGGGGGTGGGGAGCAAGTGGAAGGGCTTCTAGTTGGCCATCTTGCTGATGTCTGAGAATGCCTACTCCTTGTTAAATAACTTCATTTGTTCTATGAGGAAACAGAGATCTTGAGGTTGAGAAGGACATTGCCCTTAGAGTCCTAAGGGCTACAGGCTTCATCCCTCTCCACCCTGACAGTTCTGGGGCAGTGGGTATATCATCTAATTTCTTTACTCTTTAGTTTCTTCATCAATAAAGAGATGATAATAATACTTCTACTAACCTATTAGAATTATTATGAGTATCAAATGCTTTGAAAATAGGTATAAAGTTTATTTGTGACATTATGGTGACTTTTCAACATATATTTGAAATTGCCCCTGAAATGTGTTTATGCCTCCATGTTTAAAGTGAACAGGAAAAACAGGTGATTATGAACCCTAAGCTCAAAAGGACTTACTCCTCCATTATAACCTGCAGCTACCTGGGGAACTATTGAGAGCACAAACAAAGGTTATAATTTAAAGGTTCAGAAAGGGAAATAAGGAGGCAGCTATAAATAACAGGGCCAGTTTAGAGCGGAGTTGGCAGCCTCACAAGCTTAAAGAGGCCAGACAGGTAATATAAACAAAGCAGGTAAGAGTAAGAAGAAGAGGAGCAGAGACACAAGGGAAGATAGACATTGATATAATAGTTCGGGGTAATGTTAGGGAGTAGCAGGGATTGTAGTGCATGGGGGAATTGGAAGCAGAATTTGATTCAGTCTAAGGAAATTATTGCTCTTCAATTGCCTGCTGATGGTTGCCATGCAGAGACACATGCCCAGCAAGCTACATCATCCAAGGAAGCAGTATAGATTTTTACATAAAATATTCTTGTATCATTATGTGGCTAGGCTAGGCTATGCCGTGAAAACCAACAGCTCCCCAAATGCCAGTGGCTTAAGAAAAGTTTATTTATCCCACTTTGAAGTATTCAAGCAATCTGGATAACTTTCCAGGGCAGCTTCCCTCTCTGCATCAACTCAGCCATCCCAGCTCCACCATCTCAATACCAGGTCTCCATGTTCCCAGTGGCCATGTGTTATGGGTTGAATTGCATCCTCCCTAAAAAGATATGTTTGAGGCTTAACCACCAGTACCTCAGAATGTGACCTTATTTAGGCAGGATTTTACAGAGGTAAGCAAGTTAAAATGATATTATTAAGTGGGCCCTGGCCCAGTAGAACTGCTGTCCTTACAAAAAGGGGGAATTATGGACACAGAGAGAGACACATACACAGGGAAAACATCACGCGAAGATTGGAGTGATGCTGCCACAAGCCAAGGAACCACCAGGACCTCGGATAGAGACCTGGAACAGATCCTTCCCTGGTGTCTTCATAGGGAACACGACCCTGCCAGCACCTTGAGTTCAAGCTTCTAGCCTCCAGAACTGTGAGACAACAAATTCCTGTTATTGAAGCCACTCAGTTTATGGTACTTTGTTATAGCAGCCCTAGGAAACGAGTACATCAAGAAACAGAAAGAGTGGGTCATCTCACAGAGGAGCTTTTCCCTGCCTCTGCCTTAAGGACACATGTCATTTCTGCTCATGGTCTGTTGGCCAGGGTGGTCGTGTGGCTCCACCTACTACTAAGGGACTGAGAGGTGTGCCCAGAAGAGGCTAAGTGGACGTTGGTGAGCACTCATAATATCTACTCTGCTTTTTAGAGTATTAGTAACCAAATTAGTTTGGAAAAGAAAGAAAACAAAACTGAGCAAGCTGAGCTTCCTATATGAGCCAAACAAACTCTCCCTTGTTCTGGGTCTCACCAGCGTGTTCCACCTTGGGACCTTCTCCTGAGGGTAAACCCACAGGCAGTGCCATGGAGTGGGGTTTGTGTTTCTGGGGGAATGTGGATTTTAGTCATGGACAAGGAATAAGCACAGCTGGTTTATGGAGCCTTTGGTATCAAGTGGGGGTCTTGGTAGGGGAAATGATTCCAGAACATGAGACTTAGGGCAGCATGGCGGTCTTGGAAAGAGGAGGATGCAAAGACCAGCACCCAACCTAGTAACAGTTTTTACATGGAGCTGTTTTTTTGTTTGTTTGTTTGTTTGTTTGTTTGTTTTAAATCCTCTGCTCTCCTTTCTTCTTTTTCTCTCCTTCTGAATACATACTCCATTGCCACTGGGAATCAAATCAGTCCTACCAAGTTCATCTGAATTATAGGTGAAGTTAGTTTTGGAAGGACGACCCTGGGAAGCTGCCTTCCATTTACACATTATTTCTGGAAACATACAATCTAAATTTCGAACAACCAGCTTAGAAAATAATTTTTACAAAAGAGCACATTGGCGAATGTGGGACCTTATGTGTGTGTATGCATGAACATATTTACCACTTTGATTTATATTCAACCTAGCAACAGCATTTTAAAATTATTTGTATGCAATATACTTTACTCATGTGCATGTAATTTAAAAATTATCTAGGTTCTTTCAACTGAATTTCTCTTAGAATATATATCATATTAACTTGGCTTATGGATTGTGTTCAAAATTATTCTTAAAGAACATGCTTGGTTGGTTTCACTAAGCCAATTTTTTTGAATATTCTAAAAAGTAAGAGAAGGAAATGAGACAAATTGTACTTTTCATGTACTGTGGCACAAGCTAGAGGAATATAATTGGGCTTCAGGCCAAGTTCTGAAGGCAATCGGAGCTGCTTATGTCAATTGGGCATAATTATTCCTCAACTCCTGTTGACAGAAAGAAAAATTGGTAGTGATCTGCTTTCCCATGCCTGGGATTCAGAGAGAATATTTGGGCTCCAGATCACGGCAGATGGGTACGTGCAGAAGCCACTGATTTGTCATTTGCGGGGAGCAGGGAATCCTCCAGTTTGGAGGAGGCCTTGTATATCAGTTGCCTTGGGCCATCTGTTCTATAGTTGAAGGCAGCACCATACACTCAGTAAATGTTTGTGGAATGAATAATGAATCTTTCCTAGAGAGCTTCCCTGCACGTGTGTCTGCCTGTTCTTTTCACCTGACTACCCATATGGTCCATTCTCTGGTGACTATGGGAAAGTGCAGAGTCTGCACTGAACAGGCTAAGGCTCTGTCCCTGGGTTGATTTACTCAGCCGGTATTTAATGAACCTACTAGGTGCTAAGGAGTTGTGCCAAGTCCCAGATGTGTAGTTAACAATAGCCCAACCTGGAAAAATGTGTTTGTCCTGAAAAAGAGGGAGATAACGGAGCAGGGCAAAAGCCCCCAGTAAAGCAGAAGTGATAATGTGAAGAATTTATTCTAGGGCTTGTATGGACAGCAGAGGGAGAGTCTAGGTATTCTGACTTTTTTGTTTGACTTCAGGGACATAATCTGCTTATGCAGAAGATTCTTATGCCTGATGCTATTTCTTCTTCCTGGACCCTGGATTGCACACCCCTGATTCCTTGGGAACCTTAGGCCATAAGTTTCCTATACTCTCTATATTTTCAACCTACCTATTAACTGGCACATGCCCCTCCACATATAAATGTGCCTAAGTCTTTTACCTGAACAAAGCCAAATCCTTGATTTGCTTATAAATTCCTTCTAGTTTCTATTCTTTCCTTGTCATTTCATGCCCAGTCAAGAAATTTAAAAGGTTAATTTACTCAGTGCCTCGTCTTCCTCATGTTATACTGCCAGTTTGGCTTCTGTGTCTTCCCCAGTACAACTGTTCTGATGGAGGTCACTCATGATATCTGCATGTGAATCTATTTTTAAATCCACATTGTGAATGTTTTGGTGACGTTTGACCCTGCTGACCAAGCCTTATCCGAAATCCTTTCCTCCCCTGGCTTTAGTGACCTCAAATGCTCTTGATTTTTCAATTCCCTTCCTGGTTCTTTTTCTCAAGCACCTTTCTGAATAATGCTTATTCCACCCACTCTTTAAATGACATTTTCTAGGATTTGGATTTTGGCCACCTCTTCTTTTCACTCTGCTTACTTTCCTTGGGTGTCTTCATTTACCTTCACGTCCTTAGCTAGCCTCTATCCATGCTGACAATTCCCAAATCTGTATTTCCAGTCTAGATTTCTTTCCTAAGCCAGACCATGTACCTACTATATGCTTAATTTCTCTGCTGGTAGGTCCTCTAGGAAACTCAAAATCAACAGTTAAATAGTGAACTCTTTGTCTTTCCCCTATATACTGCTTTCTCTCTACCTCATAGTGTTGTTATTCTCTACCCAGTTACCTAAGTCATACCACTGTTCTGTTATCACATCCTGTCAATTCTACCAACTTAAAAATTTTCAGATACTTCTCTTTTTTTCTTTCTTTCTCTCTCTTTCTTGTTTTTGTTTGTTTGTTTTGTTTGTTTGTTTTGACAGGGTCTTGCTCTGTCACCCAGGCTGTAGTGCAGTGATGCAGTCACGATTCACTGCATCCTTAACCACCTGAACTCAGGTGATCCTCCCATCTCAGCCTCCCTGGTAGCTGGGACTACAGGTGCACACCACCATGCCCAGCTAATTTTTTGTATTTTTAGTAGAGACAGGGTTTTGCCTTTGATATGGTTTGTCTGTGTTCCCACCCAAATCTCATCTTGAATTGTAACTCCCACAATTCCCACATGTCATGGAGGAACCCAGTGGGAGGTGATTGAATTATGGGGGCAGGTCTTTCCTATGCTGTCTTGTGATGCTGAGTGAGTCTCGCAAGATATGATGGTTTTAAAAATGGGAGTTTCCTTGCACAAGCTCTCTGTTTGCCTGCTGCCATCCATATAAGATGTGACTTGCTCCTCTTTGCCTTCTGCCATGATTGTGAGGCCTCCCCAGACACATGGAACTATAAATCCAATAAACCTCTTTCTTTTGTAAATTGTCCAGTCTCAGGTATGTCTTTATCAGCAGCATGAAAATGAACTAACATAGTAAATTCGTACCAGTAGAATGGGACACAGCTGAAAAGATACCTGAAAATGTGGAAGCAACTTTGGAGCTGGGTAACAGACAGAGGTTGGAACAGTTTGGAGGGCTCAGAATAAAACAGGAAAATGTGGGAAAGTTTGGAACACCCTGAGACTTGTTGAATGGCTTTGACAAAAATGCTGATAATGATATGGACAATGAAATCCAGGCTAAGGTGGTCTCAGATGGAGATGAGGAACTTGTTGAGAACTAGAGCAAAGGTGACTCTTCCTTTGTTTTAGCAGAGACTGGCAGCATTTTGCCCTTGCCCTAGAGATCTGTGGAACTTTCAACTTGAGAGAGATGATTTAAGGTATCCGGTGGAATAAATTTCTAAGCAGCAAAGCATTCAAGATGTGACTTGGGTGCTGTTAAAGGCGTTCAGTTTTATAAGGGAAGCAGAGCATAAAAGTTTGGAAAATTTGCAGCCTGCCAATGCAATAGATAAGAAAAACCCATTTTGTGAGGAGAAATTCAAGCCAGTTGCAGAAATTTGCATAAGTAACAAGGAACTGAATGTTAATCCTCAAGACAATGGGGGACATGTGTCCAGGGCATGTCAGAGGTCTTCACAGTAGTCCCTCCCATCACAGGCCCGGAAGCCTAGAAGAAAATGGTTTCATGGGCTGGGCTCAGAGTCTCAGTGCTGTGTGCAGGCTGGGGACTTGGTGCACTGCACTCTAGCTATGGCTGAAAGGCCAACGTGGAGCTCGAGCTGTGACTTCAGAGGGTGCAAGATCCAAGCTTTGGCAGCCTCCATGTGGTGTTGAGCCCTTGAGTGCACAGAAGTCAAGAATTGGGGTTTGGGAACCTCCACCTAGATTTCAGAAGATGTATGGAAATGCCTGGATGCCCAGGCAGAAGTTTGCCACAGGGCTTGGGGCGCTCATGGAGAACCTCTGCTAGGGCAGTGCAGAAGGGAAATGCAGGGTCAGAGCACCCACACATATTCCCTTCTGGGGCACCATCTAGTGGAGCTGTGAGAAGAGGGCCATCATCCTCCAGACCCTAGAATGGTAGATCCACTGACAGTTTGCACCATGCACCTGGAAAAGCCACAGACACTCAACACCAGCCTGTGAAAGCAGCTGAGAGGGAGGCTATACCCTGCAAAGCCACAGAGGCAGAGCTGCCCAAGACCATGGTAACCCACCTCTTGCATCAGCATGACCCAGATGTGAGATTTGGAGTCATAGGAGATCACTTTGGAGCTTTAAGATTTGACTGCCCTGCTGGATTTCAGACTTGCATGGGACCTTTAGCCACTTTGTTTTGGCCAATTTCTCCCATTTGGAATAGCTGTATTTACCCAATGTCCATACTCCCATTGTACCTAAGAAGTAACTAATTTCCTTTTGGTTTTACAGGCTTATGGGTGGAAGGGACTTGCCTTGTCTCAGATGAAATGTTGGACTGTGGACTTCTGGGTTAATGCTGAAATGAGCTAAGGCTTTGGGGGACTTTTGGGAAGGCTTGATTGGTTTTGAAACATGAGGACATGAGATTTGGGAGGGGCCAGGGATGGAATGATATGGTTTGGCTGTGTCCCCACCCACATCTCATCTTGAATTGTAACTCATGGGAGGAACCCTGTGTTCCTCATGTGTAACTCATGGGAGGAACCCTGTGGGAGGTGACTGAATTATGGGGGCAGGTCTTTCCTGCGCTGTTCTTGTGATGGTGAATGACTCTTATGAGATATGATGGTTTTAAAATCAGGAGTTTTGTTGCACAAGGTCTCTTTCTTTGCCTGCTGCTATCCATGTAAGATGTGACTTGCTCTTCCTTGCCTTCCACCATGATTGTGAGGCCTCCCCAGCCATGAGGAACTGTAAGTCCAATAAACTTCTTTCTTTTGTAAATTATTCAGTCTTGGGTATGTCTTTATCAGCAGTGTGAAAATGGACCAATACAGCCATGTTGCTCAGGTTGGTCTCAAACTCCTGGGCTTAAGCAATCTGTTCACCTCAGCCTACCAAAGTGCTGGGCTTACAGGAGTGAGCCACCATGGCCAGCCTTCAGATATTTCTTTTTTTCTTCATTCCTACACCCACCAACTCGGTGCAGGCCTCAGAATTTTTTGCTTGAGTTATGGCAGCTTTCTCCTCTTTGGTTTGTCTGCCGCCAAACTTGCCCACTGTTATGGACTGAATTGTCCCTCCTACCAAATTGTATGTTGAAGCCTAACCCCCAGTGGGACTATATTTGGAGATGGGACCTTTAAGGAGGTAATCAAGGTTAAATGAGGTCATAAGATGGGGCCCTAATTTGGTAGGACTCATGTCCTCATAAGAAGAGAGAGAGACACCAGTGATGTGTACACCACAGAGAAAACACCACATGAGGACACAGAGAGGAGGCGGCCATCTGCAAGTCAAAAAGAGTGGTCTAAGGAGAAACCAATCCTGCTGCCATCTTGGTCTTCGACTTCCAGCCTCCAGAAGTGTGAGAAAGTAAATTTCTGTTGTTTAAGCCACCCCATGGCTATTTCGTTATGGCAGCCCTTACAGACTAATACACCCACTTAAATAGATTTATTTCAAAAACAAATTTGATCACATCACTGTCCTGCTTGAACTTCTTTGTACAGAGACCCCTCCCACCCCATCTCCTGCCCCTTCTCCTCCACTCACTGCTCTGACTTTGCTAAATTATAGCATGCAGCGAGCTCTCTCTATACCTTTGCTAATCTTCTTTCCTTGACTGCATTCTCCCTTGTCTAGACCCCTTCTCTGATAACTTCTATTTGCCCTTCAGTCACCAGTTCTTCCATGAAGCCTTTGTGACATAATTCTTCCCTCCTCAGTTGGCTGCGTGCTGTCCCCTAGCTCCCTTAGACCTCCTCCCCATCCCCAGGCTGTGAACTCCTGAAGGACAGGACCAAGGTCTTACTCATCTTTCTATTTTCAGCCCTTTGAACAATGCTTGGAATACAGTAGGTATTCAAAAATGATTTTGGATGAAAGAACAAAGAGTAAATGCCATCCTCAGGGACACAACAAAAATACACACAAAATGACAAGTCATTGTGTTACCACAGTGAGAAAAAGCCAGTCAGGGCACAGCCTCTACTTGGGTTTACTTTGCCTTATGATCTCCTGGCCCAAAGAACAAGAACAACAACATTATCGTTATAGTCATCATTGTAATAACAATAGCAGCTTTCCTTTACTGAGCCTGTACTATATGCCTGAAGTGTGCCATGGATTGTAAATAGAACATTTCATTTAATCCTCACAACCACTCTGAAGTATCTATTTATTATGATTGCCATTTGACAGATGAAGAAACTGAGGCCTAGAGAAGTTAAATAGCTTACCCCAGATTGTAAGCGGTGAAGCTGACTTCGAACTCAGTGAATATTCTATTTGCTCTCCACAACTCCTAGTCCTGCTTGCTGTTATTTCTAGGCTAGATGGGGCTGTGTGGGTATTTCTGACCTATTGGCCATGAGCAGAAGTGGCTTGTATCAATTCTGGGGTGAGGCCTGATCCTCCAAAGTCTCTTTCCCTCCTGAAGTAAACCCCAAAGTCCCATCTTGGGATGACAGAGCCTGGGTCCCTGAACTAGGAGGACCAGAACCCCTTGCTAGTCTGCAGTGGCTATGTGTGTAAGCAATAAAGTCTTGTGGTTTTAAAGTCACTGAGATTTTGGTATTGTTGTCACCACAGAATGATCAGTTCTATCTTTACTATTTAATTCCCTTGTCCCTTCCTACACAGAGAAGCCCTGGGTCCATTGCAGCAATCCCATCTCCTATACAAGGAGAATGTGCAAAGCCAAAGGGAGATCTGGTACTTTTTGGCAGTCTGTATAATCCTTATCAACACAGAGTAAGACTGCCAGATGCCAACTGCTCAACCAGGGCTTACTGGGTTACTAAGTATATATAAAGGATGTTTTATTTCCTTGAAGACCTCAAATGTCTAAGTTGGAGGGACAAGAAGGAAAAACCTATAATCAACAAAAATATATACAAATACATGCAGTAATTATGTGAGTGCATTGTGGAGGTGGTTAGCAACTGAATAATATTAATCAGGGTTGAGGAGGGTAGACCTTGAACTGACATCCAAGTTGGAAGGGCTTATTGCAGAGGTTTTCAGCCTCGGCACTATTAACAATTAGGGCTGGATAATTCTTTGTTTGGGGGACTGTCTTGTGCATTGAGGATGTTTAGGATTTAGCAGCATCCCTGACCTCTACTTTAGCTGCCAGTAGCATCACCATCTCATTCCAATGCGAAAACCAACAATGTCTCCAGATATTACTTTAAGTCTCTTGGGGGAAAAATCTCCCCTCACTTGAGAACCACTGGTTTATTGAATGCAGCTGCAATGATCTCATCTATTTCTACTAGGAGCCAGACAAGTTTAGTTTGGGAAAAATGGTAGGTTGTTACACAGCAGATTTTAAAAGCACCAGAATGTCAGTCTACAAATATCCCCGCTTTCTGAAAGATACATTCTCTGGAGACCCTGAATGGGGATTCCTTTTTGTAAAATCAGAGAAGCCTTGCTTTCCCTTTCAATATCCAATATCCTTGGGAAGAATTACACAGGAAGCTCTAGCCAGGCATTTATACATCATCAAAAGAAGGATCTGAGAATAAATTTGAACCAAGAGGGAGTAAAAAATAGCAAGACACTTCACGCTGAAGAAGCAGCAAGGCCAAGGAGGCAGAACTGACAGTAGGAAGGGACAGGAGCTCATAAATAGTGTTGCCCCAGGCTAGCCCAGGATGAGAGCCTGGATGTTTTCATGGGGAGGAGGAGGAGTGAGTGAGGATTTTGAAATTCATGAGGAGAGTGTGCAAAGCCAAGTTGGATGCAAGCTTGGGGGAGCTCTGAGGATACTAGGTGAGGGGATAAAGAAAAGCCAAGAGGAGAAAATCCTCAGGGCCCCAGCGTGTGTCCAAGGGTCTGCTGCTGTGCCTGTGGCCTTATTCCGTGGCCTCATCTCACTACTCTCCATCATGCTTGGGGCTCAACCATCCTGGCCTTCTTCCCACTCTTGAGATGCTCTGCAGTTGTTTCTGCTTTTCTACATGCTAATCCACCTGCCTGGAACCAGTCCCCCAACCCTGCCCCAGTTCTTCTCTGTGCCGTCTGCCTAATTAACTGATACTCATGCTTCAGAATTCAGCACAACCTATTATTTCCTCTGGGTGCTTCACAGCATCCTGCTCTTCATAACACATCTCTCAATTCACAATTAGATAATGATTTGTGGGATTATTTTATTGGTGACCATCTCCCTCCCAAACCTGAAGTCCTGATGATGGTAGAAAATGTGTCAGTTTTGCTCATTGTGATCTCCATAGAATCTAACTTCAGGACTGGAATATAGTATGTGCTCAATAAACGTTTTTAAATGATCTTATGAAGGTCTGGATTTTCCTACTCCATAATTGTGTTTGGTTGAGTTGAGGCAGAATCCAGAATGATAGGAAAAAGGTAGGAGGGGGAAATAAAAAATTTATAACAAAAAGCACAAACTCATCACATCAATAGTTTTATCTCTGTTACTTATAAAGTCTTGTTCTCCATGATCATATTCTAGGCCAGTAAAAAAATGCCATTCCCTACCTTTTGGTATGGTTTGGCTGTGTCCCCACCCAAATCTCATCTTGAATTGTAACTCCCATAATTCCCACATGTCGTGGGAGAAACCTGGTGGGAGGTAATTGAATTATGCGGGCGGGTCTTTCCTGTGCTGTTTTTGTGATAGTGAACGAGTCTCATGAGATCTGATGGTTTTAAAAAAGGGAGCTTCTCGTTTCTTGTGTGCTGCCATGTGAGATGTGCCTTTCACCTTCCACCATAATTGTGAGGCCTCCCCAGCCACGTGGAACTGTAAGTCCAATAAACCTCTTTCTTCTGTAAATTGCCCAATCTCAGGTATGTCTTTATCAGCAGTGTGAAAAAGAACTAATACACCTGTATAATCAAAGTTACCCCAGAAAGGTGTCAATGATTAGGTTATAGGACTATTTTGGCCAGACGCCATGTTGTTATTTCATTCAGTGTTGCATCCTTTTGACCAAGGGAGCCCTGGGTATGTGAGCTCAATAAATTTGAATCTCAGCTGGGCAGAAAGGTTTCTGTTTCCATGTTTATCTTCCTGAGTTGACCCAATGGTGCAGAAGCAATCCCAGAACCCCATAGACTGCTCACAGAGTGCTGGGTATCCCTGAACATTTTATATCATTCACCATTAAGATCATGATGACCTCCCAGGATGGTTGAATTTGGGATTGAAGAACTGTATTTAGATGGACTCTGTGATAGGCTGTTTTCACATTGCTACAAAAAGAGTACTCGAGGCTGAGTAATTTACAAAGAAAAGAGTTTTAATTGGCTTACATTTCTGCAGGCTGTACAATATGACACCGGGCATCTGCTTGGTTTCTGGGGAGGCCTCAGGGAGTTTTCTCATGGAGGAGAGTGAAGCAGGAGCAACCATGTCACATGGCGAGAGCAGGAGCAAGGGATGGGGAGGTGCCACACATTTCTAAACAACCAGCTTTCATGAGAACTCACTATAGTGAGGACAGCACCAAGCCATGGGGGACCCACCCCCATGGCCCAAACACCTCCCACCAGGCCCCACCTCCAATGTTGGGGATTACATTTCAGCATGAGATTTAGGGAGGACTAATGTCCAAACCATATCAGACTATGTTTAGGGTTAGCTGGTAACACTGAAGTTCTCTGTTGCCATGTGGCCATCCTTTTCTCTACTTCAGATGTTTTGTACCACGAAAATCAACTGCAAATTCAATTTCTTCTACATGTGTCCTTATTGAAGGGGTTAGCAAATACTAGAAAACAAATGAAAAAATAATCTTCTATGAGTTATAACTTATCAAATCTACCTTCTTGAGGATCAAAGTCAAGGCTTAATCAACAACCTTTGTAATGTGCTGATATCCATTTCTGTCTAGTCTAACACCATAACCTCAGCCTGCTTGCATTGTGCTAGGAGCTGAGGTTATGATGTTGGACTAGACATGGAGATTACAGACTAGATTTCTAGAATCTTGGAATAGTTGGATCTATCTATCTATCTATCTATCTATCTATCTATCTATCTATCTATCATCTATCTTTCATCCATCTATCTATTCTAACAAGGATTATGCTCAGAAATAAAATAATCAAGAAAACTTCCAATTCAATGACAGTTTAAGTGAAAGTGCTAAACTCTTAACAATAAATACTGATCAATAGGAAAGAAAATTTTGCCTGAATACAGGTAGGAGAAGAAAGCTTTAAGATATTTTAATTACTTTATCTCTTCAGGAATTGAGATTATTTTCTTTTTTTTTTTTAATGGTTGTGTTACCTACTTTATTGCACTTAATTGCACCTTTTAATTAAATTTTCTTTTTTTTTATTATTATACTTTAAGTTTTAGGGTACATGTGCACAATGTGCAGGTTAGTTACATATGTATACATGTGCCATGCTGGTGCGCTGCACCCACTAACTCGTCATCTAGCATTACAAACAAATTTACAAGAAAAAAACAACCCAATCAAAAAGTGGGCGAAGGACATGAACAGACACTTCTCAAAAGAAGACATTTATGCAGCCAAAAAACACATGAAAAAATGCTCACCATCACTGGCCATCAGAGAAATGCAAATCAAAACCACAATGAGATACCATCTCACACCAGTTAGAATGGCAATCATTAAAAAGTCAGGAAACAACAGGTGCTGGAGAGGATGTGGAGGAATAGGAACATTTTTACACTGTTGGTGGGACTGTAAACTAGTTCAACCATTGTGGAAGTCAGTGTGGTGATTCCTCAGGGATCTAGAACTAGAAATACCATTTGACCCAGCCATCCCATTACTGAGTATATACCCAAAGGACTATAAATCATGCTGCTATAAAGACACATGCACACGTATGTTTATTGCGGCATTATTCACAATAACAAAGACTTGGAACCAACCCAAATGTCCAACAATGATAGACTGGATTAAGAAAATGTGGCACATATACACCATGGAGATTATTTTCTTGACGAGGGTTAACAATACACAATATCCTTCCTTTAATAGTTATTGCTCTTGTATAAACACATATGCACACATACACTAATGTGTATATATATATATATACATATATATGATATTTAGGAATTGAGGTGAATTTTATTCTTCTGTATCTGATATGGACAGATTTTACAAACCTCCAAAGGTAAATGAGGTCTGGTGATGGCCTGAATATCTAAATTGGAATAATCCTGGAAACTCAAGGTCATAAAGGAGTCACGTTTATCTCTTAGCCCTTCCTGGCTCTTCTCTGGCTTCCTCCTCTCACAACTGAAAGCTTGCGAGATGCATGTATATGTAAAACATGGTTCCATTGCCTCGGAAAGAAGCATACTCTGGATAGTCTCAAATGATCCTCTTTTCTCTGTCTCCCTCCCTATCCCATTGACATGCTTGGTCTGGGACATTGAAGATCAGCCATAAGGCATCCCCAGCATGACTCGTGTGTTAGCCTCAGTCCTCCAGGAAGCGAATACCAAGGCAGGATTTTATTAGGGAAAATGCCTGATAAAATAGGAAGAGAGTTGAGAAAGGGGGAAGAGCTGTCATGATGCAAGTCTGACCCTGAGTGAAGGAGAGAGGAAAGAAAGATTGGGGGTAAAGATTCTAGATTGCTTAGCAAGCTAAGGAAAGTCCTAAGAAAAGTTTGACAAGCCTCTCGGGGAGTCCTTAAACCAACGTCACCCACCAGTAGAGTATTCTCTCTCTCAGGAAAGGGCCTGCTTTAGAGTCCATGCCGTGTTAGTTATTGCCTAGGAGCAGCTTGTGGGACAAGTGGCCTTGGTGCAATAGCAGTGATGGATTTCAATGAATGTCAGAGCCCAGCAGCAGCTTGGGGCTGTTGGTCAATTAGGCTCCCTGCAATTGGAAGTCTGTGTGGTACATTCTCATAACTGCCACAGCTTGTGATTCATTCAGAAGTTGGTTTGGAAAACATGCCTCCTTTATGCAACAGAAGGGAATGTTTTCAAGATTCTGAGCAAACATTTGGTAGGACAGATACCAGTCTCAATTACCGTAATTTCTTTCCAGAATGCTGACGGCCTTCTATACAGAGAAAGTCATAGAATAAATGATATTTCAGGAATGTAGTACATTTTGTTCTTCTGTACCTGATGTGAGCAAGTTTTACAAACCCCAAAAGGTATATGAGGTCTGATGATGGGCTCAAGTGTTCAAAATTGGAAAAATCCTGGAAAATCAAGGCCACAGAGTAGTCATATTTATCTCTTAGCACTTTCTGTTTCTTCTCTTGCTTTGTCCTCTCTCATGACTGAAGCCAGTTTTCTTGTTACACTGAAAGAACTTCCCAACATGGATTGTCTCTTTTAATCTTCACCATCTTTCTAGTTAGGTTATTTTTTTTTTTTGAAATTTTATTTTTATTATACTCTAAGTTCTAGGGTACATGTGCACAATGTACAGATTTGATACATAGGTATATATGTGCCCTGTTGCTTTGCTGCACCCATCAACTCGTCATTTACATTAGGTATTTCTCCTAATGCTATCCCTCCCCCAGGCCCCCACCCCTGACAGGCCCCAGTTTGTGATGTTACCCACCCTGTGTCCAAGTGATCTCATTGTTCAATTCCCACCTATGAGTAAGAACATGCAGTGTTTGGTTTTCTGTCCTTATGATAGTTTGCTGAGAATGATGGTTTCCAGCTTCATCCATGTCCCTGCAAAGGACATGAACTCATCCTTTTTTATGGCTGCATAGTATTCCATTGCGTATATGTGCCACATTTTCTTAATCCAGTCTATCAGTGATGGACATTTGGGTTGGTTCCAAGTCTTTGCTATTGTGACTAGTGCCTCAGTAAACGTATGTGTGCATGTGTCTTTATAGTAGCATGATTTGTAATCCTTTGGGTATATACCCAGTAATGGGATTGCTGGGTCAAATGGTATTTCTAGCTCTAGATCCTTGAGGAATCACCACACTGTCTTCCACAATGGTTGAACTAATTTACACTCCCACCAACAGTGTGAAAGCATTCCTATTTCTCCACATCCTCTCCAGCATCTGTAGTTTCCTGACTTTTTAATAATCGCCATTCTAACTGGCGTGAGATGGTATCTCACTGTGGTTTTGATTTGCTTTTCTCTGATGACCAGTGATGATGAGCATTTTTTTCATGTGTCTGTTGGCTGCATAGATGTCTTCTTTTGAGAAGTGTCTGTTCATATTCTTTGCCCACCTTTTGATGGGGTTGTTTGTTTTTTTTCTTGTAAATCTGTTTGAGTTATTTGTAGATTCTGGATATTAGCCCTTTGTCAGATGAGTAGATTGCAAAAATTTTCTCCCATTCTGTAGGCTGCCTGTTCACTCTGATGGTAGTTTCTTTTGCCATGCAGAAGCTCTTTAGTTTAATTAGATCCCATTTGTCTGTTTTGAGTTTTTTTGCCATTGCTTTTGGTGTTTTAGTCATGAAGTCCTTTCCCGTGCCTCTGTCCTGAATGGTATTGCCTAGGTTTTCTTCTAGGGTTTTTATGGTTTTAGGTCTAACATTTAAGTTTTTAATCCACCTTGAATTAATTTTTGTATAAGGTGTAAGGAAGGGATCCAGTTTCAGCTTTCTACATGTGGCTAGCCATTTTTCCCATCACCATTTATTAAATAGGGAATCCTTTCCCCACTGCTTGTTTTTGTCAGGTTTGTCAAAGATCAGATGGTTGTAGATGTGTGGTGTTATTTCTGAGGGCTCTGTTCTGTTCCATTGGTCTATCTTTCTGTTTTGGTACCAGTACCATGCTGCTTTGGTTACTGTAGCCTTGTAATATAGTTTGAAGTCAGGTAGTGTGATGCCTCCAGCTTTGTTCTTTTGGCTTAGGATTGTCTTGGCAATGTGGGCTCTTTTTTGGTTCCATATGAACTTTAAAGTAGTTTTTTCCAATTCTGTGAAGAAAGTCATTGGTAGCTTGATGGGGATGGCATTGAATCTATAAATTACTTTGGGCAGTATGGCCATTATCACGATATTGATTCTTCCTATCCATGAGCATGGAATGTTCTTCCATTTGTTTGTGTCCTTTCTTATTTCGTTGAGCAGTGGTTTGTAGTTCTCCTTGAAGAGGTCCTTCACATCCCTTGTAAGTTGGATTCCTAGGTATTTTATTCTCTTTGTAGCAATTGTGAATGGGAGTTCACTCATGATTTGGCTCTCTATTATCGGTGTATAAGAATGCTTGTGATTTTTGCACATTGATTTTGTATCCTGAGACTTTGCTGAAGTTGCCTATCAGCTTAAGGAGATTTTGGGCTGAGACGATGGGGTTTTCTAAATATACAATCATGTCATCTTCAAACAGAGACAATTTGACTTCCTCTTTTCCTGAATGAATACCCTTTATTTCTTTCTCCTGCCTAATTGCCCTGGCCAGAACTTCCAACACTATGTTGAATAGGAGTGGTGAGAGAGGGCATCCTTGTCTTGTGCCAGTTTTCAAAGGGAATGCTTCCAGTTTTTGCCCATTCAGCATGATATTGCTGTGAGTTTGTCATAAATAGCTCTTATTATTTTGAGATATGTTCTATCAATACCTAATTTATTAAGAGTTTTTAGCATAAAGCGTTGTTGAATTTTGTGGAAAGCCTTTTCTGCATCTATTGAGATAATCATGTGGTTTTTGTTGTTGGTTCTGTTTATGTGATGGATTACATTTATTGATTTGCATATGTTGAACCAGCCTTGCATCCCAGGGATGATCCTGACTTGATCATGGTGGATATGCTTTTTGATGTGCTGCTGGATTTGGTTTGCCAGTATTTTATTGAGGATTTTTGCATCTATGTTCATCAGGGATATTGGTCTAAAATTATCTTTTTTTGTTGTATCTCTGCCAGGCTTTGGTATCAGGATGGTGTTGGCCTCATAAAATGAGTTAGGGAGTATTCCTTCTTTTTCTGTTGATTGGAATAGTTTCAGAAGGAATGGTATCAGGTCCTCTTTGTACCTCTGGTAGAATTTGGCTGTGAATCCGTCTGGTCCTGGACTTTTTTTGGTCGGTAGGCTGTTAATTATTGCCTCAATTTCAGAGCCTGTTATTGGTCTATTCAGAGATTCAACTTCTTCCTGGTTTAGTCTTGGGAGGATGTATGTGTCTAGGAATTTATCCATTTCTTCTAGATTTTGTAGTTTATTTGTGTAGAGGTATTTATAGTATTCTCTGATGGTAGTTTGTATTTCTGTGGGATCAGTGGTGATATCCCCTCTATCATTTTTTATTGCGTCTATTTGATTCTTCTCTCTTTTCTTCTTTATTAGTCTTGCTAGCGGTCTATCAATTTTGTTGATTGTTTCAAAAAACCAGCTCCTGGATTCATTAATTTTTTGAAGGGATTTTTGTGCCTCTATGTCTTTCAGTTCTGCTCTGATCTTAGTTATTTCTTGCCTTCTGCTAGCTTTTGAATGTTAGTCTGATGGTCTTCCCTTTGTGGGAACCCAACCTTTCTCTCTGGCTGCCCTTAACATTTTTTCCTTCATTTCAACCTTGGTGAATCTGATGATTATGTGTCTTTGGGTTGCTCTTCTCGAGAAGTATCTTTATGGTGTTCTCTGTATTTCCTGAATTGAATGTTGGCCTCCCTTGCTAGGTTGGTGAAGTTCTCCTGGATAATATCCTGAAGAGTGTTTTCCAACTTTGTTCCATTCTCCCTGACTGGTGTACTTTCAGGTACACCAATCAAACTTAGATTTGGTCTTTTCACATAGTCTTATATTTCTTGGAGGCTTTGTTCATTTCTTTTTACTCTTTTTTTCTCTAACTTTGTCTTCCCACTTTATTTCATTAATTTGATCTTTAATCACTGAAACCCTTCCTTCCACTTCATCGAATAGGCTATTGAAGCTTGTGCATGCGTCACGTAGTTCTTGTGCCATGGTTTTCAGCTCCATCAGGTCTTTTAAGGTCTTCTCTACACTGTATATTCTAGTTAGCCATTTGTCTTACCCTTTTTCAAGGTTTTTAGCTTCCTTGCAATGGGTTGGAACATGCTCCTTTAGCTCAGAGAAGTTTGTTATTACTGACCTTCTGAAGCCTACTTCTGTCAACTCATCAAAGTCATTCTCCGTCCAGCTTTGTTCCATTGCTGGCAAGGAGAAGAGCCACCCTGATTTTTAGAATTTTCAGCTTTTCTGCTCTGGTTTCTCCCCATCTTTGTGGTTTTATCTACCTTTGGTCTTTGAAGTTGGTGACCTACAGATGGGGTTTTGGTGTAGATGTACTTTTTGTTGATGTTGATGCTATTCCTTTCCGTTTGTTAGTTTTCCTTCTAACAGTCATGTCCCTCAGCTGCAGGTCTGTTGGAGTTTGCTGGAGGTCCACTCCAGACCCTGTTTGCCTGGGTATCATCAGTGGAGGCTGTAGAACAGCAAATATTGTGGAACAGCAAATATTGCTGCCTGATCCTTCCTCTGGAAGCTTCATCCCAGAGAGGCACCCACCTATATGAGGTGTCTATCGGCCCCTACTGGGAGGTGTCTCCCAGTTAGGCTACACGGAGGTCAGGGACCCACTTGAGGAAGCAGTCTGTCCATTCTCAGAGCTCAAATGCCATGCTGGGAGAACCACTGCTCTCTTCAGAGCTGTCAGACAGGGACGTTTATGTCTGCAGAAGTTGTCTTCTGCCTTTTGTTCAGTTATGCCCTGTCCACAGAGGTGGAGTCTAGAGGCAGTAGGCCTTGCTGAGCTGTGGTGGGCTCTGCCCAGTTCGAGCTCCCTGGCCACTTTGTTTACCTACTCAAGCCTCAGCAATGGCGGATGTGCCTCCCTCAGCCAGGCTGCTGCCTCACAGTTTGATCTCAGACTGCTGCGCTAGCAGTGAGCAAGGCTCTGTGGGCATGGGAACTGCCCATCCAGGCACAGAAGAGAATCTCCTTGTGTGCTGCTTGCTAAGACCTTGGGAAAAGCTCAGTATTTGGGCAAGAGTGTCCTGTTTTTCCAGGTACAGTCTGTCACAGCTTCCCTTGGCTAGGAAAGGGAAATCCCCCGACCCCTTGTGCTTCCCGACTGAGGCGACACCCTGCCCTGCTTCAGCTCACCCTCCATGGGCTGTACCCACTTTCCAACCAGTCCCAATGAGATGAACCATGTACCTCAGTTGGAAATGCAAAAATCACCCATTTTCTGCGTCAATCACACTGAAAGCTGCAGACTGGAGCTGTTCCTATTTGGCCGTCTTGGAACGGAGCTCCCTAGTTAGGTAATTTAAAAAACTATAAAACTACATGTCTCAGGCTCATGAAGGTAAATTTTCTTCTGCCAATTATGTGCACTCAGTTTAAGATTTGAAAAAAAAGAGGCAGCTGCCATTTTCCTACAGCTGTTGTTGCCGGGAAGCTGGGTTATGACATGTGAGTGTTGGAATTGTTGGGATAATGGGAGCCCTGTCTAGTCACCAGCTTTGTGAGTATTAGAGGAAGTCATGGCCATAGCCAAAGCAGCACATTCCTGATCTGTGGGTAACTAAATGGACAGATAAACATTTGTTAAATGAATAAGTACGTGAGTGAATGAAGAACAGATGAATGCATGAAATAATAAACCATAATCTTTCCTTGAGAGAGTCATAATGGGGTGACCTTGAAATCTATAGTTGAGGGGCAGCTCCCTGACCAATGCTCTTCTAGTCTTCTCAATATCTCCTTAAGCCCTAATACCCAACATTAAGCTCCATGCTTGAACTCTCTGGAATAGATTCTATTTTCTGCACTCAACCCACATATACAGTAACTAAATTCCCCATAAAGGAAGGTTTTTTTTGTTTGTTTGTTTGTTTGTTTTTGAGATGGAGTCTTGCTCTGTCACCCAGGCTGGAGTGCAGTGGTGTGATCTCGGCTCACTGCAACCTCCACCTCCTGGGTCCAAGCAATTCTGCCTCAGCCTCCTGAGTAGCTGGGATTACAGGTTCCCACCACCGTGCCTGGCTAATTTTTGTATTTTAGTAGAGACAGGGTTTCACCATGTTAGCTAGGCTGGTATTGAACTCCTAACCTCGTGTTTCACCTGCCTCAGCCTCCCAAATTGCTGGGATTACAAGTGTGGGCCGCCATGCCCAGCCAGGAAGATTGTTTTTTAATTAGTTCATTTGTTTGTTCATTCATTCATTCATTTGTTCATTTATATATTCATTTATTCAACAAATGTTTATTTTTCCGTTTAATTATTGAACACAGGCCTTGTGCCAAGCACTGTGTAGGGCACTGAGGATTCTCTGAAGCCAGGTTCTGCCCTTAAGGAGTTTACAGTTGAAAGCCAGGGTTTGTGATAGGGTGGACGAGGCAGTACAAATTATTAATGACTGAAAAGGCCAGAGTAGAATGCCTAATTTGGGGAAAGAGGGGAAACTAACATTTACTGAGCATCCGTTATATGTTAGGTATTGTGATGGGATTTTATATATGTTATCATATTTAATAATCACAACAATCCAGTGAAGCCGATTATTATCCCCATTTTGCAGATGTGCAAACTAAAACTCAAGAGGTTAATTGTCTTCCCAGAGGATCTGAATCAGGATCCACTTGACCCCAAACTCCATGGTCTTGGAAAGTAAATGTTAGTAACCTTAGGCAGTGCTTTGCAATTGCCAGGTCCTCTGAAGACCTGCATGATGAGCAAGGCCTTGGTGCCTCTTCAGGTTCTCAGCGTCTCTGTAGTCTACCCAGCATCCTTTAATTCATTTCCACTTTCTCCTTCATTTTCATTTCTATTATTTTTCCTTTCCTTTTTTTTTTTTTTTTTTTTTTTGCTTTGGCCTGTCCATCAAATGCCTTTTCTCTAACTTTCATTCTGCTTCTGATTTTCTCTTTAACACTTTCCCCTTCCCTTTGGGCCTCTTGCATTTCTCTCTGTTCATCTCTTCTTTCTCTCCTTCATCTTCCCTGTATCATATCCTCTCTGCCTCATTTCTCTCTCTGGGATCCTTCAGGCTCTCTCTCTGTCTGTCTATATCATTCATTCTTTGTCTGCCCATTACATATCCCAAAGAGAGTCCCTGACTTAGAGCACTTAAGTCTCTATTTCTGCTTCCATGTTCAAGTTGGGGGACGCATGATTTTACTTTCTGTTTTGGTTCTGCCTTTGGATGGTTTCTGCTTTGGATGCCTTTCCAAAAGCAGAACATGGTTCACTGATAACCAAATTTTCCTGGCTGTCAATGAAAATGCTTCTTTGTACATACATAAGAATTTTGACTTCCGATCCTTATTATCATCTGAAACCTAATCTGTTTTTACCACATGTTATTCTTACTCTCACAGAACTCCACCCGGTGAAGCCATTTTTCCTCCTTTCTCTGCCTTACCCTGCAGGGAAGGAGTGGCTTTGCAGATGTGCCAGCTGCAAAGGCTGCACACACTTTGGGATGGCAGGGAGTGTGGAAATCCTTGCCAGGTTTTTAGAAGTATTATTCTTTACCTGGGATGCAAATAGAATGAGAAACAGAAAACTCAGAGGATCCTGCTCCCAGACAATGTTCCCTCATGTTACTATCACATTCAGTAATTGCAGGACTCTTTGCTGACACTTCCCTCTCTGCTGATGGGCAGTGTGCCCTTGTTGGGCATCTTCAGGGAGGAGGAGTGGTAGTTTACAGGGAAAAAGAGCTGTGTTTAAAAAGATAATCTTTAGAAAAGGAAAGGAATCCTATCCTATCATACTTTCTTTTTTAAAGGTAATTTTACCTTTTGAAAAGACCTACATTTTCTTGTTTTCTTCTGAACTGGAAGAGAGAAACTAGTGAAATTATGGATCAATTTCACTCTTTATCTTTATTTTCCTTGGTTGTCAGACTTTATCCTAATACTTTGTTTGCTTGTCTCTCAAGACTGTAGCAGAATAGTGGCCCTCCAAAATTTCCAAATCCCCTTTCCAAAATTTCAGCAGTAGAGATGCAGATTACTGTTTTATATTTTGTGGTAAGCACCTTAACCTTTTCAAAGAATGAAATAATCACAAATGAATTATATCATTCAAGAGCTCATTTTCTCTCCATTTAATAAAAACATAAATGGGTGGAGTTAGGTGGTTTCTTCCAAATAGCTCACCTTTTCTTGGCCCTTAGGCTAGAAGGGCCCTTTTCCATCTCCTTGTGGAATGGCTGCTGAAAAGTTAATGGGATCCAAGACTGAATTGGCAAGCAAGTTATCCAGTTCAAGGGAAATACAGTTCCATCGTGCTTTGTGATACTGAGCTTGGCATTCAGACTTTGAGGCCACACATTTTGGAAATAACCTACAAACTGAAATTTATACAGGACAATTAGAGTGATGAGATGGATGAAATCTACATTTTGTAAGGACTGGTGAAGTAATTAAGTTGGAAAAGAGAAGGGGCTAGAGTAACAAACAAGGGAGACGTAGAAGTCAGTAGAAGACAGTGTTATACTTACCACAGTGTGGAATTCATCTTTTAGTTTAGAACACAGGACATTGAGATGTAATAGTGATAAGAACAGTTCTTCATTGAGTATTTAGTTCTTATGTGTAGTGCTTCATATTCATTTTGTTTTAATCATTAAGGTAGGCATCATTATATCCACTTAACAGGTGAGAAACCTGAGTTCTTGGAAAAGTTAAAAATTTAGCCCCAAATCAGGCAGTTCATAAAGGCCAGAGCAAAAATCCAAACTCAGGTTCTTCTGACTCTAAAGGCAACACCCTTAAAGACAGTTTAAGTATTCCTCAAAAGGCAGAGATGGTTAGCAAACAGCAAACCAAAAGTCCTTTGTTTCATGTGTAGCTGTGTTATTATATCTTCCCACTAGATAAGATGGGAAACTATGCTACCTCTTAATTCCATGCATTAGCAAGGTGAATGCATCCCACTCATCTCAATTTACAGAGCAAATGCCATGGCAGGGTTCAATGGAAATTTTCTCCCTTGTGTTACAATCTATTGCTGATGTGACAAAGACAGAATTGTCAGAGCAACTTCTAATTAAATAGTTCAGGGCTTCATTAGGAAGATGTAACTGGATGCAGGACTTGACAGGCAAGTGTTGACATCACAGTTGACACTAATTGGTCCCTTGGCTGGCAACCTTGGCACAACATGGGAACTGGACACTGAGGGGAGGGAGGTGGAAGGAAACCAGGCTTGCTGAAACCACTTCTGAGGTAGACTCAGAGACCATCACTATGGGTCAGGGAGGAAATTCCCACAGGTACAAATTAGGGGCAAGGGTTGGGTTTGTTGCTTTGGCTTTCACTGCTTTAGAGAGTAGGTGGTCTTCTAGAGCTAGGGCACTTCCATTGCGGTTGACATGCCTTCAGTGTGTGCTTGTGTGTATGCACTTAGGGAGCATGGAGGAACACAATACAGCAGAGTTGTGAAGTCTCTGTCATAGACGCAGGACTAACCTATTTAATTAATTTTCCTCCTTTGAGATGTGATAAATATTCAGGAGACCGGGCCACCCCAGAAGGCTTCCTTTATGAAAATAAATTATTTCCCCTTTCCCTTAATAGCCAGAGCAGGTGAAAAGACCCTGCTCTGGCTATTAAGCACCCATTTGTTCAGTCCCAGCATCCATGGCATAAGTTCTGTGTTGGATTCTCACTGCACTGTGGGACCTTTCTGACTCAGGGACTTAGGAGTGGACTAGTTCATGCCCAAGATCACACAGGCCACCGTGAGACCAGAAAATACTAATACAAACAATAGACCTTCCAAATAGTTAAGAAATCTGTTAAATATCAGGATTCTGGGTCTATCACTGATTTATCTTTATACTTTTCTCCCTGAGATCCTAAATAAAGAAAACAATATTTTGATTTCACAAGGCACAGATTACTACTATTTTCTCCATTTTATAGTTGATGAAGCTGAGGCTTAGAGAATAGGAAGGACCTATGCAAGGTCTTACTGTTGGTAAGAGGCAGAGCAATGACATGTTTCATTCTGTTGACCCTAAATTTAATACTTTTTCTGCTACCTGACTTTTTAAAAATAACATTATCTTCTCTTTCCCACTTGTTCTGCATTCTCTGCCTTGTCACCAAATAATTTTGGTCAAGTTTCCATACATGCTTGATATGTTTGATATCGTACACATACCCTATAAAGACACGAGGTAATTAAAAAACAATTGAACCGTGGTTAACCTTAAACACAGATATCACATTGTCTAACTTCTAGCAGGGAGACGTCAAGAAGTTTCTGTTTATACCACCTTCCCTGTTGCCCTGAGTAAATGAATGAGGGCATAATGGCTGCCATCTTAACCATGGCCCTACAAAGGGTCTGGAATGAATTGGACATCAGAAGTGATGCGTGTCCTGTGAAATGAGGGGTGCATACTGAGCATTTGTAAGATTATAGAAATCCTGTGACAGTTCCTTTACAGATTGTTTTTTTTTTAAATTATTATTATACTTTAAGTTTTAGGGTACATGTGCACAATGTGCAGGTTAGTTACATATGTATACATGTGCCATGCTGGTGTGCTGCACCCATTAACTCGTCATTTAGCATTAGGTATATCTCCTAATGCTACCCCTCCCCCCTCCCCCCACCTCACAACAGTCCCTAGAGTGTGATGTTCCCCTTCTTATGTCCATGTGTTCTCATTGTTCAATTCCCATCTATGAGCGAGAACATGCGGTGTTTGGTTTTTTGTCCTTGCAATAGTTTACTGAGAATGGTGATTTCCAATTTCATCCATGTCCCTACAAAGGACATGAACTCATCATTTTTTATGGCTGCTTAGTATTCCATGGTGTATATGTGCCACATTTTCTTAATCCAGTCTATCATTGATGGACATTTGGGTTGGTTCCAAGTCTTTGCTATTGTGAATAGTGCCGCAATAAACATACGTGTGTGTGTGTCTTTATAGCAGCATGATTTATAGTCCTTTGGGTATATACCCAGTAATGGGTTGGCTGGGTCAAATGGTATTTCTAGTTCTAGATCCCTGAGGAATCGCCACATTGACTTCCACAATAGTTGAACTAGTTTACAGTCCCACCAACAGTGTAAAAGTGTTCCTATTTCTCCACATCCTCTCCAGCACCTGTTGTTTCCTGACTTTTTAATGATTGCCATTCTAACTGGTGTGAGATGGTATCTCATTGTGGTTTTGATTTGCATTTCTCTGATGGCCAGTGATGATGAGCATTTTTTCATGTGTCTTTTCACTGCATAAATGTCTTCTTTTGAGAAGTGTCTGTTCATATCCTTTGCCCACTTTTTGATGGGGTTGTTTGTTTTTTTCTTGTAAATTTGCTTGAGTTCATTGTAGATTCTGGATATTAGCCCTTTGTCAGATGAGTAGGTTGCGAAAATTTTCTCCCATTTTGTAGGTTGCCTGTTCACTCTGATGGTAGTTTCTTTTGCTGTGCAGAAGCTCTTTAGTTTAATTAGATCCCATTTGTCAATTTTGGCTTTTGTTGCCATTGCTTTTGGTGTTTTAGACATGAAGACCTTGCCCATGCCTATGTCCTGAATGGTAATGCCTAAGTTTTCTTCTAGGGTTTTTATGGTTTTAGGTCTAATGTTTAAGTCTTTAATCCATCGTGAATTAATTTTTGTATAAGGTGTAAGGAAGGGATCCAGTTTCAGTTTTCTACATACGGCTAGTCAGTTTTCCCAGCACCATTTATTAGATAGGGAATCCTTTCCCCATTGCTTGTTTTTGTCAGGTTTGTCAAAGATCAGATAGTTGTAGATATGTGGTGTTATTTCTGAGGGCTCTGTTCTGTTCCATTGATCTATATCTCTGTTTTGGTACCAGTACCATGCTGTTTTGGTTATTGTAGCCTTGTAGTATAGTTTGAAGTCAGGTACAGATTGTTTTTGACTACTTGTTCATCTCTAACCTAGTTACAGAGTAATGCATTTTTGAAAGTGTTTATTTCTTTTTAAATCACTCTGTACATTTTTTACTCATGTCTGCCTTTCAGCCCCAGTGGAATTCCATCAAAAGAGAGGCATCTCATGTTGGGGTTTTCTTTTTTTTTTTTTTTTTTGGTGTAACTTGAAGCAATACTTATAAAAGTCTGCAATCATAAGCATCAGTAAAAAAAAATTATTGTATGAAGTACCTTCTTCTGTGGGCTCAATAAGTTGATGTATTTCTGAGGAGGATGTTGTCACTGTCTCTAAATCTAGTTGGTTGTTTACATTCTGGAATGTTGTGTATTCTGGCTTCCTAATCTGTTCCAGGTAGCTGAACTCTGTTGCCTTGAATACTTTTGTATGGCAAGACTGTCTCGCCCTTTAGTCACTGGGACAGCTGGCCTTGTCATAGTTCCTCCTGAAGCTCTCCAATCCTTGAGCTGGGGCTCTGCTCTTCCTGGCTGGTTAGCTAAGGGTGTGATCTCATCCCCAGAGGCCTGCCTCAGGGCATGCTTCCTCTGCCTTGGATTTAGCTGTTTGAGTAAATGAGTACTAACTAAGTGAGATTTCTCTATCTTCTGACTCTGAGAGAAGCGTATCGAGTGGTGTGCTTTGAGAAGAAAAAAGATTCACCCAATGAGCACACTGACATTTTGACACCTTGTCAGCCAGGGACCAGGGGCCTCTGAACTGCAGACTTCACCTCATTTTATTCTCAAGAAATGCCCTCTTCCTATCTCAGGTTAAGGTGACTGTAGCTTCTTTAAATGGGATATTTGGTCTTCATATTCAGAAGAAGTAGTGGCTTTTACTTTCAGGAGCGCCATTTTGGGTATGCAAGGACATTCCTCCCTGAGCTCCCTGGGCCTCACTGGCCAGCACGGCCGGGTGCAGACATAGCTCTGAAATTCTGCTTTCAACACAGATGCAAAAGGGCATTTATAAGTGAGAATTTCTAGCTCAGGGAAAGGAAAAGAAAATACTTTCTATTTTTAAAGGAAAGATAACATGCCTTATTATTTGAAAAGCAATTAAATATTACTTGAGATTTCTTTTTTTTGCTTCAATAAAGTCACTTTTGAAAGGTTCTATTTATTAATCCATTCAACAGATATTTAATATGCTTCTCCTATTTCTTTAACAATAACAATAAAAATTTATTAAGCCCTTACTTTGTGCCAGGACTGTGCTATTTTACAAAAAGTATTTTTTTGAGCTTCTCAAAAATTCTATGAGGAGGGAATTATTATCAATCCCTTTTTTTTTTTTTTTTTTTTAGACGAAGTCTCACTCTGTCACTCAGGCTGGAGTGCAGTGGCGCAATCTTGGCTCACTGCAACCTCCACATCCTGGGTTTAAGTGATTTCTGGCTAATTTTTATATTTTTAGTAGAGACGGGGTTTCACCATGTTGGCCAGGCTGGTCTCAAACTCCTGACCTTAAGGGATCCACCTGCCTCTGCCTTCCAAAGTGCTAGGATTACAGGTGTGAGCCACCATACCTGGCCTATTATCAATCCTATTTAATGAATGAGGAAAGAGAATCTTAAAAGGCTAAAGAAAAGTAAGGGGGAATAGCTAAGTGTTATGGGAAATATTTAAAAGATACAGTCCTTGCCTTAGAAGTCTAGAATGTTATAATGACAAAGAATCTTAGAGCTCCCCCATACTACAATCTCATTTTATAGAATAAAGACCTGAAAGGTTCAATCACTTGCCCAAAGACCCACAGTACTTAGAGGCAGGGTCTGAACAGGAACCAAGAATTCTTATCCCAATCCACTGTATGCTGCCTTCCTTCAGGAGTTTAGAATATTGTTAAAGATGCCACCCCTCACCCACGAACACCCAGTAAGGAATGAGGGTTCCAGATGAAAAGTTCCATAGGTGCCAGCAGACCTTTGGGAGGCTGCTGGTGTTCCAAGAAGGCCTAGTAGAGAAGAGGGCACTTTAACTTAACCGGTTTAGAGTGGGTGGACAATCAGAACATGCAGAAGTAGAAGAGAACAGGCATTCTAAGGAACAGCCTGAAAAAAAGCTTTGAGTTTTAGAGAGGGATAATGAGGAGACCTGCCTGGTTGACAGAGGATTCATATAAGGGAGTAGTGGGAGACGAGGAGGTATGTTATTCTGAGCTTTGCGTCCAGGTGTAAAAAGGACAGACAGAGACGGAGGGAATAGTTTCTGGAAACAATCTAGATGTGAAATGATAAGTGGTGGCCATGGAGGAAAGGATATTTTCATGTGGTGACATGTTTTAAGGCATTTCGGGATCAGAATATGCATTTGGATAAATAGGCAGATGCTGTGGGGAGGAGGTTAAAGTGGGGGTGAGGTGCTGTCTTTGAGAAGCAGGAATGCTGTGGTTCAACTTTGAGGGTAGAAAGAGGTGCAAGGCTACAGGGCTTGAGTGCAACTGATTTGCACCCTATTGATTTTCCTGAGCAGACCATTTTCACCCCATAGATTTTCTTGGTTGATTGGGCTGTGTTTTCTTGTTGGTTAGAGGTCACCTTGTTCTGTTTAGATTCATTTTTGGCCCTTTGATAATTCCTTTTGTTGGTGTGTGCTGCTCCAATCATGACTGCCAGCTATTGACCAAATGTGACATTTCCACTCTTGATAGTTTTATTGTTTGGAGAAAAGCTGAGGGTACATTCAAGATGCTGAACTTGGAAAAGAGTTTTGGCTTAGCTCAGCCATCCTCAGATAGGTGTCACCTTGGGTAGCATAGAGAGATTAGGGTCACAGAAAGCTACACTGTCGGCCGGGCATGGTGGCTCATGCCTGTAATCCCAGCACTTTGGGAGGTCAAGGCAGGTGGATCACTTGAGGTCAGGAGTTTAAGACCAGCCTGGCCAACATGGCAAAACCCCATCTCTACAAAAAATACAAAAATTAGCCAGGCATGATGGTGCACACCTGTAGTCCCAGCTATTCAGGAGGCTGAGGTGGGAGAATCGCTTGAGTCCAGGAGGTGGAGTTTGCAGTGAGCCGAGATTGCAGTGACTGCACTCTAGCCTGGTCAACAGAGTGAGAATCTGTCTCAAAAATAAAAAAAAAAGAAAAGAAAAGAAAAGAAGAGAAAATAAAAGAAAAAGAAAGCTACACTGCTACACTGTCCACTCTTGTTAAATACTTGCGTGGATGCTATGGTTTGAATGTCCCCTCCAAAATTTATGTCGAAAGATAATTGCCATTGTGACAGTATTAAGAAGTGGGACCTTTAAGAGGTGATTAATGCCATTATCATGGGAGTAGATCTGTTATTGCAGGAGTTCAGACCCCTTTTTTTCTCTGTCTCTTGAACTTGCTTGCCCTTCTGCCTGTCTTCCACCATGGAAAGACCTTTATCCATTGCTGGCACTTGATATTGGGCTTCCCAGCCTCTAGAATTGTGAGAAATAGATTTCTTTTCTTTCTAAATTGCCCAGTGGTATTCTGTTATAGCAGGAAAAAATGGACTAAGACAATAACCAAAAGAGGCAAGTTAGGCAGTGACCAGAATTGCCTGCTTACCTCCCGCAGTCACAGCTGAGCCAAGCTTGTTGAAGACAGTTGTGAAATGACCTTGAACAAACTTCCTTCATTATCCTGGGCTAGTTTCCTCCTCTGTAAAGTCAAAAGTTGGTACTGATGCACGATTCCAACATCTGTGTCCTCCTTCTTGTTAAAATCCTATCATCCCACCATAAGTGGTTTAGATTCATTAGGTCTAGGGTGAAGCCTAGGAGTCTGTATTTTTAATAAACTCTTAAGATGATTCTAATAAATTGGTCTGAGGCCTGGTGTTTGGAGACCTCTAGTCTGTATGCCATCCATGCTCTTTCCAGTTTTATTCATTTGCTCTTCTCTTTAGATTCAAGGGGCTTTTGGAATGCAGGGTCTGCCCTTTCAGTGAGGACCTCCTAATTCCCTACTCTTCATGTAACCAAGGCTTATATAAAATCCCCTTTTCTACTTTGATATGTAATACACTGTATCACCCATCCCAGAACTATATGTATGTTAAGCCATATTTCTGTTGTGGAATGACATTGTTTGGTTCTAGTTAAAAGAATCCCAAGCAACAAAGATCAGGTAGGGAAAACACTTAGGAGGTTTGGAATGGGACAGAGTCTTCCCTGTGAGAAAGTCTGTGTAAGCAAAGCCCTACGTTTTATCTTTGTATTATTCTTCTGACCTTCCCATGGAGGACATGGGAAACAATGGCAGATTTAATTTTTTCCTCATTATAAATTGTATACCTCTTGCCAGGTTCCAAATTTAAATACATAGTCTTTAAACAGCACAAGTGTTTTAGCCTTATAGAGAGCTTCCCTGGAGACTTTCTTTCCAGGAATAATAATAATGGATAATAATGGTGATAACTATCTTTATTGAGTATTTACTATAGTCTATATATCTTGTGCTGAGTACTCTCATCCATCATCTCCATTAATTCTCATAAAACTTTGAGATAGATACAGTTGCTATCTCATTAGACAGATGAGCAAATGCAGTTTAGAGAGATTAAATATATGCCCATAACCATATAGCTGGTGAGCAATGGAGCAAAGATTGAGCCCAGCTCTCTAGATTCTTAAGGCCTGAGGGCTGAGTCATCAAACGGAATTGTTTGCACTGTGTGATCTGATTGAGGAAAGGGAAGAGCAGGGTCTGATGAGCAGAAGGCCCTGGATTTAGATTCCCAGACATCAATCTTTCACTGCCTTTCTCTGTCTATACATCTCAAGTCAAGATCAAGCATGGGTATTTCCTGCTAGATGAGATGAAATGTGACAACTGGAAATATGTTTCCTACTATGTGTTTTAACTTTAGCATGAATTGAAAAACTTTTTGCCTGATGTGCATCACATGCTTCAAGACTAGCATAGTCATAGAAGGCCGTTAGGCTCCCTTTCCAGCCTGGCATCATAAGGTTTCTAGTAAATTCTATCTTGAATCCCTCTTTAACAAATTCTACTATGGTTAGAGACTTATAACTTCTATTCTTTTAAGTCTGTTAAGATTTTCTTCTATGGTCCAGAACATGGTCTGACTTAGTGAATGTTCCATATTCATTTCAGAAGAATGTGTTTTCTGCTTTTGTTAAGTGAGATATCCCATAATGTCAATTAGCTTAAGTTGGTTGATAATGTTGTTCCTTATTGATTTTTTTTGTCTTCTTGTTCTACTGATAGAGGAGTACTGACACCTCCAATTTTAATTGTGAATTTGTCTGTTCTTCCTTTTAGTTTGATTAGTTTTTACTTAAAGTTGGTCTTTCTTTAATACAACTGGGCAATCTCTATATTTTAATTGGTGAGTTTAGACCATCTCTAATTAGTGTGGTTGTTAACACGGTTGCTTTAAAATCTACCATCTAGATAGCTGTTTTCTATTTTTTCCATCTTTTTTTATTTTTTCCTTTCTGCTTTGTTGAAATAATTAAGTATATCTTATGATCTATTTTATTGCCACCATTGGCTTATTTTTTATACCTTTTCTTTTTTAATGTTTCAGTATTTGCCCATAGGTTTATAGTATATGAATTTATATATTTGTAATTAATCAGAGTCCACCTTCAAATAATATACCTCTGTATGCATAGTGTCATGACCTTACAACCTTACTGGTATATTCCCAATTCTTTCCTTTAGTTCGTTGTGTAATTGTTGTTATATATTTTACTTTTGTATATAATACAAATACACAATATATTGCTAATATGTTTTGCCTTAGATAATCAGTTATTTTTTAGAGCCATTAAAAATAATAAAAAATAGGCCGGCACAGTGGCTCACACCTGTAATCCCAGCCCTTTGGGAGGCCAAGGTGGGCAGATCATGAGGTCAGGAGTTCGAGACCAGCCTGACCAACATGGTGAAACCCCGTCTCTACTAAAAATACAAAAATTAGCCTGGCATGGTGGCACATGCCTGTAGTCCCAGCTACTCAGGAGGCAGAGGCAGGAGAATTGGCCAGGCGTGGTGGCACGTGCCTGTAATCTTAGCTACTCAGGAGGCTGAGGCATGAGAATTGCTTGAACCTGGGAGGCAGAGGTTGCAGTGAGCCGAGATCACGCCACTGCACTCCAGCCTGGGTGACAGAGCGAGACTCCGTCTCAAAAAATAAAAAAAATTAAAAAATAATAATAATGAATAAATTTTGTTTTTACCTTCATTTATTCTATTTCAAATGCTTGCCATTTCTTTGTGTGGATCCAAATTTCTGTCTGATGTAATATTGCTTTTGCCTAAAAAAATTTTTTTTAATACTTCTTGTAGTTCAGGTCTTCTGGAAATAAATTCTCTCAGTTTTTGTTTGTCTGAGAAAGTGTTTGTCCTTAATTTTTGACAGATATTTTTGCTGGTTATAGAATTCCAGTTTTTTTTTTGTTTTTTCTTTTTGCCCATTAAATAGTCACTTAATTGTCTTCTGGCTTGCTTGGTTTCTAACAAGAAGTCTCTTATCATTCTTATCTTTGTTCCCTTATATGTAATGTATTTTTTCCCATGACTCTGTTAAAGTTTTCTTCTTTTTTTTACTTGTCTTGTGTTTTCTGCAGTTTTAGTATGATATGCCTAGTGGTTTTTTTGTTTTGTTTTGTCTCTTGACAATTTTGTTTTCTTCTTTCTTTTTCATATGCCTTATAATTTTTTTAAAAAAAGATAGACATCTTGTATAGGATAGTAGTAACTGTAAATAGCTTTTATGGCCTGGAAAGGGCACACTTTTCCTTCTGCTAGGATTTTAGTAAACTGGGTTTGGGATTTGTTGTCATAATTTGAAGCCTCAGTGTCCTGAAGGCTTAAAACTCCTCTAGTATTGCCTTGTGTTTAGGGTGAGAGCTGGTTTATTAGAGGGCTTTTATTAATGTCTTTTCCTTCCTCAGTTTTTGGTCTTCTCTTTGAGTTGTGCCTCAGAGAGAGTCTGTCTTCATGCTCTTGTTCCCCTCTCAGCAATATTCTAGTATGAGTTGTTACTTGCCGCTTGCCAGCCTGGTGATGGGAAGTGGTGGGGTAGTGGAGAGACATTCTCACTCATGTCATCCTAACTAGACAGTCTTAGACAGGTACTGGGTCCTGGATCTCAGGGTTGTGGTGTACTCAGTGCTTTTGTTTCCTCTCCTAGGGGTCATTCTTGCCCTGTCCCCAAGAGTAGAGGACTCTTCTGTTTAATTCCCTCAGCTGTAGTGCCTTAAGGGTTCTCAGGGAGGTCCATGAAGAATAGCCTGTGAATGGGTGCAGATTTCCTGTAGATCTGCTTCCCCCAGGGGTCCTATATTCTCTTACTTTCCTTATTTCTTAACAATTTTGGCTGAATTCTTCTTATATTTGACAGCATTGGCAAGGGCTCATGACACATCTCTCTTTGCAGGCACCTGTCTTTCCTTAGAAAGTTGTTTCTGTTACCTCAACTCTCTCTGATGGCTTTAAGAAAAGTTGTGGATACGCTGCTGATCTGGCTATTATTTTTCCTGCAAGTGTGGGAGTGATGCCTGTTCCATCTCAAGCAGAAACCAGAAGTCTTGCCATGCACTCTTAAGCCTCCCTGGCTTTGCACATGTTGTTCCCTCCCCTTTCCTCAACTTGGCAGTCCCTGCCTTGCCTTAATTCCTGTGACCTGATGTTCTCGGCTTCTCAGAAGACAGGAGAAGATTTACAGAGAGATTAAATCATTAAGTTACTTCATGGTTTCATAGACAAAAGTCAGGATTTATGGTCAGAAGACCTAGAATTTGACTCTCAGCTCTATTCTTGGCAGGTCCCTTGTCGTTTCTGGGCCTCAGTTTTCTTATTTGTAAAGTAGGAATGCTGATATCTGCCCAACTTACTTTGCTGGATGAAATGATGTGTGTGGCAATGCCCGACACACTTTTAAAGTTCAGTTTCAGCCTATCAACCCAGCAACAGGACTGCCCTGAAGAAAACCTGACATTTCCCAGCCATTCCAGAGAGTTCGCGGCCTAGAGGGAGCTGGCCGGGGCTTGCGTCAGAGTGAAATCTCCAGGGAAACAAATACTGCCCTCAGCCAGCAGCCATGCAGTAGAAAAGGGTGAAGAAAAAGGCAGATCTGGCCCTGGAAAAAACCGTATTTACTTGTTTTATTTATAGAGTTTATTGCCAAATGCTAAGGAAAATAGATTGATTTCCATCTTTACTGATGTGTTAAAATTGCTGCAACACCTCACATTACCAAATAGATTTACTGTATAAATTGGAAAATAATTGATACTTCAGGCAGGTCACAAATCTACTTTGGCAAGAGAATATCACTCACTGTACATTGATTATAAAAAATTAGTTAATTCAAGACAAATATTGCATTCTCTATTTTCTAGCACCAATCCTTCCAAATAGTCCATGCATTACTGCCATTGAGCTAAAAGATATCCATCAGGTTGCTTGATTCTCTGCAGGCCTGATTTAGATGGTACTTATGCTAGTGCATCCACCAAGAAGAGATAGATCTCATTTATTAAATCTGCCATGTGAGAATCTAAATGATGGGATTTAGTAATATTGCACTAATCTGTTGCTTTTATTTACTGCTCCCTGTCTTACTGGTATAAGTCTTCTCATGGAGAATGTCTACTAATTCATTCAATTTTGGCTTTCCTCGTGAGGAACTGGGGCAAAACACATCCTCATGCGAACCAGCATTATTTGAGTGCCCCTGTGTGGTGGACAATATCAGTCCTCCACCCAGATCACCTTGAATAACTTTGTAATGGTGGTGGTGGTGGTGGTGTGTGTGTTTGTGTGTCTGTGTGTGTGCGTATGTGTGTAAGGGGTGCAAAGGGTGTAGCAACCTGGATTTTGGTGTGTGTTCTCTTTCAACAGCCAGCACCGACATCTGTTTTGGGGTACCACTGTCAGGCTACCTTCTTCAGGCTGCTGGAGCCTGCTTTGCCACACAGAGAGGCAGAGGTGCCTGGGCATTTATGCTCCCAAGGGGTGGCTCTTAACCAGTAACTGATGGGTTCAGGAGCATGAAAACTCCATGCACTTGGCACAGGTGTAACTTACCCTCCAGAATTCCCCTGCAGAATCAAGCTGAACCCCCTTTCTATGAACATGACCCAAAACTGCACCTTTGCTTTCTTCAGCCTCTTCCATGCCTGTTTTCCCCATGCTCTTAATGGGTCTTCCTGGGAACACTTAATGAATCACATGTACATGAATCTTTGTGTCAGGGTTGGCTTCTAGGGGATGTGATTTGAGACACTCTGTGTGTTAGATATAGGTGAGGCACTTCAAATCCACTATCTCATTAAATACTCATAATAAACTCTACGTTAGGTTTATGTCCACTGTCTCACTTTATCTTTGTGGTAAACCAAGAGCATGCCAGCTCTTGGTTTCTCTCCATGTGGGCCTCACTATGGGGTGGCTTGGGCTTCCTCACAGTATGGTGGCTGGGATCCAATATAAGCATCTTAAGAGACAGGAAGTAGAAGATAGTTTCTTAAGGCCTGGGCCTGGAAACTGGCATAGCCTCACTTCTGCTATATTCCTTTGGTTAAACAGTCACAGAGTCCAGAATATATATCCACCTTTTGATGGGAAGAGTGTCAAAGAATTTTGGAGCTACATTTTTATTTATTACAAAATTCTGCACATATTTAATGTACACAATTTTATAAGTTTGTAAATATGCATACACCCATGACATTGTCACCACATTCAGGGTAATAAACATATCCATCACCACCAAAAGTTTTCTTATGTCCCCTCATTTTTGTGGTAAGAACATTTAACAAGAGATCTACCCTCTTGATAATTTTTTTTTTTTTTTTGAGACGGAGTCTCCCTCTGTCACCCAGGCTCGTGTGCAGTGGCACGATCTTTGTTCGCTGCAACATGCTTAATAAATTTTTAAATCACACAATACAGTTTTGTTAACTATAGGTACTAGGTTATACAGAGGATATCTGGAACTTTTTCATCTTACACAGCTAAAGCTTTATACCCATTGAACAACTCTTCATTTCTCCCTCCCCTGATTCCCTGGCAACTACTTTCTACTCTCTGCTTCTGAGTGTGACTATCTTAAATACTTCATCTAATCAGAATCATGTAGTATTTGTCCTTCTGTGTCTGGCCTATTTCACTTAGCATAATGTCCTCCAGGCTTACCCATATTGTCATAAATAGTAGATTTCCATCTTTTATTTTATTTTATTTTTTATTTTTTTATTCTACTTTAAGTTCTAGGGTACATGGGCACAATGTGCAGGTTTGTTACGTAGGTATACATGTGCCATGTTGGTTTGCTGCACCCATCAACTCCACATTTACATTAGGTATTTCTCCTAATGCTATCCCTCCCCCAGTCTCCCACCCCCTGACAGGTCCCGGTGTGGGATGTTCCCCACCCTGTGTCCGTGTGTTCTCATTGTTCAGCTCCCCACTGTGAGTGAGAACATGCAGTGTTTGGTTTTCTGTCCTTGTGACAGTTTGCTGAGAATGATGGTTTCCAGCTTCATCCATGTCCCTGCAAAGGACATGAACTCATCCTTTTTTATGGCTGCATAGTATTCCATGGTGTTTATGTGCCACATTTTCTTAATCTAGTCTATCATTGATGGACATTTGGGTTGGTTCCAAGTCTTTGCTATTGTGAATAGTGCCACAATAAACATTCGTGTGCATGTGTCTTTATAGTGGAATAATTTATACTCCTTTGGGTATGTACCCAGTAGTGGGATTGCTGGGTCAAATGGTATTTCTAGTTCTAGCTCCTTGAGGAATTGCCACACTGTCTTCCACAGTGGTTG